>NC_000011.10:5514545-5817575 GCF_000001405.40 Homo sapiens
GTCAGGTGGGTCAGCAGGCAGGTAGCAAGCAAACAAGTAGGCATGGTGGTTAGAATCTCTGGGATCTCTTGAGCTTGCGGATAGCAGCATTGGTGTCCCCTTCAGTAGCAATGAGTGCCTGTAGATTGGCATGGTGGTTCCCAAATCCCATGGCCTGGAGAGAATCCATCTGTTTGCTAAAACAAATCTCAGGAGCTTGCAGAGGGTGGGAAGGGTCCCCATCCGGGGATTGTAGCCTCTGCAGGACTGTTCCAGGCTTGTGGCAGCACTCAGGTCCCTTGGGCTCAGCTGTATCTGAAACATTCCAGGAACAGGGCACTGTGTCAGGATAGCTGCAGCTGGGGGCAGGAAGCCAACCCAGGCCCCATAGGTAGGGTGCAACCCAAGGCAGAAGAACAGGAGCCTCTGTGGCCAGCAGCTGGAGGGCCTGCTCAATCTGCAATATTGCTTGGAATGCTTTAGGGTTGCCTAAGCACTAAGCAGATCAGAAATCTGTGTCTGCTGCAGGAATGTGGGCAGCTGCTGCCTCCACTGTTCACTCAGCTGGGGCATACTTGTGAACAACATAATCTGAGCTGCCAGGTAGGGGTTGTTCATAAGCAACTGCATCATGCCTCCTGTGATCTGGGAGCTGCTCTGCTCATCTGACAGCTGGAGATCACCCTTTAATGTCTGTCTGGAGCTACTTAGAGAAACAGTGGCATCCTTGTATTCTTCTTGAAGCTGCTGGGTAAGCTCTATGCTAGGTAAGGCTGGTATCCAAGCTGGCTGCCGAGTGGCACAGATATGGCTCTGGCCCTTGGTGGAAATCATAGCAGTGTTGGCTTTGGAAGTGTGGTTGACCTTGTTAAGGGTGTCATTGGCTGAGGTGTTTGAAGAGAAACCACCAGAGCTATTATAGATGACTCGGGTTGCAGGATGCTGTGTGAGCTGGTCTTGTTGTTCCTGTGATGGTGGTGGAGGTGGGGGTGAAGACTGGACTTGTTCTAGCACTTGTCCTGCCAGGAGAGCTGTGAAAGGGTTTCCTCCAAAAGGATCTTGCATGCTGTTCAGCATTTGATCATTGATATCAGCATAGTTCTGACCCAGGGCATTATTCCCACCTGGCATTGTCTCTAAGCCCAGATATGGCTGTGGGTTCAGTGGATACTCAAGGTTTTGTGAAGGTTGTTGGATCTGCATTATCTCTTGGATCATAGCAAGGTTCCTGGCCAGCTCCAGAGTCTGCAATAGGATCTCAGAATTATCAAGAAGAAGGCGGGAAACTTCTGGGTTCTGCTGCATCAATTGTTGCGTGTCTAGATGTTCTGAAATGAACTGCCACATGAACTCCATGTTGGACAGAAGCCGCTGGATGCTAGGATTCTCCAGCATCTGTGCTTTGCACTCTGGGTGGCTCACTTCCAAGTTTTGGGTATGCACTTTGGGTGCATCAGACCCCACAAAGTGGGCCAGTTCCACTGGAGCTTGATTCATACCAGTTGGTTGGTGCACTCTGCTGCTGTTTCCTTTGGTGTTTCTGTCCCGGTGGCAGGGATCATTCGTTGGCAGGTCCCGGAAGGAATGGGCTAGAGATCTGGAGCCCTGCTTGGACTTGATGACCAAGTAGATGGTGTGGCCATCCATGATGCCCCTCTGGCTCAGTGTGTCATGGTCTTTGAGAAGGCAACCCATGAAGACCAGCACTAGTTGGTCCATCTGGCATTGGAAGTGAGCCAATAGCATCTCCTTGAACTGCCTTACCGAGATGTCATCAGCTACCATAAAGTCTTTCTGGTTGCCTGCAGTCTTCACTATCACTCGAGTGGCACTTGAAGAGATATTTTTGTCTGCCAGCAGACCTGATGGACATCCACTCTGGGACATCCTGGATGTTCGAGAGATGGCATGCCACATGGGCTTTAGTGGGTGGGCAGATGGGGAGCAGGTGGAAGCTGGGGCAGAAAGGGTGAGGGCAGACAAATGTTTCTGCTGGCCTTTGTCTCAGGTATTGTGCTCTCAGGCCACAGGATAGTTTCCTTGTTGCCCTAAAAGGGATGAGTGACCAGACTGGGGCCAGATATTTTGTGATGTTGTGCCCTCACCCCAGTTCTCCAGATGTGGCCCAGCTGAGGCCTGGCATAGCTACTGATTCATAATTCACCCATGGTGGACAAAGTGGTGATGACTTCTCCTAGGGCTACCCCTCCTCCTACCCCACCCACCAGGGGCATGAATCCTCAGAAAAGGGATATTGTGATGTCAACTCTATCCTCGCAGTCACCCTGGGCCAGCTGGGGAAGGAGGACATATTTAGGGGTCCAGGGCTCTACAATAAAATAAAATAATTTTCCAGAAAACAGGGACAAAGTTCTCTGGATGGAACTAGTAAGAAAACAAAAAAGTAAATAAAAACCATATTTTTAAATGTGGGATGTGTGTTTCCGTGTGATACTGTGTGTATGTTCCTTATAGGGATGTTAGACTTGTATGAAAAGTTGGGTCTACTGAAGCCATAGATAAAGCCACATTCCTATAAGAATGCAGTCTCTCCCATAGGAAGGAGCGCATTAATTTTTTTAATGATCTGGAAATTTGGGTCTTATATAGAGTCTAGATTTTGGGATTCTATATTTAATTGTGCTCCCATGTGGTGGGGAAAATTTTCCTCTGTCCTAGGAAGCAGGAGTAGGGCTAACCAGGAAGGCTCTTCATAGGCACATGCCAAACTAAATGTGAATTAGCTCTTTTTTATAATATGCCTTTTATTCACATATCACTTGGTCTCTTCTACATGTCAATATAACAGAAGTTTTAGAATGATTTGTTTCAATGTCCTAACCCACTCTTGTGTGCCCACCTTTATGTCAAAGCATTAAGGGGGAATGTCGTCTGTAAATCAAGAGGTGGGAGAGGAGGTGGTTAGTAGTAAAATTCTTAAGGGGACAAATACAGGCAACTAAAAAGCTGGATTCTTGGTCCCATGTAAATTTGGAGAATTGTGTTTGGTTTTTATTTAGATGCAGATGGAAATAATTATTTATATGAGTGAGAGTGTACATGTCTTATCGAATGTATATATGAAATTGTATGCATATTCTGTGTTACTAGGAAGCCTTCAGGGTCTGGATTTTATATATTCCATCCACCTGCCTGGAGAGGGAGGAGCACCACACAGATAGCTAAGGAACAAGCAAAAAGCTCGAGCCCATATGTTCCCAGTGTGTTGAAGACAAGCAAAGGGATGATAGGCCGTTGGCCAGGAGACCTTCTGCTATCAAACCAATGATTCTTTATTGAGAATATCTAGACCCCCAGCACCATCCATGTCAGATCCTCATCATGCTATAAGGCCAGTTGCTAACTTACTACAGCAAGACTCAGGCCTATTCTCTTGCAATTGCACTCAAAAGTGAGATCGATCCAGGACAATGAAAAATTGATTACCAGACCAAGATCTTGCCCCTTTTCTCCCCAGGGACCTCACAGGAAGGTGGAGATAAGAAAGGGAACTTTCATATCCTACTCTAATGACCAGCTGCCCTGCAGCTTCTGCACTGGAATCAGGTGTTCCCAACCTGAGATTGACAATTCTAGATCACAGAACTCTTGAGTTCCGGGAGCTGGATTTATGAAAAAAGGAATATGAGATGCCAAAGCATCAGAAAGAGAGGGTACCATTTTCTTAGCTAATATTTTACTTTTTCCCTATCAAATCCACCTAGACCATTATTAAAGGGAACCTTAATGTACTGATTGAGATATTAATTACATAAAGAACTCACTAGATATAATCAGTCTTCCAATCATTAGGACCAATGGCCACTTTGGGATGTGGTCCTCCTGGAGGTAAGGAAGAGGGCACACTTCTACCAATGCTCTGCCTAGCCCTGGGGTCTCAGGGTCTGGAAGCCTCGTTAGGTTTGACAGGTTTTGGTGGAGCATGAGCCCCAGAGGGCCTCCTGGTGGGTGGTCTTGGTAGCCTGGTCTTCATTGTCAGGAAGGTGAGGTCATAATTTATCAGGTAACCATCACTGAAGACATACGGCTTGTGGTCTGAGGGGCAGTAGTTGATGCCCTGCAGCTTTTCCAGCATCTTGTCCAACAGGATGCTGAGGCGGCGCTCCTGCCCGGTGGTGGTGTCAAAAGCATAGAAGATCTCCTCTTGGTGGGTGTTCAGTGAGTGTAAGGCATAGAGCACCCCACAGGCCATGAAGGCCCCTGACAGGGCTGGCTTGTACTGGCTGGTACGCCAGGTTTTCTCCACTTCTAGGGTGCTAGCGTTGAGACGACTCACAACCAGGTTGCCCTTGCTCTCCTCAGTGGCATAGAGAACCCACAGCCCCTTCTCATCACCAGCAAAATCTAAGTCCTTCCAGGGCACACCAGCATAGGAAAAGCGGTTGTTATAGGTGGCACCAGGCAGCAGACGCCACAGCACCAGTGTGTTGGAGGAAAGGTCCATTTTGGCCATGTCACTTGTGCCACAGTAGTTAAAGTACATAAAGTTCTTGTACACAACGTTTCCACTGCCATCACCATAGCCCATCTTCCTCTCTTCATAGTTTTTCAGCAGTGCGAGGTCATTATAGGATTTGCACAGCCGATAGTAGTCAAAGTACCTAGGCCAAGTCCCTGCATTCAGAATTATTGGGTGACAGCCATAACTAAGGTAACAAAGAGCTACAAAAATAGGCAGATCAGTTTGCTAATTAAGAGCAGGGGCTTTGCTATCAAACAATTGACTTTAGTTCATCTTTCACTTACTCAACCATGACAAACTAAACAATTATTTTTAAAAGTAACAGTAATAATAAAACACCAATAGCTACAGTGCCTATTAGACACTATATATGCACAATCTTATTTAATTATAATAACAGCACTGTAAGGTAGGTTTTATCCTTACAGATGAAGAGACTAAGTCTTAGAAAGGTTGAGTCATTTGCTCGAGGTCACACAGCTTATAAGTAAAAACTGTAAACAAAAGTAACAAGCTACTTTATTGACTGTTAGGACTGTCCAAAATAAAGCAAAGAAAACAATTAGTACAGCATTTGTTTCAATAAGCAATAAAAAATGGTAGCTATTATTTTTTCTTCCTTATGGAGATTCTTCTGTATCTACTCTGCACTGCCTTCCACCTGTCCTCAAGATGCAAGGGTCCTGTAACAGGACATATTTCTGGAGCTGGATTCAGGGAGATTTGTTCTCATGAGGTCACATTGGAAAGTTCCTTAAATTATCTCTGAGTTATGAGTAATCTTATCTCTTAACATTGTTCTGTAAGTCCTGATTACCTATAGATTTTGAGAGGGTTCCAAGGCGTGTAAATGTATTTTATAGGCTACAAAGTATAGCACATATGAGTTATATGCTACAAATTGTGGCCTATACAATACATTTTAGATAAGCATAGAATTTTGGGAATATTATTTTCAGTAATACTAATTTTCAGTAACACTGATCTTTCTGAGTTGAGCTTCAACTGGAGCTCTTCAATGACTGGTTCAACCTAGATTCATGTCTCTCTCTCGCAACAGGTCTATATCACATTTTCACACACACTGGCTTTTAACATTCTGTGTGTTGGGCCTACCTCCCTAGCAAGGTTGACAATGTATTGAAGGTCTTATTCGTCTATTTATTGACTCTTTTAGCCATTCTTTCATCTAATAAATACATATCATCACCTATGTTTTACATACTTTTCTATGTAATCTTATGTGATCTTCTCAAATATGTATAATTATCCTCATTTTACATATGGCTAAGAAAGGTTCTGAGATGTTAATTCATTTTCCCAAGGTCACTTAGCTTAAATGGCAGTATAGAGTTTCAAACACAGATTGGCTTAATTCCAAGTCTCAAGCTTGGCCAGAGACATGCTCTGAACTTCTAAGCAGGAAGTTAGAATTTTGAGGCCCAGGTGTAGAAGAGTTTGTTCTTTACATAGAATCAGAGTAGAAGTAGAACCATCTTTGAGTTACTATGGGATTAAAATTTGTAGGCAGTGGATTTGTGAAGGAAACTCAGGGCAGTCTGGGTCACGCTTGTCTCATGAGAAGAGCGTTAGGAGGTGACCTGTCAGGCCTAGGCTAGGTTTGCTTTGGGGCATACTTAAAATAGAAGAAACCAGCGTGGGGCTGTAAAGAACCCTGTTTGGGTATGGGTAGGGGACATTTGGAATTAATCCGATTGCAGAACAGAAGTCACTCAGGGCTCACCTGCCATCTGTACGTAGAGGAGCAACCCAGTAAAGGGAAGAGGCTGGATTGGGTGCTGAGTCTCGGCCCCAGGGACCTGCCTTATATGAGAAGCCTCTCCGAGTGAGCTGCACCACAAGGGATTTGCTAACTTCCTGGAGGCCTCCATGGGCACAAGAAGCTAGGGGAAAAAGCAGGCAATATATAAGCCAAGTTTAAAGCACACAACCCACAGGTAGCTGAGTGTGAAAGTATAATAACCATGTGTGGGTTTGAGTGTGTATCCATGCACCTGAGTGCATATACAAGCATATCAGCAGGTTGATTTTGCATAAACATAGGTTATTTTGTATGTATGATTATGGGGTGTTCATATGTCTGTGTATATGTATGCTCATGTATGAGAATATATCAATCTTGGTCTGCATTTTTCAGTGATGCACAAAACAAAAAAAATGAAAGATTTATTCTCTATCAAGATTTGTACTTGGGCTGGGCGTGGTGGCTCACACCTGTAATCCCAGCTCCTTGGGAGGCCAAGGTGGGCAGATCACATGAGGTCAGGAGTTCAAGACCAGCCTGGCCAACATCGCAAAACTCTGTCTCTACTAAAAATAAAAAAACTTAGCAGGGCATGGTGGTGTGCACCTGTAATCCCAGCTACCTGGGAGCCTGAGGTGGGAGAATCACTTGAACCCAGGAAGCAGAGGTTGCAGTGAGCTGAGATTGCACCATTGCATTCCAGCCTGGGTGACAGAGCAAGACTCCATCTCAAAAAAAAAAAGAAAAAGATTTGTAATTCCTTCCCCTCAGTTTACCATAGCCAACATGCACTCCCAACCTGGTCTCTGGAGAGATAAGACCTTGAGAAATTCAGTCTGTGCACTCACCGGGGGGAGGGGTGGTCCAGGGTGTCCAAAGGCCTATTCTTTCTCCTTTTCTCTCTCACATTCACTTAGTTGACTCTCAAGGACATCCACCTCCTGCTGGAGAGCACCAAAGCTGCACTGGTCAGAGTCAGCCAAAAGTTTGAGTGTGAGACTGGCGTTAGTCACCTATGGAAATGAGACGCCCGAGAAGTGGGTTGCAGAGTGTTCTTAAAAACTGAACTCTGGCTGTCATATTCCTCAACTCAGAGTTTTCTTCCCCAGAAAGAAGTAATGTTGGAAATTGTCCAATACATGAGGTTAGAGAAGACAGGAGGCTGTGACAGGGAGGGAGATCATATATATATATATATATATATTTTTTTTTTTTTTTTTTTTTTTTTTGAGACAGAGTCTTGCTCTGTTGCCCAGGCCGGAGTGCAGTGGCATGATCTCAGCTCACTTCAACCTCCATCTCCTGGGTTCAAGCAATTCTCTTGCCTCAGCCTCCCAAGTAGCTGGGATTACAGGTGCCCACCACCACACTTGGCTAATTTTTGTATTTTTAGTAGAGACGGAGTTTCACCATGTTAGCCAGGCTGGTCTCGAACTCCTGATCCCAGGTGACCCACCTGCCTCAGCCTCCCAAAGTGCTGGAATTACAGGTGTGAGCCACCGCACTCAGCCTAGGGAGGAGTATTCTTTAATCCATCCACATACCTGGCTCTGAAGTTGGTGGAGGAGGTCCCCAGCCACACTAACACCTCCCATGGCTTTAAGTTGAGTCACCAACTCCTGTGCTCCCTCCAGCTCCAGGCACAGCAGGTTGAAGCCTGGGTTCTCATAGGGAGAAGCAAGGGCACTGGGATTCCAGGACTTCAGCATGTGACTCATTTCCAGAACCTCATTGTCTTTATCTTCAATGGCGCGTGCACACTCACTGACATCAGCATGCAGGGGATGAACAGGAAGTTGCTCCAAATGTCAACACCTGTGGCTTCTCCCATTCAGTTGCATCCTCCCAGGCCAAAATTGCCCTGTTTGCATCTTCCAGTGGAACCATACCCATTAATTCATCCATTACTATGGGAGGCACCCCCTACACAAGCCTCTCTATAGTCTGTTACTATCACTGGAGATCCCAAGGATAGTACAGAATTACCCCTTCATTCTAAAGATTCATCTCAAAGATGAGGGCTGTGCCACTTCCTTCAAACATTTTCTACTTCCAGGACTCATCTCCATGCTGTGTCCAGTAGAGACTATGCTTGAATAACTCCTAGCCCCAGCTCCAGCCCACAGATCAAGCACTCACTCTAGACAGCTTCTGCTCATACTTGCAAATGAGCTCCTGAGCTGTACTTTGTAGCTGTTCCAGCTGCTCCAGGGGGATGGGGTTGTTGGGTAGGTGAACCATACAATGGCATGTGCCTCCTTCATCCACAGAGCTTGACACACTTCTCACCAGCTGCAAACCATGGCCACAGGCACAGTAAACATAATGAAGCATGTTGGAGCACCCTGGACTGTTCGCAAACATGAAGCAAGAGAAGAGGCTGAGCCTACTTTGGAGTGCCAGAGAAGCATTGCCTCTGCCCAGGGGTTTCTTCTTGACTGTCTGTTAGGGCATCCCTCTGTTAGGGGATTGAGTTATGTTTCTCTTGATTTCCCAGAATTGAAGCTGCGGGTCCCTTCCAGAACCTACTGATGGGGCCTACCTCACCCTACCTCATGCACTGGCTGGATCTGGCTGCAGTTCACATTACTGGAAGCTGATTTTTCTTCAAGGCCCTGTGGGAGAGAGCAAAGCTGGTCTACAGAGATGTGTTAGGGGATAGGCTTAGGAAGCCTCAGTTGTCTACAGTATCCCCACTCTAGAGATCTGGCAGATTCCTACAACTTTACCTTGTATTGAAGACAGCAGGGACAGAGAGTTGCAACTCATCAAAGGAACATTAGCAGTAACAATACCATAATGCACCAGTATGGTTGGATATTTAGCATTCACAAGACATAACAGAGGGTGAATTGTAATCCACATTTTATAGTTGAAAAACATGAGGGTCTGAGAGTCTAAAAATATTTTGCTAAGTTACATGACTAATAAGTGACAATGCTTCGAGCTTCCCCCAGGTCCCATCTTTGTTCTAGATCCTATGCTCTGGCAACTAAGGAAGTAGCAGAGATCCAAGTTATGTTGGGGTAGACATGCAGCACAGGACAAAAGGGTAAGGCTGGGAGGCAACTCCCTTGCCTCAGCTAGATAGAGAGAGAGGGAAAGTTTCTAGAGAGATGCATAATTTGATCTCTTCTCCCCTGTCATATGCCTATCATATTACTTCCATACTCAGAGCCCAAACCCACTGATCCCATAGCCATATTTCCTGAGTTCTAATCCTGACTCTGGGACATTGGGCAAATTACTTAATTTCTCTGTGCCCCATCGTCTTAATATGTATAATGGGGGAAAATGTGGTGTTTATCTTATTGTTTTAAGAATTATAGATAGAGTTATAGAGATGATAGATGATAGATAGATAGACAGATAGATAGATAGATAGATAGATAGATAGATAGATAGATAGATAGAATATTTGTAAAGTACTTAGAGCAGTGCCTGGCCTGCCTCTGTTAAGAGTCTTTATATTAGTTATATTTCTCTAAATCCATCTCTTAGTCCGATTTTGGAGCTGGATAAACCAGCACTAGATTCAATCAAGACTCCTTCCCAATTTTTTTATTGTGCATGCAACACCCACTAAGGTTTCCTTACAAAATCTTTTTGAATAAAAATGTCTGTGGCCCCTGTCCTTCTCTGAGATGTCTCACTCATAGCTTTTCTGGCTTTGGCATCATAGCTTAATCTGGTTATGCCTTCAGCTTGCAACTCCAGCCCAATAGTTTACTTTTGAAGGATAATAAAATAAAGATTGCATAGCCTTTTATAGCCACCATGAGCTCCTACACCCTGAGCACAGGAAGAAGGTGGCAGATTATTGCAGAAAACAGTGCCTCATAACTGAGCAGGGAATACAGCCCAGAGTTCCTTCCTCTATTGCCTTCACCTTTGTCTTTCCTCGCTCCCCCTGTACCCATACATACAAGCAAAGGGAAAATCAGAACATGCAGGCTATCCCATCTTTCTTTTCTTCCTCCCTGTTTCTGTCTACCCTCACTCTCTCCCAAAACCTGGAGGTTCTTGAACAGAATCAGAGTGGTGAAGGAAGCCAGCCCAAAGCACAAAACAATCTCCACCTGCTGCTGTGATCCCTCCAACCTCTGCCTGTACCCGAGACTCTTCCTGGGAGCACCAGGGGCAGCAGCTGTAGAGTGGTCAGAAGAGCTGCAACAGGTGGCATCTTGCATCAACTACAAGAGCGCAGTAAGTACTTGGGGCTCCCCTGGGCTTTTATTTCTGTGTAAGTAAATAGTCTCAGTAGGAGGGATATACATTTTGACATTTGAAAGGGCCGAGAGGATGAAGGGGGTGTGGAGAGGGTATGGAAAGGTGGAGAAGAGGGTTGAGACAGACTGGTGCCTCTAAACATGGTGGTAGTGAGTTTATTATGATAAACAGGGTCTTCCGCATCCATCCCTAGGCTTAGATCTTCCGCATCCATCCCTAGGCTTAGATCTTCCTCCACCCTGCTGGGCCCCCTTGTCTAAACAGATTAAGGTAAACCTGAAACATCCTGCAGGGGCCCTGGGATGGGTCCCTTTCAGGAGTGATTATGGTGTTTCCCTCAACTTTGACAAAGGGAAGGCTCAAGAAGGAAATGCAATTCTATCTGTTCAATCTCAAGAACAGAAGCATTTACTTAACAGGGTGCACTTGGATGAGGGCCAAAGTGTATATCTGGGGGGATCACTTCAGCGACACTGTACTGGACTCCTCTGTTATATATCTTCCTTCACCCCGAGGAGTTTGCCTCCTGCACTATGCCAGGTACTGTAAACTATTACATCCATTCCACTATTTAAATGCTTCCCCCAGTTCCTCTGGTCTTAATGCCAGCTGCCTCTACTGCCTGTCCGTCAAGAAAGCTCCCTCCCAATATTTCCTAACCTGCCACATGATGCTGTGGAGCCTCAAGTCTTCTGGCCTCTGAACTGCCGTTATCCCTATAGAAAAGGAAGAGTGTAGTTCCTGAGCCTGGAGAAGGAGTCGCAAAGCTCAGTGCTCTTAGTGCCAGCCACCCAAAAGTATTCTCTTTTCTTCTGCTATCTCTCTTGAGTATTTCTCAGACAGTGGGGATTCTCACATTTGCCCAAGTGCCTAGGAGAATGTCAGATTTCCTATGAAGAGTGTGTTGCCCCATTTTTCCATTGAGGAATTTTGTCTCTGTAGCTCTACTACCTCTATCCTTTATTGTTTCTTTATCTTTCACAGACCCTTAACTTTAGATTATAGGCTGCTTAGTATAAAGATCCTCTGCTTACTCATCTCATCCTTTAGAATCCTTGCCCTGGCATATACCTAGTAGAGAAAGGTATATGAAACTGCGACTTCCCTTCTGGGAAAAGATTTGAGAAGTTTTGTGGATGTACAACTCCAGGAAGACATGCCCAGAGCTTTGTTGGACAATCCTTGCTGAGAGGTCATATCCTTTTCTTACTTTACAGATTCTCACCCTCTTACTCCATGCTCAAGGCCAGAGATCCATTCTTCATTAGCTTCTCTAGCCTGGCCTTGCCTTAGCCATTGGGTCCAGAGGAGCACAGAAGTTAGGATGATAAGAGAGGAATAGGTTGGGAAACCTAAGCTGCATGAAGCAAGAAACCTGTCTGGGATCAATATCCAGATGAGTGACAGTAGAACTAAGGCATCTTATGGAAGAAGGAATGTAGGAAAGGAAAAACGAAAGAGCATGAAGATAGAGCATGAAGCATAACAACTGCTGCTGGAGTTGTCGTCCCCATATTTTGCCGTCTACAAATAGCCATTAGCACAAGTTGAAAAACACAAGAGTAGCCTTAGTATCTGATTAACGTAGGGAAAGAGCTTAGGGAGGAAGCCACAGTATTGTGCACTCTCTTCCCATCCAAAGCCAACAGGTCTTCCAAGCTCTAGGTATTATCACCAAGGTCAGAAACCATGTCCATTTCCAGAGCTGTGCTCTATTTTATTCACATCATGCCATTTCCCCAGCTCCTCCTGACTTCATCCCCTTAGCAAATAGAGTTCCTGCTTAGTGTCAGACATTGTACAAGGGACCCAACTCAGAGACATGTTTCATTCATCTTGTTTTGGCTGGATAAACTGATGGAGAAAAGATAAGATCCTAGTCCTCAGGACGTGTCCTAGACCTCCTAGACTGTCACAGTCTAGGACCAACCACTTCTATACGTGTGTAATCCCTCTATGGGGATCAATACAGACTTAGAAACATCAGGCATAGAGTGGGCACTGTAGAGCTGGGCAGAGAGAGGTCAGTTCAGTATATTCTGCCTACATAATGGGTGATAAAATAGGGCTGGAGTGAGCATAGGGCCACCTGACGGCAGACAATGGAGATGCTTTAGTCAGAGCTCTACCCAGATGGGTCCTGCAGCATCACTTGGTCATCTGGGCAGGCACGCTGAAGAAAATAGGGATCACATTTATTCCTGTGGGGAGGCCCTCTCAGGGCCAACCTTCTTCACTGCTCCTGCCCAGAAAAGTTGAAGCAAGTTCCTGAGCCTCTGAGCTCTGCTGAGTCTGCACTCCATAGACCACAGGATTGAAAGCTGGGAACACCACTGCGTAGAGGTTAGCCAGTAGGATGTGAATATGGTTGGGCACTGTGTGACACCCAAAACAGTGAGCAAGGAAGGAGAAGAGGGCAGGTGTGTAGAAGAGACCAATGATGCTAGCATAGGTCCCGCAGTTACCCAGAGCCTTGTGGCAGGCAACATGGGATGGCAGACGGCAGACAGCACGGAAAATGAGGGCATAGGAAGCACCTATGAGCCCTAGGTCCAGGGCTGGGGAGAGCAGTGTGGTGGCCAGTCCATACCTGATGATGGGGCACGTATCTCCACATGCCAGGCAAGCCACACCCATGTGTTCGCAGTAGGTGTGGGGCAGGGCCCACTGTCCACAGTAAGGCAGTTTCTTGAACAGGATCACAGGGTGTACATGACACAGACATCACGGGTCATGGTAGTCAGAGCCACTAGACCTACCACAAACTGGGCCAGCAACGCCCCATAGCGCAAAGGCTGGCAGTCTACGGCCGTGGACAGCAGCACTGAGGACTCAGCAATGTGGCAATGATTGACACATGGGCAACAAAGAGTTGAGCCAAGCAGCCTCCAAATGATATCTCACTAGACAAGCCCCAAAGTACAGCCAGAGCTTTGGGCACTGTGGATGTGGCCAGAACAAAATCAGCAGCTGCCAGAAGCCACAGCAGCTGGTACATGGGTGCCCAGAGTGCCTTGTCAGTGACCACCAGCCCCACTAGAAGGGCATTCCCTACCAAAGCTGCCATGTAGAGCAGGCACACAAGCACAGAGAGCCAGGCATGCAGAGCCTCCAGTCCCGGCATCCCCAGCAGGACAAAGGACCCAGACCCAGAGATCAGCAAGTTCTGACTGAAAGCTGGCAGTGCAGGATCCAGCCCCATCTCCTGCCTCCATCTGGCTGTGTCCCTGCAGGATACAAATGGGGCCTGTGAGAGGCAACCAGCAATTGTACAGAGATTTTAGATGAGTGAGGGTGATGCTAGGGCTTAGGATGCTAGAGCATTTGCCAAATGCCCTCTCTGTGGGAGGCACTTTTCTGAGGATTCAGCATATAGTGAACTATGAATTCCCTAACAGTCTAGTTTGTTTGCTAACATTGCCATATGACAGATCAAAGAATTTTGTTCCTGAGAGGTTAATAAACTTACTCTAGGTCACACAGCTGGTAAACAAAAGAGCTAGGATTTGAATCTAAATTCATCTGACTAAAGGCCATACTCTTCTAACAGCCCTCTCCTCTGGATATAATGTCCCTTCATCAGCCCAGGCACAAGGAGACATTGGGGTATGTTTTTACTAATCACTTGTGCCAGAGGAAGTAATTCGTGTTCTCTACACCAAATCCTTCCAACTACAGTACAGCCTCTGTGTTCCCTCCACCCTAGGAAATATGTAAGCCAGGAGGAAGGAAACATATTAATAGAATGGCTATTTTCTACTCCATTCACTGACAGATGCTCAAAGCTCCTGTTTCATGATCCATTTCCAGAAGCCACTTTTTAAGCTCAGACCCCAAACTCTCCAAAACATTTCATTCCTCCCAGTCTGTCTAGTACATTTTTCCATCTGCTCATGGCTTCTGACACCTCTTTCTCCAGCTCTGGTCCACAAGAGCTCTAGGCATCTGGTTGATGGAACTTAATTTGTTCTATAACCAGTATGATTATCCATCCCTTGACTCAACTTTGTGGTTCTTCTTTCCTCCACCCTTTTTCCATGAGAAGATACGTTGGGTTCCCCACACTGGGGCCTTTTAGAGGGTGAAGGGTGGGAGGAGGGAGGGATCAGGAAAAATAACTAATGGGTACTAGGCTTAATAGCTGGGTGATGAAATGATCTGCACAACAAAACCCATGACACAAGTTTACCTATGTAACAAACTTACACTTGCACCCCTGAATTTTAAAAGTTAAAAAAAGAAGAAAAATATATGTTGGGTTCTATGGAACTCAGTCTGAGAAAATCCGAGGCCACTAAGGACGTAGAGGAGCATCAGGGCGGGGCTGCAGTGCAAGGGACTGGGATTAGATACCATGGTGACAGTGCAACTGATGGTCCAGTGAAAGTGGTAACGGGAGGAGGCAAGGGAACACTTTGCTTACCTGGATTTAAGTGGACAAATAACAGCCTGAAAGAAAGCTCTAAGCTAAGGTGGGCTTTCCATGCTCCACCTGAGGACCAGAGTTGTCTCCCTGAACCTGGTGAGAGATAGAACCTGATATCCTAACCTGTCCTGGAGACTGAGGAACCCGGCAGGTGAGCAGAAACTAGAATGTCTGGCCCTGCGTGAGATCTCAAGCTTCCCATGCAGCCCCCTCGGCAGCACTGCCTCCTGGAGCTTCTCTCACATCCCCACACCCTGACTCCTGCAGGGCAGAGACAGGCAATAAAGCAGACCAGGCCAGGTGCAGTGGCTCACACCTGTAATCCCAGCACTTTGGGAGGCCGAGGTGGGCGGATCGTAAGGTCAGGAGTTCGAGACCAGCCTGACCAACGTGGTGAAACCCCGTCTCTACTAAAATTACACACACAAGAAATTAGTCGGGTGGGGTGGCACATGCCTGTAATCCCAGCTACTCAGGAGGCTGAGGCAGGAGAATCGCTTGAACCCGGAAGGCAGAGGTTGCAGTGAGCCAAGATCGCACCACTGCACTCCAACCTGGGTGACAGAGCAAGACTCCATCTCAAAAAAGAAAAAAAAAAAAAAAAAGCAAACCAGACTTTCTCACATGGGAGTCATATTGCCTTAGGAGCCAGAACTTCCTTCTGAAGGATGAGGCTTTGTCAAGTTGCAGAGCTTGACCCTACCCCCCTCAAAATGGGGCCCTAATGGCTTCTCTGGACCCTGGGAACATCCTGCCAGGGCCCAACTTACCACAAGGCAGGCCTAGTCTTTACAATGCAAGAAGGGTGTCAACTGTCTCAGGATCTGGGAACGTCTCTCCCAAAACCACAGGGCATGCACAACACGTACCTTAAGAAGACACTTAAGAAACACAAGAAATTCTTGTACTCAAGTTGTGGGCTTTACTAGCACACTACCTCTTGAACAAGTTTCAGGGACAACTCCCCCAGATCATCCATGTCCACAACAAATATTTCTCTTTCCATTTCCTCCCATAAGCTACATAAAGGGTAGGAAGAGGAAGCTGAGGATCCCTTTGCACCCGGACTCTCCCACCTCAGCCTCTGCCCTGTATCTTGTTCTTAGCAGGAATAACTGCACCCTTCTCATCTGCCACCTGCGTGTTCTGCTCTCTCGTCTTCCCAGCCCCTGGCCCCATATCCTAGCCACATCAGCTCAGCTTCTTCTGCAAGTTGAGAGTTTAGCAAAGGACATGCAGAGGGAGAAGTAAAGTGGCATCTCTATTCTGCCTGAGTTTCCATGCACTGGCCTGGCTCTGGGCTGGATGTGGCTCAGAGTTCTGGAGCATCTTATTGGGGGTGATGCTACTGCAGAGACATTACACTATCTTGTGCTTCTTTCTAGGATCAGGAAACCCATGTGTAAAAAGGAAAATGTTACATAGATCTGGGGTTAGGAACCAGATTTTCTGAATGCTAGTCCGAGATTGTTTCTTCTCCCGCATTCTTAGCGTTGTTCCTCTCTTGATGCAGCAGGATAATTTAGGAATCAGAGAGACCGAGGGGTTGAGGAGGATACTTATTATTTATTATTTAGGTGCACCAGCCCAGTCAGATTAACATCCAAAAAGACTGAGTCCCGAACAAAGAGTCTGGTTACCTTTTAAGCATTTTTTGGGGCAGGGGGAGATCTGTGCAGGGGGAAGCATATTATAGAAGCAAAAAACAAAAATAGTTATTCAGTTGAGACATGCATTACATCATTTGTTACTTTTCAAGGAAAAACATGTCTTACGACTTGAGTTTATCTGCCTAGTGTCCTTGCAGCTGCACAGCTAGAGAAACAGGGTCTTCACAATGCCTGGGAAAGGGAGAGATAAGGCTCACTAGCCACAGAAAAACAGGCAGTTACTTTTTAAGGGACTTCAGCTCTTTCTCTTCCTCAGGGGGAATTGGGTTTTCTTACATACAACTGGGTTTTTGCTTACACATTCTTTAATTTCTTTTAATTCCTGTTTCATTGACAGTAGTTTTCTTCTTGCTGGAAGGAGCTGCCTGTGCCACTCACCCAGATTCTAAAGCTCCATTTCTTTCTGGGTTTCCATTCCTACTCTAAGGGTGTGCTTGTCCTGACTTTATTCATACACGCATGCTCCTAGGGGCCTCAGTGGTGCAGAGACCTGCACAAACCACCTTCAGACTGAGACTGTTACCATAGGATTCCAGGGTAGAGCTCCCCCATAGGGTTCCAGGCTAGAGCTCACACTGAGGTCACCACCTCCCTCATCTTTGTTCTGTTGATCCTTCTCAGGGTGACCCTGGCTCCTAGGGCCCATTCTGCTAAGAGGGGTTCACATACTACAATTTGTCTAAGAGGCTTGAGGGACAAGGCATCCCCTCCAGGTTAGAGAAGAACATCAAGATACATATTAAGTGCAGATGGATGCTCTAGAGAAAAAAAAAGGGCCATAGTATCAGTTCAAGAAATGAATTTGAACACCCTATGTTCAGTGTAGGTGGTGCTGTGTGATATGGGATGGATAAATTAACAACTTAGAACCATCGTTTAATCAGAATACATGGTCGTTACCCTGATTTTGGAAGATAGAGGTGAAAGGGAAACAGCAAAATGCTACATTTTTTCCTATTCCTGTTTATTCCCACTTCAGCACAGGCGTAAAATCCAGGGCAGACTCTAAAGTCAGATCATCTAGGTTCAAATCCTAGATCTGCCACATATAAACTGTGCGACTTTGGACAAAATTCTCAACTTCTTTGTGCCTCAATCTCCTTATCTCTAAATTTGGTATAAAAACAAATGCATCTGCTTTATATGGAACATTGTAAGGATTAAATAAAATGACATATGTAAAACAATTACATAGGACACAACAGTGCCTGTAACACAGTAAATGTCCAGCACATTAAATGTTATCATTATTATCATTAGCAGTGTTCTATCACTCCTTGAATTCGTCCCTTTAAAGCCTCCTTCCACTGCATTCTTAATTCTCAGTTTCATAATCTGATAGTCTCTTTTTTTTTTTTTTTTTTTTTCTGAGACAGAGTCTTGCTCTGTTGCCCAGGCTGAAGTGCAGTGGCGCAATCTTGGCTCACTGCAACCTCTGCTTCCCAGGTTCGAGCAATT
The DNA here is from genome assembly GCF_000001405.40 of Homo sapiens. Classification (NCBI taxonomy): domain Eukaryota; kingdom Metazoa; phylum Chordata; class Mammalia; order Primates; family Hominidae; genus Homo; species Homo sapiens. The sequence goes on from NC_000011.10 coordinate 5,532,557, forward strand.
CTCCTACCTCAGCCTCCCAAGTAGCTGGGATTACAGATGCCCGTCACAGGCCCAGCTAATTTTTGTGTTTTTAATAGAGGTGGGGTTTCATCACATTGACCACGCTGGTCTCGAACTCCTGACCTCAAGTGATCCCTCCGCCTCGGCCTCCCAAAGTGCTAGGGTTACAGGCATGAGCCCCTGCACTCGGCCTTAGTCTTTTAATATATCTTAATTTTTTTAAGATGATTTGGGAACTGAATTAGAATATTTGGAAGCAGAATAGTCCCAACTTCAAAAAAATGGTTGAAAGGCAAGATGAAAGATTCAGTTTGATCAAAAAAAGAACTTTCTTTGCCAATAGAGCCACAGGAATTAGTCTGGTTAAAAGACTACTTCTAAATGAAATGGGAAATATGGTGTCATTGTTCCCAAGCCCCAGCTTTCTACATCACTCTGACCTGGGATGAGGGAGAGGTGACACCTCAGCCCCAGTTCTCAAGCTTAATTTCTGCACTCGTCCTCAACTACATGCTCTCTTTTGCACTCCAAAGTTGCTCTCTGAAAAAAAGTCTGAGAAACTCATTTTCATCAGTTCAGAGAGGTTTCCTGGGACATTTCCTGGGGTTTTGGCACGTTTAACCTTCAGTGTTTGGCTCAATGTGGAACAAATCCAGTGGGGTTAGCTGAAGAGACTTTGCAGAAGCCCCAAACTGTGTTTAGGGTGTAACTGGTCTTGGCTGAGGAATTCCTGTTGCTGCTGGGACAGGGGCTTCTCACCTCTCTGCTGTTGGAGGTGAGATTAAAAACGAGGAATGAGCATCCCGTCTCCATCCATCCAATCCTGCTTCAGTCCCTACTGCCTCAACATCGCCATTCAGCTAATAGAGCACCTGGGAACTAAGGCACTCCAAGATGCTCCTTTGGAAAGGCTGAGAGAAGGCAAATATGGGTGAGAAGAATTTATGGGTCTCTTCTGTGAGCACTTCAGAGGGGATGGACTCTGAGCCCCAGGCAGATTGATGATCTGCTAGTCTCAGCTGTGAACTGTTAATGAGGAATTAGCAGACAGTTGAAGTTACATCTCTATGGATTTTTCTGGACTCCAGATTTACATGCCTGGCATTCTCAGGACCTGGGGAAAAGTGGAGACCGATCAGCGAGGTCTTTGCAGAACCACTGGATGGGGCAGCAGCAAACTCAAATATACAAGTGCTTTGTTGTAAACAAATGACAAACCAAGTCACCATCCGGAAATTGACAGCTGTCATTCTTTAATATTGTTTCTGCCTCTTAGCTGTATAAAGAGGCAAAGCAGCTTGGTGGAAAGAGTGTAGACTTTTGAATAATGCTGCGCTACTGTGTTTTTTACAGGGACAAAACTCAGTGCAGAAGAGCCCTCTTGAGCACTCTCCTTAACTCTTCTACACTGAGTTTTTTCCCTGTACAATGAAGATTAGGCTATCTTCCCCAAAAAGCGGCTGTAAAGATTAGTGTAACATTCATAAAGCACCTATTGGGGTCCCTTGAGCTCAGTAGAATTGACACAACATTATACAAGGTAAGTGACTTAGAGTCAGTTAGAAGACACACTCTGCCTATCTGAGATGCCTGCTGGAGCCACACAGAGAAACTGTTTCTCCCTTATACACATTACTGTTTTCACAATACCTTCCCTTCCTCAAAAAAATGCACACTCTCCCATTTAGGGCAATATAGTAGAATGTAGTAATGGCACCTCTTTCACAATCACCCATGGTTTATGTTTGTTTTTAGTCCTTAGTTTGAATGAACTTCTTTGTATACAATCACAGAACAAATTCACAACTTATGAAAAGCAACAACAAACATATTATTATAAAGTCGTGGTCATGTGTTTTGATATTCCAGAATAGTACATTAACCCCCTCTCATATTGAGCTTTTCCAAGTGGTAATTATGGTGTGGCCCAATAAACAACAACCAGCCCACTGTTCAAATGTCATGACTTAGTTCTGGCCTTCCTCAGTGAGGAATCCAGCATTCACTCCCTCTTGTTACTGGTAGCCTCTACCCAGAACAGGTTGCCCATTTTCCAACAACATAACTTTGCATATTTAGAAACTAGTTAATGATAAGGAAGTCCAACTCACAGAACAAATAAAGCTCACAAAGTGTTTTTCATTGCAACTTGATGAATACACAGACATTGCTAACGTGATAATTATTTTTTAAATGTGTGATTAGAACATGACAGTGATGTGAAGGAAGAATTATTTTTTCGACTTTCTTGATGACAAACCTAACTCTTAACCTTACATAAAATTGTGAAAAATACAATATCAACAAACACAGTTTAGGGTTTAAGTTTGGTGTAAAAGCATGTTCTGGTGGAATAGTAACAGACAGGTAAATATTACTTAGCAAAAGTGAAAGAGCTAGTTTGCAAAATTAAAGAACTTACACAGAATGTAAATCAAAAGGTTTTCAAGGGAAAAAAAAGACAATTAAACTGAATAATATATTTAGTGCTGTAATAAGAATGGGATTATAACTAGCTTAATGTGGTAAATACTAGATTATTCTCTTTATTGTGTGGTAACATGGAAACTGATCAGAAACAAGGAGTTGCCGCCTGATGAGGAGCAATAGCTATGAAGGTGAACGTTTCTATTGAGATGTTTGCCCTGTGGGATGAACTTTTAGTGTTTCTGCAGAATCAGAAACCTGTTTGGTTCTGCCAGATTTTCTTACCTGGCTATCTTTGTTATTTTCAATATTCTTAATATGTCATGTAACATGTTCTTTCACAGTAAGTAAGTTTTAGAGGCACATATTGAAGTTAGAAGTTTGGAAGAACAGAATTTGTATAGAACAATTAACATATTTTTATAATAAAAATTTTCAATAAAATAATCGATGAGCTTATATTACATATCTGTAAAAAGTTATCACTATACCCCTTGCTAATTTAACAGAATGTTTGAATTTTATTTCCTATCCAAAAAAATCCACACATAGGAAGTTCATGAATTCAGAATCTAATTTTTCACTGAAGAAAAAAAAATGAGTTTGGCCAGGCATGGTGGCTCATGCCTGTAATCCCAGCACTTTGGGAGGCTGAGGTGGGTGGATCACTTGAGGTCAGGAGTTCGAGACCAGCCTGGCCAACATAGTGAAACCCTGTCTCTACTAAAAATAGAAAAGTTAACCAGGTGTGGTGGTGTGCGCCTGTAATCCCAGGTACTCAGGGGAATGAGACAGCCAATCGCTTGAACCCGGGAGGGGGAGGTTGCAGTGAGCTGAGATTATGCCACTGCACTCCAGCCTGGGCGACAGAGCGAGACTCCATCTCAAAAAAATAAATAAATAAGAGAAAAGAAAAGAAAAAAGAAAAGAAAAAATGAATTAAATTTAACTATAAATGTATAGGATAAATTGTTGAAACTGGCCACTAATTAAGCATTGAAGAAAAATTTTAAAAATATAGCCTGCTTGGCTAATTTTTTAAAAAATATAAAAATAATTGTCTTGAAAATGACAAAATGTCTCTAAAATCATTTCTTTTATTCCTATTAACAGACCTTTGGGAGACAAGTTATCCTACTACAAACATTAGAAAAGCAAAAGCTAACACAAACACACACAAAAATAGTTTAATTATAAATTATAAATTATTGCCTGCAAGTAGCATTGTCATCAGTACAACCTGAATTAGATAAATTAACAAGCAGGATGCAAGTTCACTTGACATAATTTTAAAGGTTGACATAAACTGTATTCTTCCACCTGTGTGTCTAGACTTTTAAGATAAGGCTTTCACTATTTTACTTAAAACTTTTTTGTTTAACTATAATTGCAGAATGACAAAATCTCATGTGTCTAATATAAAATCTAAGTCCTCTACATTAATCGCCCATATGCACACTTTCAAAGAACAATGTATGCAATTTTGGGGAATACTTTAATTATTTTCTATGTTTTCTTATACTGGTTATACTTATTGAAAGCTTTCTATGTCTTTCAAATATAATAGTAAAAGCAAGGCTTGAATTTTTTTGCAACTCTGTAGTGATTAATTATGATAAGCATTTTTTCATATGTTTGCTGGACACTCATATATCTTCTTTTTGGAAATGCCTGTTCATATCTTTTGCCCATTTTTAATGGAGTGTTTTGAGTTTATGCTTGTTCAATTGTTTAAGTTTCTTATACAACCTGGATGTTAGACTTTGGTCAGATGCATTGTTTCAAATATTTTCTCCCAGGCTGTTTGTTTGCACTATTGACAGTTTCTTTTACTGTGAATAATCTATTTGGCATAATTAGGTCCTATTTGTCAATTCTGGGTTTTGTTGCAATTGTTTTTGAGGACTTAGTCATAAATTCTTTCCCAAGGCCCATGTCCAGATGGTGTTTTCTATGTACTCTTTTAGGATTCTTATAGTTTGAGGTCTTACATTTAACTTTTAAATTCATCTTGACTTAATTTTTGTATATAGTAAAATGTAGGGTTCCAGTTTCATTCTTCTGCATATGGCTAGCCAGTTATCCCAGCACCACTTATTAAATAGGGTGTCTTTTTCCTGTTACTTATTTTTGTCAACTTGTTGAAGATCAGATGACTGTAGATATGTGGCACTATTTCTGGTTTCTCTATTCTGTTCCATTGGTCTATGTGTCTGTTTTTATACCAATACAATGCTGGTTTTGTTACTGTAGCCTTATAGTATAGTTTGAAGTAAAATAATGTGATGTCTCCAGATTTGTTCTTTCTCCTTAGGATTGATTTGACTATTCAGGCTTTTTTTTAGTGCCACATGAATTTCAGAAGAGTTTTTTCTAATTCTGTGAAAAATTAAATTAGTAATTTGATAGAAATATCATCAATTCTGTATTTTGCTTTGGTCAGTATGACCATTTTAACAATATTGATTCTTTCAATCCATGAGCATGGAATGTTTTTCGATTTGTTTGTATCGTCTGTGCTTTCTTTCAGCACTGTTTGTAGTTCTTCTTTTTTTTTTTTTTTTTTTTTGAGACAGAGTCTCACTCTGTCACCCAGGCTGGAGCGCAGTGGCATGATCGCTGCTCACTGCAAGCTCCACCTCCCGGGTTCACGCAATTCTCCTGCCTCAGCCTCCCGAGTAGCTGGTACTACAGGCGCCCACCACCACGCCTGGCTAATTTCGTTTTTGTATTTTTAGTAGAGACGGGGTTTCACCATCTCTGCAGCCAGGATGGTCTCGATCTCCTGACCTGGTGATCCACCCGCCTCAGCCTCACAAAGTGCTGGGATTACAGGCGTGAGCCACCACGCCCAGCCTTGTAGTTGTTCTTTTAAAGATCTTTCAACTCCTTCATTGGTTGTATTTCTAGGTGTGTGTGTGTGTGTGTGTGTGTGTGTGTGTGTGCACGTGTGGCTAATATAAATGGGATTGTGTTCTTGCTTTGGCTGTCAGCTTGGACATTATCAGTATGTAGAAATGCTACTGATTTTTGCACATTAATTTTGTATTCTGAAACTTTAAGATGTTATTTATCAGTTCCAGGATCCTTTTGGTGTAGTCTTTGGGGTTTTCTAGATTAAAAAAAAAAACACATATCATCAAGGAGAGATAGTTTGACTTTTTTTTTTTCTCTTTGGATGCCTTTATTTTTTTCTCTTGCCTAATTGCTCTGGCTAAGACTTCCAGTACTATGTTGAATAGAAGCGGTCAGAGTAGCATTCTTCTTCTTGCTCTAGATCCCCAGGAAAATGCTTCCAGCTTTTTTCTGTTCAGTATGATGTTGGCTGTGGGTTTGTCTTAGATGGCTCTGTCATTTTGAGGTATATTCCTTCAATGCCTAGTTTCTCAAGGGTTTTTATCATGGAGAAATGTTGGATTTTGTCGAAAGCTATTTCTGCATCTATTGAGATGACTATACAATTTTTGGTTTTAATTCTGTTTATGTCATATGTTTAGGCATATGATTGATTTGCATATGCTGAAGCAACCTTGCATCCCAGGAATTAAGTGTACTTGATCATGGTGAATGAAATTCTTGATGTAGTACTGGTTTTCACTTGCTAATATTTTGTTGAGGATTTTTGCATCTATGTTAATCAGGGATATAGGCCCACAGTTTTTTGTTGTTGTTGTATCTTTGCCAGGTTTTGGTATCAAGGAAATGTGGCTTCATAGAATTAGTCAGAAAGGTGTATCTTCTTGATTTTTTGGAATAGTTCCAGTTGAATAAATATCAGCTCTCCATTGTATGTCTGGTAGAATTTGGCTATAAATCCATCTGGCCTAGGGCTTTTCTTGGTCGGTAGGGTGTTTTTTAATCACTGATTCAATTTTGCAACTTGACATTGGTTGGTTCAGTGTTTCAACTACTTCCTGATTCAATCTTGAGAGATGGTGTGTTTCCAGGAAACTTATCCATTTCCTCTAGATTTTCTAGTTTGTGTGTGTGGAGGTGTTCATAAGAGTCTCTGAGGAACTTTTGTATTTCTATGGGATTGGTTATAACGCCACTTTTGTTTCTGGTTATGTTTATTTGAATCTCTCTTTTTTTCTTTTTAAATCTAGCTAACAGTCTATTAATCTTGTTTATCCTCCAAATAACCAAATTTTGATTTTGTTGATTCTTTGTAAGCCTCACATTATTCTTCTGAACACAGAAGTTACCTCTATTGTCATTGATATATAACATAAAGCATATGGTCAGGAGATCAAGACCATCCTGGCTAACATGGTGAAACCCCGTCTTTACTAAAAATACAAAAAAATTAGCTGGGCATGGTGGCGGGCACCTGTAGTCCCAGCTACTTGGGAGGCTGAGGCAGGAGAATGGTGTTAACCTGGGAGGCGGAGGTTGCAGTGAGCTGAGATCGCGCCACTGCACTCCAGCCTGGACAACAAAGCGAGACTCCGTCTTAAAAAAAAAAAAAAAAAAAGCATATATTCAATATTTGGCCTAGATACAAGTTGCAGGTATCTGGGTTAACATAAGGGCAAATGGGACTGAGGGGTGAGTAGGACTAAAATCCCAGGGGCTACTGAAATGGAATAATAAATATCTAAAGAATGGTTAGATGTGGAAAGTCTAGAAGAGAAGATGTTAGGAACTTGTTCATTGATTCTTACAATTTGTAGAATACCATACTAGATTCTGTGGGTGAGAAGATAAAGTAAGTCACAATTCCCCTACGGATGGAGTCTCCAGTGTAAGAAATTGGGAATTTGCACAAAGGGAAGATATATAGGATAAGATCATTTGTGTGTTGTAAAGTTACCTACTGATTTTTAGATAATTACTATGTTTTAGTCCAAACCAGAACTTGTAATTTCATTCATGGTCTAAGAATGGGATGGAAAACTTGCAACCTTCCTGACCAGAAAGAATAATTGTCACCTAGGGTGGTAAATGTGAACTTGTGGGAAGCAAAACTGAGCCTAACCTGTTTTCTACTCCTATAAACCATAAAAATGTGGGAGGATTTTAAATGACAAACTGATAAGCTCAGGTTTAAACACAATGGGTCTGAGGTGAGAATGACAGCACTAATTAGTAAAGACACTAACATATTATTGTGAAGTATGTTCTTATACCTAGCTTGTTAAGGGTTTTTTTTTTATTGTGAAGGGATGCTAAATTTTATCAAATGCTTTTTCTACATCTATTGTTCTGTCCTTAATTCTGTTTATGTAATGAATCACCTTTATCATTTTGTGTATGTTGAAACATCATTGCACCCCAGGAATAGAACCCACTTGGTCACGATGTTTTGTTTTTGATGTGCTGTTGGATTCATTTTGCTAGTATTTGCGTGAGGATTTTTGTGTCTATGTTCATTAGAGATACTTACCTCAAAATAATAAAGGGCACATATGAGAAACCCATAGCCAACCACATACCGAACAGAGAAAATTTTAAAGCATTCCCTCTAAGAACTGGAACAAGACAAGGATGCCAATTTTTACTACTCCTATTCAACATAGTACTGGAAGTCATAGGCAGAAAAATCAGGCAGGAGAAAGAAATAAAAGCCATCCAAATCAGAAAGGAAGAAGTCAAATTATCTCTTTATGCTAACAACACGATTTTATATATAGAAAACCCCAAAATTCTGTCAAAAAACTCTAGATTTAATAAATGAATTCAGTAAAGTTTCAAGATACAAACCAACATACAATAATCAGTAGCATTTCTATATACCAATAACAATAAAGCAGAGAATCAAATCAAGAAGGCAATCTCACTTACACTAACTACCAAAAAACATGCCTAGGAATACATTTAACCAAGGAGGTTAAATATCTCTACAAGAGGAACTACAAAGCACTGATGAAAGAAATTGTAGATGACACAAACAAATGAAAAAATAACCCATGCTCATGGATCAGAAGAATTAATATTATTAGAATTTATGGATACACTAAAAGCCCGTACTTCACCACTATGCAATATGTCCATGTAATAAAAGTGCACTTGTACCTTTTGAATTTATACAAACAAAAAAATACTAACGTAGCAGCTAATATTAAAATAGCATTTTGCAATCTGCAAAGCACATTTATCTACATTTCTTAATCCTAGTCATCCTATGAGCTGAGAAAGATCACATATAAAAACTAAAGTATAGCATAACAAGCAAAAAGTTTATATAGTCATAGAAATAAATGAATCCTCCTGGGGAAGAGGGTAGAAAAATAACAGCAGATGATTGAGCCAGAGATAGAGGGTGGAAGGAGGAATAGGAGACTATATAGACATCAGTTTCTTTTTCACTGGGGTTTCTTGGGCTATTTGTCTTTCATGAGAGCCATTCATGTGTATTAGTGAATAATCATGGGTTTCAACACCTACCAGGATGAAAGGAGTGTGTACTTTTAAATTATCTCAACTCTGTATCAATTTATTATTCCTTCCATAAACTTAAAAAATATTATATCTTGGTCAATCCGTGTTCTCAGCAACATGGTAATAACCAGAAGAGAATAACAGAATACTAGAAAATCTTCTGGTATCTGTGGGCACTTTTGTAAATTGGCACAGAGAGCAGAACTCTCATACAGTCAGATGTGGCTTAATTTTAAGTAACTAGAGTTCACATTGAAGTAGATGGTACAATGGTGGTTACCAGACTGGGGAGTGGACAGGAAAAGGGAAGATATTAGTCAGTGTTCAAATTTTCAGTTAGACTAGAGGAATATGTTCTAGTGATCTATTGTACCCTATGGTGGCTATAGTTAATAATAATGTATTGAATACTTCAAAATTTCTAAAAGAATAGATGTTAAATGTTCTTACCATAAAGAAATAAGTATATAAGGTGATGAATAACTTAATTAGCCTGATTTAATCATTCCACAATGTATACATGTATAATCACGTCACATGTGACCCCATAATATATACAATTTATGTTTGTCAATTAAAAATTTAAAAATAACTGAAATGTAAATTAATTAAAACTTTAAAAAAGAACTAGAGATTATAAAAACCATAAAAGTAGGCTCTGATCTTCCCAGATTTTTTTCCCTTCCTTTGGAGTCTATTTTCATAAGCATGAGGCCGTGTTTAATGAGAATATCACTGAACTGGGAGTTAGCAGATTGTATTCTAGCTCCATATTAATAACTTCCTTGCTGTGTGCCTTGGAAAAGTTATTTATACTTTTTGATCTTCAGTTTCCTCTTCTGAGAATGAGATTTGGATAGTTTCAGTTCCACAGGATCTGGCCCTACCCCTCCCCATCCCTCATGCCCTATCCCCTCCCTGGATCCACTCTGCTGCAGCCGCTCTGGCCTTGTTTCTATCCTCAATTCATGTCAAGCTCTTTTCAGCCCGAGAGTATTTTCATTTGCTGTCCTCTCTGCCATTGTCCTCCAGGCCAGTTTTAGTCCATCATCTTATTCAACTTTATTTTTTTCATTTATTATATTAATATTTTTAAGCAATGAACTAATTTCTTTGTTTTATTGCTTATCACTCTCCCAAGAATATAAAATCCATGGAAGCAAGGCAGAGACGCCTCATAATCCCAAATGCTTAGAACACTATCTAAAATACAGAAGGTCCTCAATAAATAGTTTCCAAATGAATGGATGATTTTCTTTTTTATAATTTTACTTTTGCTTTTAAGTTCTAGGATGCATGTGCAGGTTTGTTACGTAGGTAAACTTGTGTCATGGGGGTTTGTTGTACAGATTATTTCATCATCCAGATATTAAGCCTAGTACCCATTAGTTATTTTTCCTAATCCTCTCCCTTCTCTCATCCTCTACCCTCTGATAGGCCCCAGTATGTGTTGTTCCCCTCTATGTGTCCATGTGTTCTCATTATTTAGTTCCTACTTATAAGTAAGAACATACAGTATTTGGTTTTCTGTTCCTGTGTTAGTTTGCTAAGGATAATGGCCTCCAGCTCCATCCATGTTCCTGCAAAGGACATGATCTCATTGTTTTTTATGGCTGCATAGTGTTCCATGGTGTATATGTACCACGTTTTTTTATCCAGTGTAACATTGATGGGCATTTGGGTTGATTCCATGTCTTTGCTATTGTAAATATTGATGCAATGAACATATGCATGCATGTGTCTTTATAATAGAACCATTTATATTCCTTTGTATATACCCAGTAATGGGATTGTTGGGTCAAATGATATTTCTGTCTTTAGGTCTTTGAGAAATTGCCACACTGTCTTCTACAATGGTTGAACTAATTTACACTCCCACTCTCAGTGTATAAGTGTTCCTTTTTCTCCATAACCTCACCAGCACCTGTTTTTCTTTTCACATTTTAATAACAGCCAAAGAATGGATGATTTTCAAAACAGGATTTATTGGAGAAACTTTATTGTTCAAGTAGAATCTTACCTAAGTGCTTGATACACAAGCAAAACTAGATAATATCAGATCTGCTGTGATTGTGGAAAAATAAGACAAGAAACTTCCTTCACATAAGCCTTGAGATGCACCTTAAAGCAACCTCTCAGAGTCCAGCTCTTTAGGATTACCTCGGAAACCACTGGGATAGATCAACTCTACATTTAATAACAGTTTATGATTATGCTTCTAATTTCCTTCTTTGATCTCAACATATAGTATTTTCTCAGTTCCAATGCTTACAAAATTTGGATGCGTTTTTCCATGGATGTGTTACTTTATTGTAGTTTTCCCACCCTCATTCCCTCTCCTCACTGTAAAAATGTGTCTTGCAATCAAGGAACTGCAGTATATAGAACAGTGTTCCACAGATCCTCTAACTAGTATGGTTACATTATTACTTTAGTTTCTAAATGTACAGAAGTCTAATCTGTGTACTGTGAGAAGTCCAGCTCTTGACTCAAATCTCCAACTATTTTGAGGGGTTATGTTCTCCCAGTACTACCACTGCAGCTCACTTTCTCAATGCATCTTGGGGCCTAGAAGCAACTCTCCTCTCCCAGCACCAAAGCCAGCAACCCTACCATTCATTGATCAATATGCTAATTCACTCATTCCCTTCATAGCACTGCTGATATAACATTATTTTAGCAGGCTTGTACTGAAGGCTCTTCAATTTTTCATATTGTGTGTGCATAGGGAGGAAACATTTAAAGGGAATTACAGTGAAACATAAAAGGAAGATAATTAGAATCAAATGTTATCATTAATGTCCTAAATATCCATCTGGTAATCCTCTCACTGAGAAATTTCTCACTGATCTTTTTACTTTTATTCCCTCTTCCTCAGTGTTTCTGTTTTACTTAACAAACTCACTTATAATAGCTGCAAATCTCAATTTCCAAATTTTTATCTCTTTTTCAATTTAGAGTAATTTTGCTCTGTGTTTTCATCTCCTTCTTCCTGATCATATTCTGTACAGCCCCCTATTTCACAAGCAAAGAGGTCATCAAGGATTTTTTTTATACATATGACCATCATTGTCATACAGATCATGCCACATTCTTGGCACATGAAAGCAGTTTCAGGTAGTTCTTGCTTTAAAGAGCATTTGCCATTTCACTCTTTCTACATTTCTGTACACTATAAACTTATCCTAGTAAAACATCATCCTGTACCCTTAGAAAACAAAAGTATAACCTTATCTCTGATCTGCTTGGTCTTCACTCCGTAAACCATGGGGTTGAGTGCAGGTGGGATAACAATGTAGAGATTGGCAAACATGATGTGGAAGGTGCGAGAGACATTGTGTCCAAAGCGATGGGCGAGGATGGAGAAAAAGGCAGGTGTATAAAACATGAGGATGACACAGACATGAGAACCACAAGTGCCGAGGGCTTTCTGGCAGGCATCTTGGGAGGGAAGGCCAAAGACAGCACAGAGGATGTGTGCGTAGGAAACAGCAATGAGAATCACATCTGAGATGACCGTCATGATGGGAACACAAAAGCCATACCAGAAGTTGATGGAGATATCAGCACAGGCGAGCTGGGCAACACCTATATGCTCACAGTATGTGTGGGGTATGATGCGTGTCCTGCAGAAAGGCAGGCATGTCAGCAAGAATACATCTGGCAGGATGATGCAGAAGCTTCGAAAGGAGATGCCCATAGCACTCTTGATGATGGTCTTGGGAGTCAAGATGGTGGTATATCTCAAGGGAGAACAGATAGCTACATAGTGATCAAATGCCATGGCCATCAGAATGGCTGAATCCAGGACAAAGTTATAGTGAAGGAAGAACATTTGTGTAAGGCATCCTGGGAATGTGATTTCGCGAGCCCCTAGCCAAAAGATACTGAGTGCTTTAGGCACACCAGCTGTGGACAAGATGAGGTCAGTCATGGCCAGCATGGAGAGAAAGAAGAACATGGGTTCATGAAGACTATGCTCCACCACAATGAGGTAGAGAAGGATGCAGTTTCCCACAACAGCTACAATGTAGATGATACAGAAGGGAATTCCAATCCACACATGGAATTGCTCCAGGCCTGGGATCCCTACCAGAATGAAGGGTCCTGGATTGTAACTGCTCAGGTTGAAAATGATCATGGCAGAGGCAGATGGCATAAATCTCAGCCCCTAAAGACAGAGGGTGATTAAGGATAGAGAAACTTGAGTAACTCTCAAACTTTCAACTAATTATAATTATTGCCTCCTGAAGATAAAGTGACCATATAATTTGTCATCCAAAATAGAACCTGTCTGAAATGAACAAAGGTTAAAATTAGTAATAATGGTAGCAACATGCAAAAACCAAGATTGTTCCAGATACAAATAGATACATTATTAAACTACCTGAAGAGAATCTTTTCTTTCTTCTGACCTCCCCCAGTAGTTTGCACAGCTTCTACAGGAAGCCTTCCAGACTGGTTACACTCTTCCTTATACACTGTTCTCCCATACAAGTTAACAAAGTACAGAATACACTTTTTCATGGTGGATTATAGCTCATATGACCTTATGGACATCATTGTTTAGGATCTGCTTGCTCTGTCATTGTGAATTATCTGTCTCTGCCCCCAAGACAACTGTTTGCTTCTCTTAAAGCTACCTGATGACTGTGGCTCTTACATTTGTAAGATCAGCACCCCTTTATTGCCATCTAAAAACCTAATTCAGTTCAGCAAACACCAGATGAGTTCCTACACTATGCTGGATAACATGTGTAAGTCAGATTTAAACTAAAAAATTCCCTTATAGCTGAGGTTCACTAGCCTTTCTCCTCAAAAAAAAAAAAAAATTCAATAGTTTTCCAACACTTTATATACTACGTAAGTGAATAATATTCTAATACTGTGGACTTAGTGACACTATCAGTCAAGGTTTCTGTCCAAAAGAAGGACTGCTTTTTTGTGAACATACATCTATTAGAGAGACACATCGACCCAAGACACATACTCTCTCAAACACAGACCCTTAATACTTACATTCTCAGGCATATCCAGACCTACACTTACATTCTGTCATATATTTTGCCACCATATATTTACCCATACATAATCTTACACAATTACAAGCCCCCTGTCCTCCCATCTTCCCCCGACACATGTGCTGACAATATAAACAAAATGTTTCACAATTAGATTTTGTCACTGTCACAGGCTTTGTAAATTCCTAAAACCTCTCCACTGGTCCTATACCTTCTTCCCCAGTAATGCCTCTATAACAACTCACAGCACTCCCAACTTGTCTGAGGTCATCCTTTATTCATACATATGTGAGGAAAGGTTTTCTCAAGTTTTTGTATTTCCATGAACTCAAATACAACAGATGTTCATGAAGTCATCCAAAAGCATTCACAAACACACACGGGTGCACAGACGGTTAACTCTCTCATTTAACAATCAGACAAATCCACAATGTGGAAAAATCTACAACAATCTGTTTTCTTTTTTCAAGTCAATGCCATTAAAGGGGGAAGGGGAATATTAGATAAGGAAAATCCATTTCCAGATTAAAGTACATTTAAGAGAAAAACAAATAAATGCAGTGTGGTTATTTATTTATTTATTTTATTGAGACAGAGTCTCACTCTGTCACCCAGGCTGGAGTGCTGTGGCACGATCTCGGCTCACTGCAACCTCCGCCTCCCCGGTTCAAGCGATTCTCCTGCCTCAGCTTCCCGAGTTGCTGGGATTACAGGCGCCCGCCACCACCCCCAGCTAATTTTTGTATTTTCAGTAGAGACGGGCTTTCACCATGTTGGCCAGGCTGGTCTCGAACTCCTGACCTTAGGTGATCCACCCACCTCAGCCTCCCAAAGTGCTGGGATTACAGGCGTGAGCCACCACGCTCGGCCTGCAGTGTAGTTCTTGATTGAATTCTGTTTAAACAAACCAGGTATTGAATTCAATTAATGAATAGTTAGGGAAACTTAAATATGGACTAGGTATTGAGTGATATAAAGGAACTAGTGTTAATTTTATCAGCAATAATTATGGTATTATGGTAGATACACATACATACTCTCAGGCATCCACAGTATGTTAGCAAAATATTGGCACAGAGCATGTACTCTGGAGCCTCAGAAAGCTAGGTTTCACAATTTAATCCTGGTTCCACAATTTACTAGCTATGTGAATCTGGGCAAGCTATTTAAACTACATGATATTTGGGTTCCTATGTTTTTAAAAGAAATTAATATTTCTAATTTTTATAATTATTATTAGGACAAAATGATACACATTGAAAAAAGAATTTTTTTTTTGAGACAGAGTCTTGCACTGTTGCCCAGGATGGAGTGCAGTGGCACAATCTTGGCTCACTGCAACCTCCACCTCCATGGTTCAAGTGATTCTCCTGTCTCAGACTCCCGAGTAGCTGGGATTACAGGTGCCCGCCACTATGCCTGGCTAATTTCTTTGTATTTTTAGTAGAGACGGGTTTCACTATGTTGGCCAGGCTGGTCTTGAACTCCTGACCTTGTGATCCACCTGCCTCAGCCTCCCAAAGTGCTGGGATTATAGGCGTGAGCCACCACGCCCAGCCGAAAAATATTCTTTAATATAGTACCTGAAACATAGTAAGCATGTAACAAGTTTTACTTCTTTATATTAGGTTATATTTTATATCATTAGTATTATCATTAACAACCAGACCATGCAGTGGAAAAGAGAACAGAAATTGCAAGATGGATAAAAATTAACAGGAGCACCCCTGGGCATACACACATACCAGCACACTTAATTCTACATTTTAAGTTAGAGTTATGGACTCTTGTCACATGTCTGAAACAGAAATTTCCTAACACTGCTAACTGTGGTCATACTTAACGCAGCTGTGTAATTGTCCATCTGTTCTGATCTTTTGATGCTTAACTCAGTGGAGCATATACACAAGTACTGGAGATCAGGACCTCAGTTTATAAATGGGAGTTGCTCAGGAAAGAAAATTATAGTGCCCAGCCCATGGTCCCTAAGAAATAGAGCCCTGGCTTTTCACTCACTTTCTCTAAGTCTTGTCCCAATCAAACCCCTTCAAACAGCCAATACTCACCAAATCTTGGGGATCAGGCCAAAGGGAAAGAAGAAAGAGTGTGTTGACAAAATCTACAAGACAGCAGACACACCAACCAAAAAAAAACATGAGTGGAAGGAAAAGGAAGGACGTTAGAGAGGTTGATTCCCTGTCCATTTATTTTCTCTGATCACTCACTGCTCCTTGTGGGGAAAAGGTAGGTAGTTAGGGGATTAGAGACTCTGACATGCCCTCTTCTCACCCTCAAGGGAAGAAGATGAAAAAGATTCTATTAACCTTGTTCATGCCTTTGAGTTAACACTGCCTTAGAGTGCTTTATTTATTTATTTATTTGTAAGCTGATGTGTATGTGGGTGGAAAGCTGTGTGTATGTGCCTATCATATCACCCAGGTTTCAAGTTCATGCCCTCACTTACCAGATAAAGGACTTTGGATGAGTTACTTAATTTCCATTAAAAGGTGGTCATATTAGTACCTGTCTCTCAAGATTTTATAAGGATTGACAAATTAATAGGATACTGCTAGTGAAAATGCTTAACATATCGGCAAACTTATGGTGTAAAGGAATAACCTAGGGCACCTGTTAAGATGAAAATTATATGGCCCACATGAAATAATTCTAATATTATCTTTTAAAAATTCCAGTGGCTTTAGGGGTACAAGTGTTTTTTGATTACATGGGTGAATTGTATAAGGTTGAAGTCTGGGTTTCTAGCGTACCTGTCACCCATATTGCGTAGATTGTACTCAATAGGTGATGTTTCATCCCTCACCCCTCTCCTAGCTTCTCCTCTTCTGGGTCTCCAATGTCCATTATACTACTATGTGTGCCCTTGCATACCTATAGCTTATCTCCCACTTATAATTTTTAAAACATTAAACTTCATTAAACATTTTTATTGGTAAAAACAATATGAGCAAATAAAATATATTCTTATGGAGAAACTGTTAGGTCTACCAGCTGGTACTGTCAGGAATTTCTGCAAGTCCAGATATCAATTTTTACCTAAGAGGCTTTTACCCAACAATTCTGAAAGCCAAGTCAGTTTTTGTCAATGTTTGTCAAACGTTTGCTAAATATTGTTGAATGTGTTAATTAATAAAGATTGCCAGGAGTCCACTCAGTACTCTGAATGTTCTAGAATATCTGGAATAAACCAGAACTAATGAGATTAGTATTGTATTGGCTCCCAACAGAATTTTTACCTTTCGCTGAATAAAAATTGAGGTTGCTTCACCTCTCTATACTAGGATAAGGGACTGAAGAGTCACATGAACTTGTGTATTCTGTAAGAATGTGATTAATTGCATCACTTACTGCCTATTCTTTAAGAGCTTTCTAAAGATATTTCTCCATTCTTCATATAAGAAGTAGTTTTGCTTCTCTAACAATTAACTGTCTGTAACTTATAGCCATCATGAATTATGTAGCTAATCATGTTTAACTCTCACATAGACTGTTAGAAAGCTTACAGCTCAATTTCTGACCCACATATAATAAGAGAACAAAAATTCATAGCAGGTGGAAAGTGTATTTTCGGCCTATTTTTTGTCTTAATTTTTAAAAATCTTTCTACTTTTCTTTTTGCCTTTTCTATTTATACTTTGTAATATGCCACATAACAATGTTTCTGAACAATTGTCCCATAAGATTACAATACCATATTTTAGAGTACCTTGTCTATGTTTAGACATGTTTAGATGCACAAATACCATTATATTATACTTCCCTACAATATTCGGTATAGTAACATGATGTACAGTTTTGTAGCCTAGGAGCTATAGAATATAATAGAGAGCCAAGGCTGTATCACACAGGTTTGTGTAAGTACACTCTATGATATTTGCACAATAATAAAATCATCTAACAACACATTTATGAGACTCTATCCTCATTGTTAAGTGGGACCTGACTATATTTTTATTTATGGTATGCAAAATACATCAAGTAATTTTGGAAACAATGCATGTAGCTATTGTCACATGTTAAGAGATAGACTATAAATTCAAACACAATTCTCCGAGTCCAAAGGACATTCTTTTCTATTAAAACTATATGTTGAGAGCCATTGTAGAAATAAAAATTCAATGACATGTGAAAAGGGTAGTAGCACGGGGATGGGAAAGTAGTCTCAAGGTAAAGAGACCATGAACAACTCTGATATTTTGAGTCAAGTGAAAGCAGTGAGGGTTTGAACTACTGGGGTAGGGGAGGAGGGTGCCTGCACTCAGCCGGGGAATCCAAGAGGTTATTTAGAAAAAAACCACAGGTTTTGAGGACGTATCAGATTTGAAAGGGAAATAAGACATTGATTATCATTGCTGCCTGGCAGACACCTAAAAATAAGTATTACTGACCAAGTGACTGAATGACTCACTATGACCAAGTTATGCATACTGGATTTGAAGAGACAATGAATCATACAGAGGTACATTTTTGGCTTGTGACTACATCTCTATGGAGATACAAACATGAAAAAAATTGAGACCACCAATGCTTCCAATTGGTCAAGTCTTAAACCCACTTCTTAGTCTGTACGTGCTTTACCATTTTACTAGCCATAGGAATTTGCCTTCCTCCTTTTATTCCTTGTGGAAAACTCCACCCACCCACAACTCATTTGGCTTTCTCAAGGTTGAGTTAAACATTGAGTTTTATCATTGCCTTATCCCTTTGCTTAATATAAACACCTGCACTCTTAAATTAATAATTTTATGATTATTTGCCATTTATTTATTTGATAAATGTTGCCTATGTCCCTAGTGTGTGCTAGGTATTATACTTGATGTTGTTTAGAAATTAATAGGAGTGAACAAAGTAAAAACCCAGAACCCTGCAGAGTCATCAAAGAGGTAATTTTCCTGCCTTGCTATGATGTATAAATAAACTACCATGATAAATAAATCTGAAAAACCATTCAGATTTGCCAATCATTACATTGTCTTCATTAAAAGTTTTATAATCACTTTAGAGCAATCATAAGGAATTACAAAAGTTCTTGTTTCTAGAAGTCAAAAAATATTTATTATTTCCTAGACTCAGAACTTACTTTGCTATAACTGAAATGATTGAGTAGACTTCTGCCTCAAATCACAAAGAAAGCAAAACTCAAGTTTTCGTTAATAAATTTTAGTCTGTCCTTTCTCTTGGGTGTCTGAACACAGGTTCAGTCTTTGACCTAACACACACTAGGAACTTGTCCCTACCTCCAAGAGCTCAGGCACCTATCACTGGGACCCCTTGGGAAAGAGCAAAAGGATTCTGTTCTGGATTTGCTTGGTCTTTATTCTGTAGACAATAGAGTTGAGAGCAGGTGGAATGATTACATAAAGGTTGGCAAACATAATATGAAAGGTATGAGGGACATTATGCCCAAAGCAATGGGCAAGAATGGAGAAGAATGCTGGTATATAGAATATGAGGATAACACAGACATGGGAACCACAGGAGCAAAGGGCCTTCTGACGGGCATCTTGGGAGGGGAGGCAAAAGACAGCACAGAGGATGAGGGTGTAGGAGACAGCAATGAGGATCACGTCTGTCATCACCGTCATGATGGGAACACAAAATCCACACCAGATATTGATGGAGATATCAGCACAGGCAAGCTGGGCAACACCTATGTGCTCACAGTATGTGTGAGAAATGATATGTGTCCTGCAGAAGGGTAAACGATTCACAAGGAAAACACATGGGACAAAAACACAGAAACTTCGGAAACATATTCCCACAGCAATTTTGACAATGGTTTTGGGAGTCAGAATAGTAGTGTATCTCAAGGGTGAGCAAATGGCCATATAGCGGTCAAATGCCATGGCCAGCAGTATAGCTGAGTCCAACACAAAGCTATAGTGCAGAAAGAATAATTGGGTGAGACAGCCAGGGAAACTGTTTGGGGACCAAACCAGAAGATGCTAAGTGTTTTGGGGACACATGTGGTGGACAATATGAGATCAGTAATGGCCAGCATGGAAAGGAAAAAGAACATGGGTGCATGAAGACTGTGCTCTACCACAATGAGGTAGAGAAGGATACTATTGGCCACGACAGCCATGAGATAGATTAAGCAGAATGGGATGCTGATCCAGACGTGGTACTGCTCAAGTCCAGGGATACCCAAAAGGATGAACAGGCCTGTACCATGGTCACTCATGTTGTACATGGCCTTTAAGATCAATAGCTTCTGTGTCCTAAAAACAAATTGCTTATAATGAACATGAGGAAATTGTATGGTAATTCTTCCTCCACTGCTTCCTAGGGGCTGGTCCGCCTCTTTCCTATATTCCAAGAAAAAACCTCTCATTGATATTAACAGCAATGTTCATCACTTGAAGAAAGACTCTCAGACCCAATACTTCTGATACTAATCATCCAGTTACTCTAGAATCTTCTTCAAACTGCATAAACTGCTGTTCCCATTTTAATGACTGAGTTCTCCCTGGGTCAATGTAAGTTGCTGCTATATAAATATGAGTATAGAGAAAAGTAGTCTAACTACATGCAGGGATAGAAAGAAACTGAAAAATACTGGGTCACAGTTGGGAAAATGAGATAATTAACAATTACTGACTCCTAGTACATGCCAGTTTCTTGAAAAATATTATCTTATTTAGAAAAACCTTCTGAGATACGTATTTTTATCCACCTCATTTTTTTTTTTTTTTACAGAAACTGAAACTGAGACATAATCTTACCTAACATCTCACCTTTAGTAACTAGCAGAGCCAAGGTCATTAGATTCCACAGCCACTACTCTTTCATGTTGCTGTTACACCAGGTAACTGCTTCAACTCACTGTGAGATGCCAAGAATTCAGAAGAGGCGTGGACGTGTAGCAAAGGATGTAAAGAAACGGATCACTGGAACTGTAATTTGTCCCAACACTGACCCTACCCCAATTTCAACGACTGTTCTGATATCTCAGACACTACATAGAGAGACTTAAGGCTTGTAGACCAGAATGTTCTCTGAGATTGTGATGTTTGATGCCTCCTATATGAATGAAATGAGAAAGGGTATGAGGCTCAATCTCAGTCCACCCTTAGGAATTAATGAGGAAATCTTGTTTAAGAATCAGAGAAAATTGGTTTGTGTGCTTTTTACAAATACAGAGAGGACCTCTAGTGGAAGAAAAATACAATTTATATATTCTAAATCCTAGGTCAAGCTAAAAGCAAATAAACTTTATAACAGAAGCTAATATTTTTTGAAAACCTTTAATATACTACATGAGACCACTTTTGTAATTTTCTTAACAATTCTATGAGACAGGTAATAATATTATCCACATTTTAAGGATGCAGAGAAAAGTGATTTGTCAAAAGTCACACAAGAAGGAAATGGTAGTGCTGGGAATCAGACCCACGAGTCTTTTCCTAGACTCCTCTATATATAACCAAAATTATCTACAGAGTCTGTATGGCAAATAACATGTATAATATCTGCATAGCAAAAGATACAAAATTAACCAATATATAGAAAACTAAAAATATAAAACAAGTTAACAACATAAAACCAAATACATCATTTATGCTTATAAATGTAGATTGCTGGAATTCCTCTATCAAAAAGCACAAAGATAAATAAAGTTTAAAAATTCAATTATATGTCACTTATATGAGTAAGATCTAAAACAAAATGATGCATAAAGGATAAACAAGTGTGAATAAACAAGGATAAAAAGGATAGACAAGTGTGTTTCTGACAAATTTAAATGTGATGGAAGCAAGTCTAGCAAAATGGAAAGCATAAAAAGTAAAATTTAACTTAGAAAGCATTAAACAGGACAAAAGGTAGTTTGCACAGTTAAAAGGAACAAATGTTTATTAATACTACAAATAATTTGCCAGGCCCAGGAAACCAGACATGATGCTAAACCTTAGGTATTCAGAAACACATATCAGTCTATTCTTAAGAGAACATTACCTGCTAAAGTCAACAGATTTGTAAAAGAAAATTTCAATGCAGAATGAAAGTCATAGGGAATTCAAAGATGCCTGTGGAAACTGAGTGGAGAGGTATTATCAAAACCTGTAGCATCAGAGAAGATCTTGAGAAATAGGTGAAACAATGTGAGTCTTGAGGATGATGCAGATTACTCAAGAAGACAGAGAAAAAACATTTCAGGCAGAGAAA
This sequence comes from Homo sapiens, assembly GCF_000001405.40. Classification (NCBI taxonomy): domain Eukaryota; kingdom Metazoa; phylum Chordata; class Mammalia; order Primates; family Hominidae; genus Homo; species Homo sapiens. Next base: position 5,554,570 of record NC_000011.10, read on the forward strand.
GCAACACATACAAAGGCTTAGAGGCATGAAGTTATGATATATTTTGGTAAATTTACATCATCTAGGTATATTTAGCGGAGTGCTGGGAAATGGGTAGCAGCCAATCAGTCAATAAAGATGTAAGCATGTAATAGGTACTGGAAAGATAGTGTGTATAAAACAGATGCAATGCCTCTCGTGGTGGAGATAATTTATTGAGGAAGACAGACACTATTCAAATAAGCAGTAGGTTATATGTATAAGAATAATTATTACCTGCGATGTATGTTATGGAAATATATAGGTTATCATGAGAATCAATAACAAAGACGATTGGACCTGCAGGAGATAGGAAAGGATTCTTGGAGGAAGATATTGTAAAATGAGGTTGATTTTAACAAAAATATAATAAAATAAATAATACTGAATTCTACCTGTAAGTCAATTGAATTTAGCCCTTCCTCCCTCCCAGAGAGGTAGGTCCCCCTTATTGTTTCCATATTACAGACAAGAAAAAAGATGATACACAGAAAGTATATCCAAATTTGTTCAGCTGTTAAGTGGAAAAGCCAAATTTCTAACAGGTAGTTTGACCTCAGATCTTTTCTTCGACTCCACTTTACACTATATTATTTTCAGTAGGCTAAAACAGAAAGGAAAGCATTTAGAAAGAAAAGTGTGTGTAAAGTCCTTCAGGTAAGAAGGAGCTAGATGTGGAAATAAGCTCCTTGAAAGCAGCAGGTACTTGGTGGTGGTGGTGGTGGTGGTTGTTATGTGTGTTTTAATATATGTGGCTCATATGCTAAAAATGAAAAGAAAAAGAGAAAGAGAAAGAAAGAAAGAGAGAGAGAGAAAGAAAGAAAGAGAAAGGGAGAGAGAGAGAAGGGAGAGAGAAGAAGGAAGGAAGGAAGGAAGGAAGGAAGGAAGGAAGGAAGTCTAATGAAAACATCAAAATTATGAAAAATAGCAAACATTTTTAGCAGGCACCTAGCCTCTTCAAGAGACATTCATCTGGAAAGGTGGCATTCATCTGGATGCATTGGTTATGCCATAAACCCTAAGTATAACCAGCATAAAAGGATGCACCCTGTCCCAGTTTGCTATTCTTATATTTATGCATTTGTCCAACCACCATTTGTTGAGGCAGTCTACAGGACAGTATAGACGGTTACGAGGAAAGAGCTGGAGGCCAGACACTCCTGGCTGCCATACACCAACTCCATCAGTTCTCTTTAGATGAAATTGGGAAATTTATTTAACCACTCCAAGATTCTGTTTCCTCATGTGTGTATGAAGATCTAAGCTACCTCACAGGGTTTGAGGATTGATTGCAATGTTATAAGCAATGCACTTTGTACATTGTTTAGTACATTACATAGTGATCTTTTTTTAAGTTTTAATTTAATTTTGTATTTTATTCTACTGTGTAACAAGCACTGTGGATGCAGATATGACTAAGACTTTTTTTTTTAACTGTCCTCAAGGAGATCACGGATTAGTAGGGAAATACACACAGAAGGAGGCAATTCCACTGCAGAGTGACAAATAATATGTAACCTCAAAAAGCACAAGGATCTGTGTGGGCACAGAGAAGATACTATGCAATTAGGAAAGAGGGCAGGATGGTCAAGAATCTTATATTGGAGCTGTGTTTTGAAGGAAAAAGAGAAATTCTCAAGGCAAATGACAGGAATAGGGATACGCTAGGCAGAGAAGACATTATTTCAAATGTGAAGGATTAAGTGAGAATATTGTGAGATTTGGGGAATTGTATGCACCCCGATATGGACAGCACCCTAGATATGCTGAGACTGAGAGAAAAGAAGAGGAAGGTCAGATGAGTTTGGAGAAGTAAACAAGAACTTGTACTTTCTGATTCAGAACTTGAATCTTATCCTGAAGACTAAGGGAGGGAGGGGGCTGATAGAGGATTTTACTTGGGAGTGTGACAGAATGAAATTGACATATTGAAAACTGCATTCTGGCTGCTGTGTAGACTTGCTGTTGGAATGAAGTAAGATGCAATTGAAATGAAGTTTTAGAAACAGAATGAGTTTGAGAATTTCCCTGTAGTCCAGGGAGAAATGATGATACATGCTAAAAGGGATGAATTAAATAATGCTTCCTCCAGGGCTGGAATTGGGGGAAATGCCTAGAGTGCAACATTTAAGGAACAAAGGACTCACTCTCAGGGTTTTAAGTGCTTCCTTTAATGTTGCATCCTAGGCACCTCTATGGGGCTCACTGCTCAGTACACAGACACTCAAGGTGTTATTGCCAGTTAAACAGAAAAGAAGTTTACTGTTTTCTTCTTTGCTCACTTGTCCCTGTGTGCTGTTTAGCTGGAGACAGGGGCAGGAAACAAGTCCCAGAGGTCACTCCACTGGGACTTTCTTAGGAGCCATAAATGCTCTCAGGCTCATCGTGTCTGCAGCGCAGTGGGAGTCTCCCATCTGTGGTTGAAGGAATGGATGGAAGTGTGTGAGCTAGATTGCACAGATAGCAAGCAGAACATTTCTGGTGAACTTGGACACACAGACACGTGGAAGTTACTGTAACCACCTAGATTGCAAGAAACCTTTCCTTTGTGGGCTAGCCAAGTGGGCAGGAGTAAAGTAAGTAATTTTATTTCAGAGTGTAATTTTTGGCTACCTTTACCCAGGATTTCAAGTCTCTGAATCTGAATTTCCCCACAGGTCCCCTGCAACATTTCTCCAACTTTCAGCCTTCTTGTGCCCTTTCCCAGGAATAATGCCCACCTCTGTACCTTGCTCTCTGAATCTTCCCCAGTGACATTTTGCAGCTATAATTATCTAATTCACCGAACCATGCATGATGAAAATGCCAGCATCCAGGGGCTCCTGAATGACACAGGCTTTTAATAGGGTCTATTCAAGAGGGGCTCTAGTCTTCTAACTCGAGGTAGGACTCCAGATCAGAGATGCTCCCAAGTAAGTGGTCTGGGGAATCAGTGCTCTTGATAGAGAAGACAGGGACCCTATGGGTACTTCTCAAATCTTATCCTCTGTGGGTAGCTAGATGTTGATCTAGACTTCTTGGTTGCTTTGTCTATGAAGTCTGAGCTCACACACATAACTTCTTCCATTTTAAAAGCTTGAGACATCACATCAGAGATATTATTTGCCAAGTTGATCTTCGTGAATAGGAAAAATGCCTTGGCTCTTTAAGAAATATTAGGGAAATGTTTTAATACGGAATAAAGGACAATCACATATTGCTGTGCACACATTTCTATTCTTTGGTAAACGTAACTCCGTAATTGCTGCTATGCCAATTTATGGCACCAACCAATATTTCAAGTGATAGTAATCAATAGCAGACTGCCCAGCTTATTTTTAAAAATCAAAGGACAACTCCAGGTGATTCATGAGCCTGGAACTGGTCCAACAGAAAAAACCAGATTCTTAGTTATTCATTAGAAGATACTGAGTAAACTCCTCTAGAAGTTGGGGATATTAATTAAAGTGGTTCTAATGAAAGTCTAAAATTTTCATCACTCCCTTTAATAACAAAATGAATTCCATCAAATTACTGTCATATATTTGGTAATAGTAAAATAGTAAAATAATAAATTTCTATTAGAAAAATAGAAACTATCAGATAGTAAAAAAAAAGTAATATCACCTGTTAGTTTACTACCCAGATATAACAATAGCTAATATTTCCATGTTTTCTCTACCAGACATCCTATCTATGCATGTATGTGTATATACATTATTGCCATTGTTCAACACATACAGGTGATACTGTGGAAAAGTGTTTAGCTTATTTTTTAATTTAGCAATAAATGGTAAATATTAGATGATATTTATTTTACATAAAAATAAACTACCTTTGTATATAAGTCAATCTCTCCTGATACAGGATAATCTGTTAATGAGAAAATTAGTTTTCTTTTTTTCTAACTTCTATTTTACGTTCAAGGATACAAGTGCAGGTTTGTTACAGAGGTAAACTTGTGTCATGTGGGTTTGTTGTACAGATTATTTCCTCAACCAGATATTAAGCCTAGTACCGATTAGCTATTATTTTTCCCTCTCTCCACCCTCTGGTAGACCCAGTGTGTGTTGTTCCTCTCTATGTTCTTATCGTTTACCTCCCAATTATAAGTGAGAATATGTAATAACAGTATTTGGAGTTTTGTTCCTGTGTTAGTTTGCTAAGGATAATAGCCTCCAGTTCTATCCATGTCCCTGCAAAACATGATCTCATTCTTTATTATGGCTGCATAGCATTCCATGGTGTATATTTTCTTTATCCAGTCTATTATTGAAGGACATTTAGGTTGATTTCATGGCTTTGCTATTGTGAATAGTGATGCAATAAACATACACATGCATGTGTCCCTATAATAGAACAATTTTTATTCCTTTGATATATACCCAGTGATGGCATTGCTGAGTCAAATGGTATTTCTGTCTTTTTAGGCCTTTGAGGAATCGCCACTGACTGAACTAATTTACACTCCCACCAACAGGGTGTAAGTGTTCCTTTTTCTCCACAACCTTGCCAGCATCTGTTATTTCTTGACTTTTTAATAAAAGCCATTCTGACTGGTGTTAGATGGTGTCTTACTGTGGTTTTGATTTGCATTTCGCTAATGATCAATAATTTTCTTTTTAATGAACATAATTAGCTATTTAAAATAATGGCTGGGTTGGGGATTTATTTTTCTTCTTTAGAGAGTATTTCATTATATGGCCCCTTTTCAGGGATAAAACCCATTTAGCATGGGTGTGGTTGCACAAAAATTACTGGGAGGGAAGATTTGAAGAAAGTCAATCACACTATGCTCCTTAAAGAAAAAAAAAAAAATTGCCAGGCGCGGTGGCTCACGCCTGTAATCCCAGCACTTTGGGAGGCCGAGGCGGGCAGATCATGAGGTCAGGAGATCGAGACCATCCTAGCTAACACGGTGAAACCCCGTCTCTACTAACTATACAAAAAATTAGCCGGGCATAGTGTCAGGCGCCTGTAGTCCCAGTTACTCAGGAGGCTGAGGCAGGAGAATGGCGTGAACCCGAGCGGCGGAGCTTGCAGCGAGCCACGAGAGCCTGGGCGACAGAGCGAGACTCCGTCTCAAAAAAAAAAAAAATTGGTTTACACTTTTCATTCAAATTCAGTTCTGCAGATATAAAGAAAACCGGAAACCTAATTTACTTGTTTTGGGGAAGGCAATAAATATTTTAACCATAATTCTGCTAGCCTAAAAAAATAAACCCCAAAACAAAACAAAAACCACTTGAAGCCTGGATTTAATGCAGGGGCCTGGATGTGATTGTTAAGATCTTCTCCTACTACAGGAACATGAGTGTAATAAAGGTAAAACAAACAAATTTGGTTCTGGCACACACACACACGAAACCTTTACATAATTAAAAACTAACAAAGAAATTATTAAATGTATTTTAAGTAAGAAGAGTTTAAATAAGTGGTTGATATACATATCCAATTATACTGACAACTTATATTTTGATAATTGCTCAAGCTACTTACTTCTGACAGTGTTTCTTTAAAGTCATGAAGTTTAGATGTATTAACAAGTAAAACTGAAATACAAATAATAGTTTTTAAAAGTCTGGGTAGACTTTGGTTCAGAATCTCATCCTGCATTTCAGGAAAGATAATCATCTTGTGCCACTGCTGCAGCTCCACCCATTCTCAAATAGCAGCATCCCCAAGTGTACTCGTAGTTCTTAATAATGTAATAAAATATTTCAAAAAAATTCATTTTTAATTAATGGATACTCATTTATTATATAGAGAAACAGACAGACAGCTATATTGTAGAACTATGGTTTTCATACATTATAATTCTATGTGAAGGATTTCTGTTTTGAAAGCTTTTACATTCATTTTTCCCTTTCCTGCCCATGTTGATTTTTCTGTACATATTATAGATGATCAATAAATGCTTAATCAATTAATAGTTGGTTAGGTAAATGTGTGTGCTAGATAACAGAATTGTTTAATTCAATAAGAAAAAACCTTTTGGTTTCTATTTTTTCCTGATATTCTTTATAAAAATTGATAATTTTCTCTCTTAAAATGTTTAGTTGCAGACTACAATTATTATTAAAGATTTTACAGTTTTGGATGGTCATAATTTTAATTTTATGTCAATTTTATGAGAAAATAGTACTGGCTTCAGGATTTTCTTTTGAAGCATCTGTTTAAAATTATGTGATCTTATTTTAAATTTTTAGAATATTTCTCTTCAAGGCTGAATACTACACATATTTAGGTCAGTAGTTAACAAAACTGAGTAGGTAAGACTTGTTAACCTGAGCTCATTGAGGGTTAATAAATATATGCTAATTGATTATGACCAATTGACTCTCTACTTTCTTTCACATTAGACAGAAAAGTGGTGAAAGTTCCTTACCATAATTCTGGCATGTCAGCTCCCAACCACTCCACTGCCAATCATGATATGTTTGTCCTCATTGGCGTTCCTGGCCTGAAGGAGCTGCACGTGTGGATCTCCATCCCCTTCTGTCTGATGTACCTGGTGGCTGTGTCAGGAAATGGTCTCCTTGTCTGTGTGGTGGCAGTGGAGCACAGTCTTCATGAACCTATGTACCTTTTCCTCTCCATGCTGGCATTTTGGGATCTGATTCTATCCACATCTGCAGTACCCAAAGCCTTGAGCATTTTCTGGTTTGATGATGTGGACATCTCCTTTGGTGGCTGTGTCACTCAGCTCTTTTTTATGCATTTTGCCTTTGTAGCGGAGTCAGGCATTCTCTTGACCATGGCTTTCGACCGCTATGTGGCCATCTGCTACCCATTGAGGTATAGCACCATCCTTAGCCACAGTGTTATTGGCAAAATTGGGGGTGTCGTGGTGTTCAGGAGTTTTGCAACTGTCTTCTCCATCGTCTTCCTTGTGAAGCGTCTGCCCTTCTGCCGGACAAACATCATTGCCCACACCTTCTGTGAACACATGGGGCTGGCAAAGCTAGGTTGTTCTGAAATCACCATCAATATTTGGTATGGAATCTCTGTACCACTACTCAGTGTTACGTTAGATATGGTGACAATAGTCATCTCCTAGGGGCTCATAGTTCAAGCAGTCTTCAGGCTGCCCTCCCTTGGTGCTTGGATGAAAGCACTCAGCACCTGTGGTTCCCATGGCAGTGTCATCCTCATGTTCTGCCTTCCAGGAATTTTCACTGTCATTGTTCAGCGCTTTGCCTGAAAATTTCCCAAGTATGTCCACATCCTGCTGGCCAATCTCTATGTTCTTGTTCCCCCCATGATGAACCCAATTATCTATGGAGTAAAGACTAAACAGATTCAGAAAGGGGTTGCCCTTGTGTTTTCTCCAAAAGGAAAATGTTGCTGAGGGTGACTGGATCTTACTGTGGCTTTTTAAAGAAGAGGAGGAGCGTCCTATTAGATGATAAGAAACGTTTGCCATGTATTTTTTCATGAAATAGGGATGACGCAAATTATATAAGTCTCTTATTTCAAAGGGAAGTAGGTTCTCAAAGGTTTGTTATTCACAGAGATAAACATTATTATTTTAAATATCGATAGGTTTTTTTAGTATTTAATGACAACATAATATTTCTACTTCTACCAAACAAATGTAAAATCAATATATAACACTTCTCTAATATTTAAATTTTAGATATCTCTGTGTCCTCCCGAACAGCTATTATAAATACAATTAGAAATAGTGAACCCCCAAATTGGATAAAAATAGGGAAAAGGTAGAGGCTTCCCCTTCTATCTAACTTTATTTGCAAACAAACGAGAATATCTGATAATACTAGATAGTGCCATTCACATATATGATATAATATTACAGTGTTATAAATATGTGATTTGGGAGAAAAAAGATCACATAATTAGATCAATCATTTTTGAGATATAAACTGCCCTGAGTGCTGGGTGTTCTAAGAGAGTTTCCTAAGCATTAAGCATCCCCTCTTCTTTAACTCCTTAACATCTTTCTCACAGGGTTGTTTAAAAATCCAATGAGAAAGTGAATATTAAAGTGCTTTAGAAGTTATAAAATTGTATCACTTTTTTATAAATGTGCTGTGTCATTATTATTAGTGTGATTATGTTTCCTGGTATGAGGTTTCATTCTCATTATGGTCAAAATTAAATTCAGGCCAGGTGCAGTGGCTCACGCCTGTAATCCCAGCACTTTGGAAGGCCGAGGCGGGTAGATCACCTGAGGTCAGGAGTTCCAGACCAGCCTGGCCAACATGGTGAAACCTCATCTCTACTAGAAATACAAAAATTAGCTGGGCATGGTGACGTGCACCTGTAGTGCCAACTATTTGGGAGGCTGAGGCAGGAGAAATGCTCAAACCCGGGAGGCAGAGGTTGCAGTGAGCCCAGATCATGCCACTGCACTCCAGCCTAAGCCACAGAGCAAGACTCATTCTCAAAAATAAAAAAATAAAAATAAAAAGTTAAATGTAAAACAGCAAAAACCTTATCCTTTGTCTACAGCCAAGTCCTCCTATCACCCTCCTTCTTTCTTTTCCCACCAGGGATCACTTAGCTATGGTGAAGTGTCCTCCTGTAGCTTTTCCCTATCAGTTGACTCTGAATGGAGGATGACAACACACTATTCGGCTGCTCTATCTGCACTGCTACTATACCAAGTGGTGTGACTGGCTGATGCCTCTTTGCACTTCCCATCCTCCAGAAACCCCTGTAAGGATTTTCAAAGAAATTTTACCTTGCTCCAGAACTATGGGACCTCCTTCTTCTCAGTTGTCTGTTCAGACTCTTGGCATCTTGTAGGGAGTAGAGGAATTACTTTTGTGTTTGTCCTGTGTTGGGGATGTTTGGATTAATTTTGCCAAAAACTTGGGATGCTTGGCTAACAGCAAGCCTCGGACATTGAATTTACAACTACACAGACATTGAGAGAACTCCAGAGGGATTTACCTAACTTCAGAAGTGTGGAGACATTTCGGGGTTGTGAAGCTTGTGAGAAAGGTCTTATTTTTTTCTGGAAAATTTATACCCTGGTAATATCTAAGGAAACATTCTGGGAAGGAGGGAGGTATGTGTATGGGGGTGGGTCTAGGGAATAGTCTCTCTGGCTTTCGTGAGCAAAGAAAATATATATTTCTTCATTCTTTGCTTATGATGCGCATATAGCATGCCATAGGACATTTGACCTGGCCTTCATTGCATTGTCTCAGGAGCAAGAATCAGCTGTGGGGGACCACACAGTTATTATTGTCTTTATAATTGAATAATAACAGTGTATCTTGTCCAGAATAATTTGTGTGTTCCTTCAAGATGAAATTGATAAAATGAATCTTCAAAACACAATATAATTCAGTGCAAACTTCTAATGTAAATGATCTTCAACTTTCACATAATTCAACCCTGTATATTTTGAGTGACCATTGTCCCTATGCTAATTCCTGAATCTTCTTCCCACTCTCCTTTCTTCTTCACTCCCTATAGTAATACAAAGCTATATACTTAAAAAGTTATATCTAAATCACAATAAAATAATGTGTTATCAAACTACTCTCAAAAATACGATCAAGTTTAGGAATATGAAAGGTCGTTGGGGTAAAACTAACCAAGGGGACATAAAAATCAGAGTTCAAAAGAAAAGAGCCAGTGAAGCGGTTGAAGCTCAAGTGCAGCCTTATAAGGCCTGCAGTCGTGGCCTGAGCCACACTCAGGCTTGTGAATTGGGCTTCAAGAGGACTATGGCCAGTGGTAAGCTGATGAATGCTTAACAGCCAATTCTTGGGGCTTGATTGTAGAGCAGCTGATTGAGAAAATGTAGATATTTCCACTATAGCTGACTTCAAGCTACCAATTTGATGTTGACCTGCTTGCAAAAGTCCTGAAAGTTAACATGTGGCTCTCATGAGCCAGTGGGAGCAGCCTCTAGCACATGACTCTTGTGACTCTAGTTAGACCTGACACACTGGGATTAGAATGATGTAACTCAAAAAGGATGTGATAATGAAGTCTCTGGGCTACAGAAATCCTGACTCATTCTGAGGTAGAATAGTGAGTAGGTAAGAACAAAAATTTTGGAATGAAATTGACTTATTTTCTATATATCATCATATATTTCTTGCATGATAATGAGCATATTGTTTAACTTTTATTAAGGTAAGATTCACATGACATAAAATTCTCCACTTTAAAGTATGTAATTTAGTAGCTTTTAGTACATTTCTAATGTTGTGTAACCATCACCAAAGTCTAATTTCAGGCCTTTTTATCACCCCAAAAAGAAAACCCATATTCACTAACTAGTCACTCTCCACTTCCTTTTCCTGCATTAACGTACTTCCTGTCTCTACAAATGTATCTCTTCTAGACATTTAATGTAAATGAAATTATGCAACATGTCAGCCATTTCTGTCTGATTCCTTTCACTTAACATATTTTCAAGATTCATTCATATTTCAGCATGTATTGAAACTTTATTCCTTTTTGTGGCTGAATATATTTTATTGTATAATTATACCACATTCATCAGTTGATATATATTTTACTTATTTTTACTTCTATTTTTGCTACTATGAATAATGGTCTTATAAGCAACCATTTACAAGTTTTTATGTGAACACCTGTTTCAGTTCTCTTGGGTATATACCTAGGAGTAGAATTGCTAGGTCAAATGGTATTTCTACATTTAACTTTTTGAGGAACACCCAAACTGTTTTCCATAGAGGCTGCACCATTTTACATTCCCACTACCAATGTATCAGGGTTCTAATTTCTCCTCATCCTCACTTGTTATTTTCCTTTTCATATATATATGAAATATATATATATGAAACATATCTATGAAATATATATATATATCACTGTCCTAGTGGATGTGAAGTAGGACAAAGTATTTTATGGAAAAAGATTACAAAATCATTTCCTCTTCTCCTCCTTGTTACCCAAGTTCAAGCTAAGCTTCATTTTCCAGAGGGAATAGCATGTATAAAGGTCCAAGTGGAAAGAAAACATACTTTGTTTGAAAAACTAAAAGAAATATGGTATGATTGTAACATAAGGGCATGTAAGAGTAAGAGAAAAGAAGGAGGTTGGGGCTAGTGGACACCAGACAATGACTGGTTGGCATCGAAATACTATAAAAGGCTTTGAAAACATACACGTTAGGAAATTTGGATTGTATTCAAAGCAAATAGATCTACTGTTGAATGATTTAAAGTAGAAGAGTGAGTCGATCTAGGTTTGAGTTTAGTAAGACCATGATATTTTCTGAGTAGCAAGTGGATGGGAGAGAAAAAAAGACTGGAGGTAGCAAATTCCTAAATTAGGGTATGGAAAACTTGGGAGAGAGAGACAATAGTGATCATATTTTAATGTGAAGTGTGTGGATAAATTCAAAGCATATTTAGAAAACATAATAAATAATAAACATATTTTTAAATAATTAAATAATTAAAATAAATAAGAAAAATAGACTTTGACATGGAAAACTAGTTAAATTTTATACTGTTTAGTAAGAGAGAATTCAAGATGATTTGTGGATCATGAAGCAAATAAGGAGAGAAAATGGTAATTTTTATTTGAACATGTTGATTTTGAAGTTTCAGTGGGAAATATAAGAGTAGACATCAAATAGGAAGTTGGCTATAGGGTCATATAAGGAATTTGATGTACAGCTTTAGACTTGGTAATTTTCAGCATAAATATGCTTACTGAATTTATGAGCTTGCTACATCTTAAACACACTGAGCCTCACAAGCCTATAAATTAATTTGTTTCTTTATTTGAAAAAGAGAAAATTGAAACAGGATGAAAGAACTAAAAGAAGGGTAAAAGTTTCTGCATTTATTTATGATTTGAAATAAGCAACACCTCATTTTAGGCCATTGAATGAGTGCTTCCCATATTTATGTTTTTGATGGTAGAAAATTAGAATGCCTCCATTTGATGCCTATTATTTTCTTGCAACTCGAATAATCTTTATCTCTCTTATCTCCTAATTCCTTTAATTGTACTGAGTTTCTCCAATAGCACTGAAATCTTAAAATTCATAAAAATTGGATCTCTCATTGGAAGACTTTCTGCTAGTGATTTACATAAGAATTCTTTTAAATTTTTCACAGCCCATTTATCCATATTCTCATCCTCATATCACTGCATCCCTTTAAGAAAGAATAATTCCAATCTGCTTTGTTTTTACTCCATAATTATGGAATTGAGTACAGGAGGGATTGCCCTATAGAGGCCCACAAACATAATGTAAAAAGTGCAAGAGATACTCTGGCCAAAGTGATGAGTAAGGGCAGAAAGCATGGCTGGTGTGTACAACATGAGAATGACACTGACATGAGAACCACCGGTGCTTAGGGCCTTCAGAAGGGCATCACTGGATGGAAGGTGGAAAACAGCATGAAGGGTGAGGGTGTAGGAAATATCAGTGAGGATCAGATCTGAGATAATAGTCATTACCAATATAGTAAAGTCATACCAGATATTGATGGAGATATCAGCATAGGAAAGCAGGGCCACACCTATGTGCTCACAGTATGTGTTAGAATTAATGTGTGTTCTGCAGAAGGGCAAATGCTTCCCCAGGAAATCAATGGGCAAAATGTTATTAAACCTTCAATCAATGCTCACCACAATCTTGCCAAGTGTCGAGGTGTCAAGCCACTGGTGTATCTCAGAAGGAAACCAATGGTCATGTAATGATCAAATGCCAGACCCAACAAGATGGCCAAGTCCAGAAAAAAAGCTAAAGTGAAGTAGACCAAAAAAAAAAAACCTGGTGAAGCATCCAGGAAATATTATTTTCTGAGCTTTCAGCTAGAATATCCCAAATGTTTTGGGGAAATATGTAATGCATAATATGAGGTTTGCAGAGGCCGGTATAGAGAGGAAGGAAAACATGGGTTTATGGAGGTTGTGTTCCACAGTGATAAGGTAGAGAAGGATGACATTCCCTACAAGGGAGACAAGGTAACTGGTAAAGGAGAGAATTCCCATCCAGATGCAGAACCACTCCAGCCCTGGGATCCCCAACAGAATGAAGAGTCCTGGATTGAAGCTACTTAAATTCAATGTGGCCATCGTGGTGATTGCCATTCACTGAGGACAAAATGTCACATTTGATTCTGAGACTGACTGGCCTTGAATCCATTTAAGTCTTTTTTATAACTTGGATCCCTTTGCCTTTATCATGTAACAAACACGAAGAAAAACACAATCTATCTATTGTCATAACCTTTACATCATTTATCAAAGGCTGACAAAAGGTATTAATTAAACCCACTATTTCCTGCCTATAGCCATTACCATGACCACCTTGTTAGTATATCTGGACCATGTCCCACCAGACCCATAACCTGAGAGAATACTGGCCCTTTGTTGTCAACTAAAATTCCAAGACTGTTTTCCTCTCACTAACTAATTCAGTCTGAAATTTCTCAAGGATGTAATCTGAGGGTTGACTATGACTCTTCCTCCTCCTTCAAACCCAGTATTTTCTTTTCCTACTTCTGTGATTTTCTTTTGGAACCCCTCTTTTATCTGCCTACTCCATTTCTTCACCACTGCCTCACTTGAACCCATCCTGATTATTAATTGGAACTGTAGAATGAGAATGCTGATTCTTATTCTGGTTCTGTCAATATTTTGCAAACCTTTACCTAATTGTGCTACCTTATTGGTCCCTGAAAACAGGAAACTATCAAGTCACTCACAATCTTGTGTAAAAGCACATAACTATTCCCTTTATGCCTACAGAATACATTTTATTTCCCTGCTCAACAGGCAATCTCTTTCCCGTATATATGGGTTCTACCTATGTGAATGTGTCTAAAACTCTCCCCTAAAGCATATCCATATAGGACTTCATATATTCTCCATCATTCTTACATCTCACTGCTTATATTTTACTCCAAAAGTGCAATCTTGCCTTCTCTCAATGTCTAAATTCTACCTATTATTTATGATTCTCGAAAGTGCTAATGTCCTCTGAAAACCTTCTCCAGGATTACTTAACCATGTTTTGAAAAGGACTGACATATCTGTGGGAATCCAGAAGTTCAGGTGCTTGTGAAGAGCTGCGAGGAGGCCCTATTCTTTCACCTGTTGCTCTCCTTAATACTCTGCAAAAGCAGGAAATGGAGGCAAAGAAAGGGTTGTAAACTGCACTGCTAAGTGTTTAATGTGTGCCTCAAAATGCCAGTGAAGCCCTTCAGCAACCTGGGACATTGATTGTTCACAAATATTTAAGAAAATCTCTGTTCATTAGCTGACCGCTAAGATAACTGAGTAGAAAATTCAGTGGCTGTACATGACAAACAAGAAAACCTTTACAGAAATAGTCCAAAAAGTGACTTAAAAAAGAAAAACCTATAATAATTAGCAACAACAGCAAATCCTGGGAATGGAGGAGAATCTACTTTCCAGGGTTATCACTTTACATTGTTTAAATTTTCCAGTTTTAACAAAAAAAATTATGAGACATTCAAAGATATAAGACATGTGATCTATACACGGGAAAAAGAAAAGTCAATAAAATCTGTCCCTGAAAAAACCCAGATGTTAGACTTATTACACAAAGACTAAATGAGCTGGCTTAAATATATTCAAAAAGCTAAAGGAAATCATGTCTATACAACTAAAGGAAAATATGAGAAAAACATCACACCAAATATTAAATATCAACAAACAATTTATAAAAAGAAGTCAAATAGACATTCTGGTGTTAAAATTTGGAAAAACTGAAGGGTGGCTGGCACGATGGCCGAATAGTAACAGCTCCGGTTTGCAGCTCCCAGCGAGATCAGTGTAGAAGGTGGGTGATTTCTGCATTTCCAACTGAGGTACCCGGCTTATCTCATTGGAACTGACTAGACAGTGGGTGCATCCCACAGAGGGCAAACCAAAGCAGGGTGGGGCATCACCTCACCCAGGAAGCGCAAGGGGTTGGTGAACTCCCTCCCCTAGCCAAGGGAAGCCATGAGGGACTGTGCCATGAGGAACAGTGCATTTCGACCCAGATACTATGCTTTTCCCACAGTCTTCACAACCTGCAGACCAGGGGATTCCCTCGGGTGCCTACACCACCAGGGCCCTGGGTTTCAAGCACAAAACTGGGTGGCCGTTTGGGCAGACACTGAGCTAGTTGCAGGAAGATATGAAATGATATGAACAGACACTTCTCAAAAGAAGACATTTATGCAGCCAACACACATATGAAAAAAAGCTCATCAACCCTGGTCATTAGAGAAATGCAAATCAAAACTACAGTGAGATACCATCTCATGCCAGTTAGAATGGTGATCATTAAAAAGTCAGGATGCAGTGAGCCGAGATTGCGCCATTGCACTCCAGCCTGGGTGACAGAGCGAGACTCCGTCTCAAAAAAAAAAAAAAAAAAAGGTCAGGAAACAACAGATGCTGAAGAGGATGTGGAGAAATAGGAACGCTTTTACACTGTTGGTGGGAGTGTAAATTTGTTCAACCATTGTGGAAGACAGTGTGGCGATTCCTCAAAGATCTAGAACCAGAAATACCATTTGACCCAGCAATCCCATTACTGAGTATACACCCAAAGGATTATAAATCATTCCACTATAAAGACACATGCACACGTATGTTTGTTGCAGCACTGTTCACAATAGCAAAGACTTGGAACCAACCCAAATGCCCATCAATAGATTATCCAATATGAAGAATTGAAAGAAAAAGACAAAAAATAAACAGAGACTCAGAAACATTTGGGACATACCCAAGTATACCACCATATTCATAGTGAGAGTCCTAGAAAGGGAGGCAAGAGAGAAAGATGCAGAAAGAATATTGCAAAACTAATGGCAAAAAAAACTCCCTAAATTTGATTTTTTTAATATGACTCTACACATTCAAGAAGCTCAAAGAACTCCACGTAGGATAAACTAGATATCCACATCATAATAATGAAAATGTTGAAAGCCAATAGCAAAAAGAAAATCTTGAAAGCATCAAGAGAGAAGTGAGTTTGTTCCAAAGCTTCTGAGCACATTTCCTTTAGAATCATTTTTATATGAAAATGCTTTCAAATAGTTCCTATTCCTCCTAAATTATTTGTCTTAATTGCCTTAGTGCCAGAGCTGGCACATAGTAAGCACTCTGGCATGGCAGTATTCACTTTCCATCTCAAAGAAGTAAAGCATTTAAATAAAATGTGTCACCTCTTTGGTAAAAAATAAAAAGTATAGACTTAAAAAAAATCGATAGGCTCATAATTCTTTGACCTTTGCTAGCTTGGTGGGTATATTCTATTTCTAGTGAGGTTGAAAATTTTTCCACACATTTCTTAGCCATTTTATTATCATTTTTATTATATTTTATAATTTCTAGTTATTTCCAGTCTTTTTTTAAGATATTTATTCAGCGTCACAATCAGACTATTACATTTAGAATTCAACAGCATAGGTGCAAAAAAAGTTAAAAATCTACACTATAACCCTTTGTTGGAATGCTTTACACTTTCCGCAGAACAGAAACTAAAATAACCTGTTATACAATTAGTCACAAATACAGTCCTCGAGTTTTTTGCCCATAAACATGAGTATTTGTCTAAAACATGTCTTCTTTGTAGCAGCTAGGCCCTGCCACCACTGTGCTTGGCTGAGTTCACAAATCTATTGTAACCTGTAGCTTCCCTGTCACTTCTCTTGCTCTCTTCTCCTGATAAGCTTTGTTTCCTAATTAAAATCTTCTGCCACTGCCATAGCTACTGCTACTACTAGAACCACCATAGCCACTTTAGTTTCGAGGTTTGGCAAAATATTGGCCTCCACCACCATAGGGGCCAGGGCTTCTGCCTCCAAAGTTTCCTCCCTTCATGGGTCTGAAATTTGAAGACTGATTGTTGTAATTGCCAAAATCACTGTAGCTTCCACCACCTCCAAAATTGCTTTCATTATTACCAAATCCGTTATAGCCATCCCCACTGCCACCATATCCACCAGCACCATGGTTGCCACCAAAGCCACCACAACCACTGAAGTTTCCTCCATGACCAAAGTTGTCATTCCCACCGAAACCACCTCCATACCACCATCAAAGTTTCCAGAACCACTTTGACCTCTTTGGCTGGCTGAAGCACTAGCCATCTCTTGCTTTCACAGGGCTTTCCTAACTTCACAGTTGTGGCCATTCACAGTGTGGTATTTCTGAATGACAATCTTATCCACAGAGTCATGGTTGTCAAAGGTTACAAAGGCAAAGCCCCTTTTCTTGCCAATGCCTCAGTCAATCACTTCAATTTTTCCATACTGGTCAAAATAATCTCTTAGGTGATGTTCTTCAGTGTCTTCTTTAATGCCACCAACAAATAACTTTTTCACAGTTAAGTGGGTCTTTGAGAATCTTCTCTTGAGACAGCTCTCTTTGGTTCCACGACTCTTCCATCCACCGTGTGTGGCCTTGCATTCATGGCTGCATCCACCTCCTCCACAGTGGCATATGTGACAAACCCAAAGCCCCTGGAGCACTTGGTGTTTGGGTCTCTCATTACCACACAATCCATGAGTGTTCCCATTGCTCAAAATGGCTCCTTCCTCAGCCTCTCATCGGTTGTTTCAAAGCTCAACCCTCCAATGAACAGTTTCCTCAGCTGTTCAGGCTCTTTAGGAGACTCTGACTTAGACATGAGGGAAGGGAGAAGAGAGACTTTGATGATGCTTCTTCGGCGGCATCCACAAGCAGAAAGGCATTTTCCGTTATTATTATTTTTTAAATTTTTTGGTTTTTTTAGACAGACTTTCACTCTTGTTGCTCAGGCTACAGTGCAATGGCATGATCTCGGCTCACCTCAACCTCCGCCTCCTGGGTTCAAGCGATTCTCCTGCCTCAGCCTCCCAAGTAGCTGGGATTACAGGCATGGACCACCACGCCCAGCTAATTTTGTATTTTTAGTAGAGAGGGGGTTTCCCCATGTTGGTCAGGCTGGTCTCGAACTCCCAACCTCAGGTGATCCGCCCGCCTCGGCCTCCCAAAGTGCTAGGATTACAGGAGGCATTTCCATTATTCATATACCTCTTAGTAAAACAGCAGCACCTTATTTTAAAAAGAGAGAGGAAAGAGAGAAGTGACTCATTATGTGCAAGGGATCCTGAATAAGATTAATGCTGATAGCACATGAGAAACCCTGAAGGTGAGCAGGCAGTGGGATGACATATTTAAAATGCTGAAAGAAAATAAATTGCCAGCTAAGAACTCCGTATCTGGCAAAATTATCCTTCAAATAGAAGATAATCTTCAAAAGAAGACACTCAACAAATTAGTATAGAATAAAACTCTCATAACCTGGTAAAGGTCATCTATGAAAAATTCACAGCTCAAATAAAAGAAAATAAAAGACACCAAGAATTGAAAATAGTAAATAAGATTATCTCTACTCACAGATGGCCTGATCTTATATATAGAAAGTGCTGGCCAGGTGCGGTGGCTCACGCCTGTAATCCCAGCACTTTGGGAGGCCGAGTTGGGTGGATCACGATGTCAGGAGATTGAGACCAGCCTGACCAACATGGAGAAACCCCATCTCTACTAAAAATACAAAATTAGCCAGGCGTGGTGGCGGGCGCCTGTAGTCCCAGCTACTAGGGAGGCTGAGGCAGGAGAATGGAGTGAACCCAGGAGGCGGAGCTTGCAGTGAGCCGAGATCGCGCCACTGCACTCCAGCCTGGGCGACAGAGCGAGACTCCATCTCAAAAAAAAAAAAAAAAAGAAAGTGCTAAATGATACACTTAAAAAATACTATTAGAACTAATAAATGAGTCCAACAATGTTGCAGATCAATATATAACACTCAGTCAATACACAAAACAAAGAGCAAAAATTATAAAACTCTTACAAGAAAACATAATGGGAGACCATCATGACCTTGGATTTGGCAAAGTATTCTTAGAAATGACACCAAAAGCATGAGCAACAAAAGAAAATATAAATTGTACTTCATCAAAATTAAAAAATAAATTGTTCTTCAAGGGACACCACTAAGAAAGTGAAAAAAAAATGACAGAATGAAAAAAAAATTGCAAATCATATATTTGATAAGGATCTTATATCTAGAATTAATAAGCAATCTTTGCCATCTTTAAAATTCAATAATAAAAAGGCAAATATCCAAAATAAGCAAAAAATTTGCATAGATATTTCTCAAAGCAGGTATGGAAATGACAAGTGAACCCATAAACAGATGATCAAAGAAATGCAAATCAAAACCACAATGAGATATCACCTCACACTTACTAAAAGATCTAGATTTAAAGTGTCAGGTAACAGCACGTGTTGGTGAGGATGTGGAGAAATTATAATCCTCATACACTGTTGGTGGGAAGGTAAAATGGTATAGCCACTTTTAAAAACAGTCTAGCATTCCTCAAACAATTAAACTCAATTTGAGTTAACATATAATTCAGCAATTCCACTTCTAGATCTATACCCAGGAGACATAAAAACATATCCACACAGAAACTGGCACACAAATGTTTTACGGCATCACAATTTATAATAGTAACCCCCAAATGAAAATAAACCAAATGTTCATCAATCCAAGGGTGGATCAATAAAATGCATTCTATCCATGCAATCAGATATTTGGCCATACAAAGGAATGAAGTACTGGCACATGCTACGAAATAGGTGAACATTGAAAACAGGTTGCTTAGTTAAAGAAACCACATTGAAAGATCACAATTGTGTGATTTGATTTAGATGAAATGTCCAGAATAGGAAAATCTATAGAGACAGATCATGGATTAGTGGTTTCCAGAGGCCAATGGGGAGGGAAGTATGTGGTGTGACGGCTAATAAGCAGGGAGATTCTCTTTGGGGTATAAAAAATGATCTGGAATTAGTAGTCATAGTTGAAAAACCTAGTGAATAAACCAGAAGCCACTGAATTTTACACTTTAAAAAAGTAAATTTTATGGTGAGTGAATTATCTATAAAAAAAAGAAAGAAAAACTAAGTTAAGCCTGGCCCAGAAAAATGAGTCATCTTAATTTTGAAAGATTCTGAGACAGATTGATACAATTTATTGTACCCTGAATACTAGTCTTTACTATTTCTGCCCTGGTTCTAATGTTATTATTTTCTTCTTACCCCTTAATCTATATTCTTGAAAGCATTGCCATTGTCATTTATTTCATCTTTAAAGTCCTTTCGTATTCATTGTTTCAATTAAGCACTCACAATAACCTTACATACTCTCTCTCTCTCTAGTACTAACTACAATTTGATACTCTTCGAAGCCTCCCCTAGCTATACCAGATGAATTATTTATCTGGATTCTGGACTCACAGCAAGTTGCACTCACTGCTGTATTGTGATTAATGGTAACTGTTCATGGTAAGGAGACATGATTTCTTCAACTATTGACCTCAAATGCTGACCCAATGAAGGGATCAATCAAGAATTGTCAAATGTTTCAGTGAGCAAGACAGGGGTAATAATCCCTGTACCTCCCTCCCTTTAGAATAATATATGAATGTAATAGATGTTTAGGGGCAGTGGAGGGGTAAATTAAAAGCTCTAAGGTAAAAAAGAAACATGGGTTTTCAGACAGACACAAAGAAGGTGATAAATTTAAAAACCCCAAGAGAAAAAGACTTTACGAAGGACACTAGGAAGAGAGAAACAAAGGTGGAATTGAAGACATGGAAAAGAACTAGTGTTGGAACAGGAAATGCAAAAACAAATTTAATGAACACTGTCAGGCCAAGAGCCTCTGAGTTGTTGCTGAGCCCTTCCCTTCTTCATATATTAAGAGTGTCTATCAATAATCTCTTCTATCTGGCTCTATGCCAAAGCATATACCATGTGCCTTAGGTCCTTGCGTTGAATGGGAGGGGGAAATCAGCCCTGATGGCGGGGGAGGGAATTGGAGCTGAGAAAGGGAAAGATACACAGAGGGAGGAGAATCCCTGCTCCCAGAAGAGAGGAGGGAATAAACACTGTATGAGGCAAGACCTGAGATTCGATTCTATATATTAAGGAAGACTGGCTGTGTATGAATTGTGGAATTGAGAAGCCGTGAATCTGAGCAGGTGACATCAGGGAGGTAAGTCTGGGTCAGATATTTTTAGGATGAAGAGGAAGTATTAATATGGAGGAATAGGATGAGAAATGGGCAATGTTCAAAGAGGGGCAGAGAGAATAATGGGTAGCTGGAATGAATTGTGTTTTCCTGAGGGGTGGAGTGGAAGAAGGGCAGTTTGGAGGGACACTTTCTAGGTAAGGTTGGAGAGACTGGATGAGTAAATAATCCTTTGCTCTCAAGGAGGATGCAAGAATCATAAATTACAGATAGATTATGTCCTGAGACACTGAGGAACAGTGGAAAGAAAACTACAGCATATGGGAGATCATGCATAAGGGATAAATGGGTCAAGTTCCTGGACAGAGGAGTCAGGTAAAGGATTCAAAAACAGGTGGTAGAAATTTACTAAAATAGCAGAAGCGATAATTTCTCCCATTAAAAAAAAATGAAAGAGAATTAGAGGATGAAGGAGGATTGCCAGAGTACAGAGAAAAGAAGATAAAGGAATGTTTGCTTGATGGTCTAGATTTCTCCGTCATTGCAGAGATTAGCCCATCTGCTGTATTGGGTCTTAGAGGAGAGGAAGGAAGAGAAGGTTTGGAACTAACATTCATATTTTGGGAACCCAATAAGGGATAAGTCAACAGATGACAAAAAAAGTTCTAATAGAAACTGCCTAGATTTGTAATAGATCGTATATATGAATTTATCAAACAAAGTATACTGCCTAAGAATGAAAACTAGGAATACAAGCCAGGATAAGGAATTGTTAGTGACTGAGGGAATTAAATGTGGTCAGTATTACTCAAGTTTCCAACCAAGGAACTCAGGCTTGCAGAGTTGAAGCCTAAAGCCAAGTGAAAGTAAATAAAATCTGCTTCCATTCTTGTAGTTAATGTATTTAATTTTGTATTTAACTTTGAATAGTCTATCTCTGACCTGATTCTACTCTAAAACATGTAAATTTCCATGGTGGCCAAGAGATGTTTAATTGGAAAAGATATATTAGAAAAGATAGGAGGTTCCAAAGATATCTGAAGGAGGAACTCGTGGACAAGGGGGTTAAGTATATATGGAGTGGAAGGTTTTTTTTACAAAGAGCTGCCAGATGGACACTTAAAGTGGCGTTACTCAGTTTTGAGGTGTGAAGACTTTAACGGATGCCTGAATTGGAGTGAAAACAGAAATTACTGGGATGGAGAACAGGGAGACACCAGATGGACACAGGCTACCTTGGAGGTTCATTATTTAGGAGGAGAACTGAAGTCAAGTTGGAGAAGAAAGATGTTTGCAAGCGCTGATGTCACCCACAAAGGTGGGAACATGTAGCAGAGGATGAACGTGATGAGTGATGGGTGCTGTGGGAAGAATGAGCACAATGGTGGCACCAACTACAGACACGAAGAGAACATGAGAACAGAAGATCTATGATAAGAAACCTGTGATTTTTGTGGTACTGGTGTGTGTTGTTGTCAGTGTAAACTTACATACATGGCTGAGTAAGTGGGAATGTACCTCCTCCACCTACTTTTGAACATTCATTAAGTGTAAATTCTAACCCAGTCAATAGCAAATGAGGCACAGTCCTGGCTCACAGAGAGCTCACAATATATTGGGACTGAAAATATTTTAGTGCAGTAAGTACAGATAGGGAGAAAGAGAGATGGCTGCAGGGGAATGCAATAGTACAGAGAAAGTTGCTGATCCAGCCATTTGGAGGGATGAGAAAAATCTTTCTGGATGAGAAATATAGACTGGCTATGTTAAAGAGGAGGATGGAAGTAGAAGAAGCAGAATGTATAAAAGACCACAGGAAAAAAAGAGTAGCTTCAGGGGCATACATGCTTTCCAGTATGAGCAAAGAAAAGAGAAAGCAGGGAGGGGGAGAGAGAGAGAGAGACAGAGAGAGAGAGAGAGAGTGTGTGTGTGTGTGTGTGTGTGTTAGTTGCATGAATCTTTCAGGCAACGGGCAGTTATTATCCTTAATCAAGATAGTGCATATGCAAAATTATCTTTTGGGAACATTGTTTAATTATGAGGAATGGTTTAGAGACTAGAAGAACTGCAGACTAGGAGACCAGTTGGGAGGGCTTTGGATAAGTGGATCTAGAGCCTGGAAAGCAACATAAATGGCAATGTAGATTTGGGAGATATTAGCACATGAAGGCTAAATGGAGCCAAGGTAGTAGACAAGATTGGTCAGAGAGAGGAAAGAGTGAGAAGAGGATTGCTACAGACCATTAGGAAACACAAACAGTAAACCATTCTGCAGGGAGAGAGATGACTTTAATGAGAGCAGGATCAGACCAGGGTACAAGAGAAGAACTGGTGGAAGGTAGAGAAATCAAAGTCAAAAGTGGTCTTTCATGGAAGAATGATTTTTAAAGGAAAGAAGAGAGACAAAACAGTAATTTAAAAGAGAGTTTAGTAGAATAAAATGTTTTTATTATAGCTGTTGTTAATTTTTTGCTTGTCTTCAAGTTAAAAATATTTGAATATTCTTTAATAAAGATCCAGGAAATCAGGAGAAGCTGAAGATAAAGACAGAGAATAATTGATGAAACAAAGTCCCTGAATTGGTAGGAAAGAAAGGTAATTCAGAGAATAGATGGGGAAATTATTCTTGACGATACAGCTACATACATTCATACACATAAACACATGTATATACATGCATATGTATATATGTACACATATGAATGCATGCATGTAAGTATGCATATGTATGTTTGTGTGTGTATAAGGTTGTTTTAAAAACAATCTAATATGTTAAATATTCATACACGAGGCCCTAGGTTCATTTCCCAGCACCTCAAAAAATAACTCAAGAAACTTGTCTTATATTTAGGTAAAGTAAAATATGTTCCAGCTATGACAAAAGAAACATTGGAAAATAGGAAAGATACTGGCACCTCTTTCTCTGGGACTGGAGGAAATGAGGGGAGGATGGATGCAGAGATAAATAAATGTACAGGAAAGGAATAATATGAGGGATATGTTCCTGATAGTCCTGAAATGTGAGTTACAAAAGAGAAACATTCAGTGGAGAGAGAAAAACAGAATTTGGGCAGTGATAAAAGTCGTATATGCCAGGTGTGGTGGCTCACATATGGGAGCCACCAGCACTTTGGGAGGCCAATGCCAGCATTTTGGGAGGCCAAGGCAGCTGGATCACTTGAGGTCAGGAGTTCAAGACCAGCCTGGCCAACATGATGAAACCCCATCTCTACTAAAAATACAAAAAAAAAATTAGCTGGGCATGGTGGTGGGCGCCTGTAATCCCAGTTATTTGGGAGGCTGAGACAGGAGAATCACTTGAACCCAGGAGGCAGAGGTTGCAGTGAGCGGAGATCACGTCATTGCACTCTAGGCAGGGAGACAGAGTGAGACTCCATCTCAAAAAAAAAAAAAAAGTCGTATATTCATTGTGAGAATAGTTCAATAGGACTAAGGAGGAATCATGTGTCCTAATATGTACTAAAGACTACTTATGTGATTGTGTCATTTTTTCACATCCTGACTATGTAAGCTGAGGATAACACTAGTTAGATTTAGTTGAAGTCTGAGAATTTACAGATGCAGGGGAAACCAATGGATACTAAAAGGTAATGATCCTGGTGGAACTGATAGACATCTAGAGTAGATAGGGAAGAAAGTTCAAAAAGTTCTTACATCAGTGGCTCACAAACTTCAGCATGAATCAGAATCACCTAGAGAGCTTGCTAAAACACAGAATGTTATCCCAACTCTAGGTTTTCTCATCCGTAGGTTTGTGGTAGGGCCGAAGAATTTACAAGTTCCCTGATGGTGCTGTGGAGACCAAGCTTCAGAAGCATTGTTCTACACCTTCCTTTCTGCTCTGGATGACAGTGCCACATTTCACAGCCACAGAGGTGACTCAGGAAGTCACACGCAATTTAATAAGCTTTCCACAGAGAAAATTTAGCTTAATATACCAACAAAACAACAATTATGCTCATTTTAAAAATTAGAAAATTGCTCACACCTGTAATCCCAGCACTTTGGGAGGCCCAGGTGGGTGGATCACGAGGTCAGGAGATCGAGACCATCCTGGCTAACACGGTGAAACCCCGTCTCTACCAAAAATACAAAAAAATTAGCCGGGCGTGGTGGAGGGCGCCTGTAGTCCCAGCTCCTTGGGAGGCTGAGGCAGGAGAATGGCGTGAGCCTGGGAGGCGGAGCTTGCAGTGAGCCGAGATCGCGCCACTGCACTCCAGCCTGGGCGACAGAGCGAGACTCCGTCTCAAAAAAAAAAAAAAAAGAAAGAAAGAAAGAAAATTGTTACTCAGAGAAGACAGTGACTTGTCCAAGATCAAGCAGCCAATAGTTAACAGGGCAGACCTCTGACCCAGGTTTTTTCACACCCTCTGCGGTGTTCTTTCTAAATGCCGTAGCTACCTTAATTGCCTTCATACTTAGCGCATCTGTGCCTAGGGAAAAATGGGTGTAGGGTTGGCAGTGCCCACCACCCCCAACCCTACTCTTTCACATAATCTGCTAATCAAATTGTTGTTTAGTCCTCTTGTTGTAGGACTGCAGTCCTCTCTGTAGGGCCTGGGGCTTTTGCAGAGCTCATTACAGTTCACATGCCCAAAGAGATTGTACAGATTGGTTTTGATGTTCTACCTATCCCTGTTCTTTTCTGGACCTATGGCACTGTGCTGAGTCTGGCAATGTTTTTGAGCCCTTTAGTTTCCTGAAAAAAAATTTTTTTTTTTTTGAGACGGAGTCTCACTCTGTCGCCCAGGCTGGAGTGCAGTGGCGCGATCTCGGCTCACTGCAACCTCCGCCCTCCAAGTTCAAGTGATTCTCCTGCCTCGGCCTCCCGAGTAGCTGGGATTACAGGCGCCTGCTACCACACCCAGCTGATTTTTTGTATTTTCAGTAGAGACAGGGTTTCACCATCTTGACCAGGCTGGTCTTGAACTCCTGACCTCGTGATCCACCAGCCTCAGCCTCCCAAAGTGCTGCGATTACAGGCGTGAGCCACTGCGCCCGGCCTAGTTTCCTGAAATTCTTAAAGCTGTGTGGAGAGCTTCTGAGTAAGAACACTGAGCCTGTCTGTGGGCAGGTCCTGTAACTGTGCAGAGCCTATGTGTAATTATTTACGGAGAATATGGCTGTGTGCAGAGCCTGTGTGTGATTATCTGTAGAGATATGCCTGTGTGCAGAAGCCATAACTGTCATCGGGCCTGTAAGTATATGCAGGCCTTGTGCATATGGACACTCTACTAATGTATTCAAAAATCTGAAGCTCTTTTTTCCCTATGGCACAGGTGAGGGCGCTGCATAAAATCATGGCCCTTTTTTCTGCTAACAGCATAGGTGCTATGAACAACTCTGACACTCGCATAGCAGGCTGCTTCCTCACTGGCATCCCTGGGCTGGAGCAACTACATATCTGGCTGTCCATCCCCTTCTGCATCATGTACATCACTGCCCTGGAAGGCAATGGCATCCTAATTTGTGTCATCCTCTCCCAGGCAATCCTGCATGAGCCCATGTACATATTCTTATCTATGCTGGCCAGTGCTGATGTCTTGCTCTCTACCACCACCATGCCTAAGGCCCTGGCCAATTTGTGGCTAGGTTATAGCCTCATTTCCTTTGATGGCTGCCTCACTCAGATGTTCTTCATTCACTTCCTCTTCATTCACTCTGCTGTCCTGCTGGCCATGGCCTTTGACCGCTATGTGGCCATCTGCTCCCCCCTGCGATATGTCACAATCCTCACAAGCAAGGTCATTGGGAAGATCGTCACTGCCGCCCTGAGCCACAGCTTCATCATTATGTTTCCATCCATCTTTCTCCTTGAGCACCTGCACTATTGCCAGATCAATATCATTGCACACACATTTTGTGAGCACATGGGCATTGCCCATCTGTCCTGTTCTGATATCTCCATCAATGTCTGGTATGGGTTGGCAGCTGCTCTTCTCTCCACAGGCCTAGACATCATGCTTATTACTGTTTCCTACATCCACATCCTCCAAGCAGTCTTCCGCCTCCTTTCTCAAGATGCCCGCTCCAAGGCCCTGAGTACCTGTGGATCCCATATCTGTGTCATCCTACTCTTCTATGTCCCTGCGCTTTTTTCTGTCTTTGCCTACAGGTTTGGTGGGAGAAGCGTCCCATGCTATGTCCATATTCTCCTGGCCAGCCTCTACGTTGTCATTCCTCCTATGCTCAATCCCGTTATTTATGGAGTGAGGACTAAGCCAATACTGGAAGGGGCTAAGCAGATGTTTTCAAATCTTGCCAAAGGATCTAAATAAATGCTTTCAACTTAGTCTCAACCCTTTTCTATACCTATCAATTGTCCCGTATTTAGCCCATTCTCACCTCTACATCTTCCAATTATCCCTGTGTTATTCTCATCGATCTCCCAATTTTTTTAAATATGTCACCTATTCAAACCCACCTCTGATTTCTTTTATTGGAAATCTTTAGTAAAATCTGTCTCATTCTCTTACTCTTCCTATTGAAATGCAATCTGATTTCCCATCACCTCAAGAAAAACTAGCTAGTTAGGGGAAATGTAAGAACCAAGTTTACATTCTAAGTGAAACCTTTTTCTAACTGCTTACATTGGCTTCCTAATGTGTTCTTAATCACTTGTATATAATTTTGACATTTGCCAGTTCAACATCTTTCTCATGACGGGAACCCCTGAGAACTGTCATATCTAAGAATTTATAGTCTCATGGAATGATATTTTTCTTACCAGTTGCACAAATTCACAATCACATACATGTATATACCCATGTTCAGAGATACTAACGCAGCAGCAGCATAAATAGGTGGACATATCCATTTATCAACTTCTATCAAATAACTCTGAACTAACCATTACCTGTTCTGGACAAAGTTTTCCCTGACATGTAGACAATTGTATAGGACTCTTTTCCATCCAAATATGCTTTGTATTTAAAAGTTATATTCATCATTAAAATTAGAAACAAAAATACCTACTCATATCTGATACCTATGGATGGATATATTATTTAATAAATAGTGAAAGAAATATAAACATCTATATGTTATTTACTAACTTGCTCAATTATAACTACTAACATCAGGAATTAGCCTAGGCTGATGTTCTCTAAGATTGAGAAGAGCAACTCAACCTGAATTTCAGCCCAAGACCAAACTATTCTTGAAAACAGTTCACATCTCAATCCTGCCCACTCCTATACTCAGCCCACAGTGAAAGAGCCATCATTTGAGATTCTGCCCCACTTTTCATCTAAATCACTATTTTGTTGGATCATTAGTATATTGCTTCTCGTTTTATTAGAAATCTCATCTTTGTGTCTTAACTCCCTGTCTAGAGTGTACAATTCTTGAGAAAGAAAAGATTATTTTGAAGGCTTTTTATCATATTGCCCCAAAGCATGAGAACCCTCTCATAGCGAATATGTAATATGAGTATATGTGTATAAAATTCTTCTTTAAAAAAATTTAACATCACTTTTCTGCTCTAGACTCATTCTTCTTTGCAGGAGTTCTTCCTCCTGGGAGACACTGGGACTTAATGTCACGTAGAGGAGAGAATTGTGCTAGGTGCCAGGAGACATGGATTTAAAAGTTAGATGTACTACTTGGTCAATAAGCTTGAGAGTCTGCATAATATCCATGAACTTAATTTTCTGCTCATCTTTGAAGAAGATGAGAATAATATAACATTAAGTATCTATTGCAAATAAGCATTCAATGAATGTTCAGTTCATTTCCACCTTTTTCTTTCCACGTAGCTCTCTGTATCCTCTAGACAATGATAATAAAAATTAGAGAGAGGAGTCATTAGCATCCTTATTATGTGGAAAAGAAAACTGTAAGATGTGGTGATCAAGTTTTGAGTTCTAGATCTTTTAGAAATTGACTCTGTTGGAAATGACTGTTCCATTTACTCACTGTGTGAGTCTGGGCAAGTGACTTTACTTCTCTGTATCTCAACTTTCTTTTTCTTTTTCATTTTTTTTTTTTTTTGAGACAGAGCATTGCTTTGTTGCCCAGGCTGGAGTATAGTGACCTGCTGTCAGCTCACTGCAACCTCCACCTCAAAGGTTCCAGCGATTCTTGTGCTTCAGCCTCCCCAGCAGTTGGTACTACATGTATGCACCACCACACCTGGCTAATTTACATATTTTAGTAGAAGTGGGGTTTTGCCATGTTGCCCAGGCTGGTCTCGAACTCCTGAAATCAGGTGATCCGCCTGCTTCAGCCTCCTGAAGTGCTGGGATTACAGACCTGAGCTCTCGCACCCAGCAACTTTCTCATCTTTAAAAGGGAAATAATAATAGTAACTTTCTCTTAATGATTTAATGAGAAATAAATATATATCCATCTTATAACAGCACTTTGCATATAAATAAGTGCTCTATAAAGGATAGCTTTATTTGTATTATTGTTTCAATTATTATTAATGAATGGCTCATCCGACATCATAATGGTTGTTCTGAGACCTAACCAGATTGTGTATCATACTCAAACTTTGTTTCTACCAGGAGGACTAGGAAAAAGAAAACAAGAATAAAACAAAAATATTTTAATCTAATATTTACAGTAACTAAATTCAATCAAATATAATTCTAACATGTCAAAATTAAATGTATTCTTTAAAGAATTGTAGAGATTTCTTTAAATCTATTTTTTAAAATTATTTATTTATTTTTTATTATCATACTTTAAGTTCTAGGGTACATGTGCACAACATGCAGGTTTGTTACATATGTATACATGAGCCATGTTGGTGTGCTGCACCCATTAACTCGTCATTTACATTAGTTGTATCTCCTAATGCTATCCCTCCCCACTCCCCCCACCACACTACAGGCCTCGGTGTGTGATGTTCCCCTTCCTGTATACAAGCGTTCTCATCGTTCAATTCCCACCTATGAGTGAGAACATGCGATGTTTGGTTTTTTGTCCCTGCAATAGTTTGCTGAGAATGATGGTTTCCAGCTTCATCCATGTCCCTACAAAGGACATGAACTCATCCTTTTTTATGGCTGCATAGTATTCCATGGTGTATATGTGCCACATTTTCTTAATCCAGTGTATCATTGATGGACATTTGGGTTGGTTCCAAGTCTTTCCTATTGTGAATAGTGCCGCAATGAACATACGTGTGCATGTGTCTTTATAGCAGCATGTAAATCTACTATTTAAATCAACTATGCCACTGAAGACATATAAACTTGACTGCTGTTTTACAGATACACCAAGCTCATTTCCTTCTTCAGGCTTTTGTGCTTGTTATTCCTGTTTCCTGAAACTTCCTTTTCCTGTATCTTTACATGACTCATTCCCACCTTTCCTGCATTTCCCTGTTTATATGTCTCTTCCACAGGAATTTCTCTATGATTTTCTAATAAGACATATACCTCCATTTCTTTCATGGGGAAAAAAAAAACCATCATAAGCAAAGAGACAAAAGTCAATGACAAACTGAAATCTTTTCAAGTTATATTGTAGATAAGACGCTTGCTTTTCCTAATACTTATAAGTTCCTCAAAATGTAGAGGAAAAAAATGATCAAAAGCCTGATAAACATAAAGAACAGATACATCATTAGAATATGCTTTGCATACTATTAATAAGAGAAAATACAATAAAAACTACACCAAGATACCATTTCTTACCTGTCAGATTAGTAAAAGTTGAAAGGATTAACCTCGTGCTGGCCATAATGTTAGAAAACAGAGCCTCTCATACTTTGCTTATGGATATACCATACAATAGAATTTTTAAACACCAAACAAAATGTGTATGAATTTATTATTTGATCCAGAAATCACGTTTATAGGAGTTACATTTCATATATGCCTCCTTATGTACAAAATGATGTGTACAAGGTTAAAGATTATGACAAAATTTTTGTAACACATAAATATTTGAAACAACCTAAATACAGTCTGAATTCCTAGGTTTCAAATCCACCCCCTCATGCTTACTAAAGTATAAAAACTTGTTAACATTTACCAAGTTACAAAAAGGCATTATAATCACACAGACGGGTTAGATTGCAGTCACCATATTCAGTACATACTACCTAACTGTTTGTCACCAGGCAATTTGGTAATTATCCTCTTTAAGCCTCAGTTACCTTCTCTGTAAAAAAAGAGTAATAATACCTGCTTCAGGGGTTGTTTTGTTTATTAATGAGATTAGCTAGATATAAGAAATAAATAACTGGCATATTAATAGATACTTTATTGCTATCAAAATTTTAACTAATATAAAATAGCTAGAATATGCTTTATTGCAGGTATATTTGTGTGCACCTCTGGTAGAACTGTATTTCCACTAGCTGAATGCCTAAAAGTGGAACATCTAGATCATAGATCATGCATATTTAAAATTTTGATAGATGCTGCCAAATTGTCTGTAAATATTAGCTAGTAAATTCATAGCAATTGAACAGTATCACTTGTGATATTATCACATTGTTCTTTTACTTGGAATTTAAAAAAAGACTATCTTTTAATAATTCGTATCTACATGTTATCTTCTTTGAATTATCTTTGTTCATTTTTCTCTAGTTTTCTTGATCTAACTGATTTTAATATTTGATATATAAATTATATTAATCCTTTACAAAATAAAAAATATAGCAGAATATATGCAAAATATAGAAGCATATACCAAAAATATATTTTCCAATTTGCTTTTCAATAGAAAAGTCAACAAGCAATTTCAAGAGAAATTTTTAATTTTTGTGTTTGCCAGTCTCCATACTTATAAAATTAGTTTCATTATGTTTCTCTTTATTTCAAGATCAAGATTTTCTTCTATAGCTTCTTTTGTTATTATAGTTTGATTACAAAATTAACACATTCTGTTAGTATAAAATAAAAATTGAAAAATATAATTTCCTGATGCTATCTCCACAAAGGTAATGTGTACTTGTTTAGAATCAAAGGAAGAATCTGTCATTTTTTATGTAAGAAGCAGTTTCATGTAAGAGATACCGCAAAAGGGCCTCCTCTTATAGATTGAAGGCTGAGACCCTGAGTGAGAGATTAAATAAGGGAGATTTATCTTAGAGGGTGTAACTAAATTTATAGGAAAAAATATCAAGGAATTTGAGACATTTCTTTTCACTGAGTTCCTAACACTCTCCCAAGTCTCCGTCTGAATCTTCCCCTAACATTACCTAGAGAGTTATTCTCAGTTATCCCTGAGAATGCTCAAATGAATGAAGGCATAGTGGAAAAAAAACCTTTTTTCTACCCTCCTAGATTCTCCAGCTAGGGCCCTGAAAATTAGACTGACAAAAGACAGATTAATAAGAGAAAAACAAACACATTTATTAATATGTGCATTAACATGGGAGAAACCTATTGATAACTAACTCAAAAGGGTGGTTAGAACATTGGCTTACATAACATCTTAACAAAAGAACAATAGATTTTTAAAAAGTGACAAAAAAGAGTTTCAGGCTTCTAAGGGTAGCAAACTGTAGGAAAGTAAAAATGTGGTGGAAACTAATGGAGGATAAGGGCTAATTAGTAAGGTTTGTGTAGGCTCTTTCTCAATGCCATATTGTCTGTGGTGATAGGTTGTTATTCCCTTTCTGGTAATACGGAGAAGTATGAGTCAAGGGGAGGGGGTCACCATCACAAGAGGAATTTGTGTTTAGCTTTTGGGCAGCTAGGAGGAGGGCAGAGAGCTCATCCTGTGTCTGCTTTTTCTCAATTACCTTCAGCTTAAAAGGATTCTTATGCCACAGTGGTACATTTTGGAGTAGCATATTCTAAACCTATCTCAGTCCATTTGGGCTGTTATAACAAAATATCAGAAACTAGATAACTTATAAACAACAGAAATTTACTGCTCAAATATCTGGACGCTGGGGAGTACAAAACAAGGTGCCAGCAGATTCGGCATCTGGTAAAGGCCCACTTTCTGATTCATAGATGGTGCCTTCTAGCTGTGTCTTCACATGGAGAAAGGGATGAGAAGGTCTCTCTTGGGTCTATTTTATAAGGGCACTAATCCGTTCATGAGGGCTCTAGCCTCATGACCTAGCCACTTCCCAAAGGCTCCACCTCATAATACTATTGCAATGGTGATGAGGTTTAAATGTATAAATTTTGTGGGGAAAGGGTGCAGCACAAACTTTTAGACCATAGTAGAATCCCTTCAACAGCTTTACCATTTCAACTGGACAGATGTTTAAAAATTTTTTTTTTCTTTTTGTTTAGGTGGAGTTTTGCTCTTACTTCCCAGGCTGGAGTGCAATGGCACCATCTTTGCTCACTGCAACCGCCACCTCCAGGGTTCAAGCAATTCTCCTGCCTCAGCCTCCCAAGTAGCTGGGATTACAGGTGCCGGCCACCACTCCTGGCTAATTTTTTGTATTTTTAGTAGAGATGAGGTTTCACCATGTTGGCCAGGCTGGTCTTGAACTCCTGACTTCAGGTGATCCACCCACCTCGGCCTCCCAAAGTGCTGAAATTACAGGCATGAGCCTCCGCGACTGACCTAAAATAATTTTAATTGAAGGAGCAATAAGAAGAAAAAGGTGGAACAGTTTCTTCCCCATCTCACTTGCAGTTTTCCTTTTCTTCTTCTTTTTTTTTTTTTTTTTTTTTTGAGACAGAGTCTCACTCTGTCACCCAGGCTGGAGTGCAATGGCGTGATCTCAGCTCACTGCAACCTCCACCTCCCAGGTTCAAGCGATTCTCCTGCCTCAACCTCCCAAGTAGCTGGGACTACAGGCACACAACACCACCCTCTGCTAATTTTTTGTATGTTTAGTAGAGATGGGGTTTCACCATGTTAGCCAGGATGGTCTTGATCTCCTGACTTCGTGATCTGCCTGCCTCAGCCTCCCAAGTGCTGGGATTACATGCGTGAGCCACTACGCCTGGCCACTTGAAGTTTTTCAAAACTTATGGTCCTCAATCCCCTTATTATTTTAATCTTTAACCCCAAACAAGACCATATGAAGACCTTTTTGGTTTTTTTTTTTTTTTTTTGAGTTTCAGGTGTCACAACCTAGATGGTGACCTTCTTTCTTTCTTTATACTAATTTTATTAATGAGAAGCTTTTTAAAAAGCACTTGTTTACATGTCTATGTTGACATCAATTGTGATTAGAATTAAACAATCCTAGGGTGTATGTTCCATTTTAGCTTTTGGTAACTCCTTCTACCTGCCCACAGATTTTTTTTTTTTCTTTTTTGAGATGGAGTGTCGCTTTGTTGCCCAGGCTGGAGTGCAGTGGTGCTATCTCATCCCACTGCGACCTCCACCTCCTGGGTTCAAGTGATTCTCCTGCCTCAGCCTCCTATGTAGCTGGGATTACAGGCACATGTCACCACACCTGGCTAATTTTTTTATATTTTTAGTAGAGGCAGGGTTTCACCATGTTGGCCAGGCTGGTCTTGAACTCCTGACCTCAGATGATCCGCCCGCCTCGGCCTCCCAAAGTGCTGGATTTACAGACGTGAGCCAGGGCCCCCTGCCACACATTTTTATCATACCTATCTCAGACAATTGAAGTTTTTCTTTTCCTCAAAAATCCAAGCTGAGAGGTTATAATAAATACAGTGGAGCATATTTATTTGTATTCTAAACTGGTCAAATAGTCACTGTAGATGGAATCTTAGAGGAAAAATTATGAAAGATTTTAAAATAAAAAAATGCTTACTCATCTAGTGTCCTCTTCTGAGTTTTCTTAGCTTTGTATCGTCTTTGAGGTTAATATAATTTATTATGGAAATTATATTGAGCTGAAAATCATGCAAGTGATTTTGCCCATAGAAATGCAAATTAATTGTCTCAAATAGACATGTATTTGATGATTCTGTTGTGGATGTTGACTTGTTTTCATCTCTTTGTAAATTCATTGCAAGTTTTTCTGATCACTTGTATTTATGTGTGTTTTTAAATTCTCCTTTGGGTTGGTTACACCATCTTGCTGATTCTCTCCTTAATTAACTAAATAAATCTTCGGCATGTGTTCATTTTATATGTCCATAAACTCTCATTTTTTTTAAAAAAAGAAAACATCTTTTAACAGAAATCAGGCTAAAACAAAAAAGACAAATTAGTGGACTATAGGAATGGTCTACTTGTGAGAGGTGACAGCGTGCTGGCAGTCCTCACAGCCCTCCCTCGCTCTCGGTGCCTCCTCTGCCTAGGCTCCCACTTTGGCGGCACTTGAGGAGCCCTTCAGCCCACCGCTGCACTGTGGGAGCCCCTTTCTGGGCTGGCCAAGGCCAGAGCCGGCTCCCTCAGCTTGCAGGGAGGTGTGGAGGGAGAGGCGCGAGTGGGAACCGGGTCTGCGCGCGGCGCTTGCGGGCCAGCTGGAGTTCCGGGTGGGCGTGGGCTTGGCGGGCCCCGCACTGGGAGCAGGCGGCCTGCCCTGCCGGCCCGGGCAACGAGGGGCTTAGCACCCGGGCTAGCGGCTGCGGAGGGTGTACTGGGTCCCCCAGCAGTGCCAGCCCACCGGCACTGCGCTCGATTTCTTGCCGGGCCTTAGCTGCCTTCCTGCGGGGCAGGCCTCGGGACCTGCAGCCCGCCATGCGTGAGCCTTCCCCCGCCTCCATGGGCTCCTGTGCGGCTGGAGCCTCCCCAACGAGTGCCACCCCCTGCTCCAGGGCGCCCAGTCCCATCGACCACCCAAGGGCTGAGGAGTGCGGGTGCATGGCGCAGGACTGGCAGGCAACTCCACCTGCAGCCCCTGTGTGGGATCCACTAGGTGAAGCCAGCTGGGCTCCTAAGTCTGGTGGGGACTTGGAGAACCTTTATGTCTAGCTCAGGGATTGTAAATACACCAATCGGCACTCTGTATCTAGCTCAAGGTAAACACACCAATCAGCACCCTGTGTCTAGCTCAGGGTTTGTGAGTGCACCAATAGATATTCTGTATCTAGCTGCTCTGGTGGGGCCTTGGAGAACCTTTGTATGGACACACTGTATCTAACTAATCTGATGGGGACGTGGAGAAGCTTTGTATCTAGCTCAGGGATTGTAAATGCACCAATCAGCGCCCTGTCAAAACAGACCACTGGGCTCTACCAATCAGCAGGATGTGGGTGGGGCCAGATAAGAGAATAAAAGCAGGCTGCCTGAGCCAGCAGTGGCAACCCACTGGGGTCACCTTCCACACTGTGGAAGCTTTGTTCTTTTGCTCTTTGCAATAAATTTTGTTACTGCTCACTCTTTGGGTCCACACTGCTTTTATGAGCTGTAACACTCACCGCGAAGGTATGCAGCTTCACTCCTGAGCTAGCGAGACCACGAACCCACCAGAAGGAAAAAACTCCAAACACATCTGAACATCAGAAGGAACAAACTCTGGACACGCAGTCTTCAAGAACTGTAATACTCACCGTGAGGGTCCGCGGCTTCATTCTTGAAGTCAGACCAAGAACCCACCAATTCCGGACACACTTGCATCTAAGATAGTAACAGTAAAGATGGAGAGAAATAAATCAAATGGATAAAACTTCTTCAAAAGGAGAAATTAAAAGGACAAAAATTGAATGTTGGGATGAGGAAGAGGAAAGAATTTAGGAGTTCATTGTTTCTGAGGAAACTAAAAAGGCTAGTTGTACCATTCATCAAGATAAGTAATAAAGGAGAATAAACAAGTTGGTGGGCAAATAAACACTAATATTATATACTGTTACTGAGCAATCAATGGGCTTGCCTCTTGACATACAAGCCAATACCATGGCACCTTTTGAGAAAAGCAAAGCTTTATTGCAAGTAGACTGGCAAGGAGACAGAAGAAATGGTTAGCCGGGCGTGGTGGCTCACACCTGTAATCCTAGCACTTTGGGAGGCCGAGGCGGGCAGATCACCTGAGGTCAAGAGTTGGAGACCAGCCTGACCAACATGGAGAAACCCTGTCTCTACTAAAAATACAAAATTAGCTGGGCGTGTTGGCACATGCCTGTAATCCCAGCTACTGGGGAGGCTGAGGCAGGAGAATCGCTTGAACCTGGGAGGCGGAGGTTGCACTGAGCCATGATCGTGCCATTGCACTCCAGCCTGGGCAAAAAGGGCAAAAACTCCGCCTCAAAAAAAAAAAAAATTAATGAGGTATGATCTGATTGGATCTTGCAATGAGGTGATGCTGGGAGACATGATCTGATTGGATCCTGCCATGGGGTGATGCAAGGGCTCATCTGATTAGATCCTGAATTCTGCCATGTGAGGTTCTTTCTTAATTCAGTCCCTACTCCTCAGTCTGAGCATTTGGGTTCCACCTGTGGTTGCATGCTTGGTTTATCTAGGCATGTTCAGGCTATGTGACCTTTAGCCCCGGGGGGCTGTGGCAATTGAAAAACAGCTCACAACTATGACACTTAAAAGTTAAACCAGATGAGTCCGCTGAGGTTATAACATCTTGTTTTTGTTCTACCTGTGAGTTAGTTACTCACATGGACTCTGGAGCCCAAAAGAGGTCTGATCTATAGTTAATGTTAGGACTTTGTCAGCTAGGAAACTGGATGGGATTATCTAGGAAGGGGATTTAGAGAAAATGAGATAATAGGAAAGAAACAAACAAAAAGCTATATTTAAGTGACTAGCTTGATTTTCTTCAAATTGACTAGAATGTGAATATATGCACAGCAAAATTCATGTTTTATTCATCGGTATTACTCCAGAGCCCTGCCAAATGCTTGGTACTTCATTATAGTTAATAATGCTACCTATCACTCACTGACGAGCTATTGTGTTTCAGGGACTGTCCTAAGTACTCCACATATACTTGCATATTTAGTCTTCACAATAACTCTATGCAGTAGGTATTTTACAGATAGGGAAACTGAGGCCCAAGAGAGGTTAAGTAACTTGCCCCAAATCATACAGATGGTAAGTAAATGAGCTAGGATCTGAATCTTGGCAAAACTGGTTCCAGAGTCCATCATCTTAAATACCATCTTAAATACCGTGCTATATGACATATATAGTTTAATATGTGTCTGCTGAAAAGAAAGAACAAAACAAATTTTTAAAAAGAAGGAAGGAAGAAAATATAAAATATCAAAGGAAAGATGGGGCCAGGCGTGGTGGCTCACACCTGTAATCCCAGCACTTTGGGAGACTGAAGTGGGTGGATCGCTTGAGTCCAGGAGTTTGAGATCAGCCTGGGCAACATAATGAAATCCTGTCTCTACAAAATACACAAAAATTTACCCGGCACGGTGGTGTATGCCCTTAGTCTCAGCTACTTGAGAGGCTGAAGTGGGAAGATCACTTGAGCCCGAGAGTTTGTGGCTGAAGTGAGCTGAGATTGTGCTACTACATGCCAGCCTGGGCAACAGAGTGAGATTGTCTCAAAAAAAAAAAAAAAAGAAAAAAGAAAAAGAAAAAAGAAGAAAAAATGAGAGGAAAGTAGGGAAAACAAGAAGGATGGAAAAAAGAGAGGGAGGAAAGGACCAAAAAAATGCATTAATTAGGTCCATGTTTGATGATCAGAAGCATCTGAAAACAAAATTGGTGGCTTGTTTCTCCTACATCCCTAAGCCTCTGGAACAAGAGGTGTTTCTCCCTGAAATTTGTTTTCATTTGGTTTTACTGAAGTTCTTCCTGTAATCAGATGTTAACAATTATCTTTCAGAAAATCCAGTTAGGCCTATCCTGAATTCTCAAGCATAAACTACCCTGATTCTTAATCTTAGCCTTGCAATATCTACTTTTTTCTTTTCTTTTGTTCCCATCAGCTCCCAGCTGGTAGTAATGAGTTAAGAAGGGTTTTCCATGAGAGGGGCAGAAACATTTCTGACAACAGGAATCATCTAACACTGCTTTCAAACAAGTTGTACTGAAAAAATATACTAGAGATTTTTTTCACAGGAAGTCTCTCTCCTGTGAATATATTAGAGATTTCCTCAAAGAAAATATATTCGAGCATATTAGAGATTTGCTCACAGAAAATCTATCTCCTGAGTTTGTATTTTTTTTATCACTATTTGGCTATGAGAATATTCTGTGACCCTTGTCATGGTCCTGTTTGCTTTTCCTGAAACCTCTTTCCTATCAAATGTTAATATCCACTTATTGCTATTAAGAAATCTTGACACCTCAACCTGTGCACTAAACAATATTCCTGGTATATACTGAGTATTTAATATTGAGTATTGTAATAATAACAGGCTGGCTCTGTTGATACCACCCTGAGTCTAGAACTGCAGCAGTGGGTCCTGAGTCTAGAACTGCAAGTACTCTGAGTATTCAGGAACTTGGGGCTGTCAGCAAATCTGTGCCCTCTTTACCTTCAAACCTGTCCTACTGGATGCATCATATTACCCCACCAAACCTCTGGATCCCACATACTTGGTTCCCTTTTAACACTAACAGTATTCCACTGTATTGGGTATACCACTTGTTTTTCAATACATTTAATACTTGATGAACAGTTGGGTTGATTCCATTTTTTAATATGAGTAAAACTGCTATGGACATTTGTGTACAAATCTTTGCACGGATATGTTTTCATTTCTTTTGAGTAGATTCCTACGAGTGGATTTGATGGATTATGTGGTAAATTTATATCTAACTTTTCGAGACCCCTTGAATTATTGCCAAGTACCTTCATTTCTTCTCAACCGTCAGAATGCCCAATCTCCCTGTTCAAGATGAGAAATTATAGAGAAAATAAAAACTGCCTTGGTTAGCAAACAAAAAGGAAAAATTCTGCACACTGAGAAACAGTCTTTCATTCTGTTTTTTGTTTTCTTTTTTGTTTTGAGACTGATTATCACTGTGTTGCCCAGGCTAGAGAGCAGTAGCAGGATCATGGCTCACTGCAGCCTCAACCTTCCGGGCTCAAGTGATCCTCCCACCTCTCAGCCTCCCAAGTAATTGGGACTACAGGCACGTACCGCTATGCCTGGCAATTTACTTATTTTTTTTAGACAGGGTCTTACTATGTTGCCCAGGTTGGCCTCAAAATTGTGGATTCAAGCTATCCTTCCACCTCGGCCTCCCAAAATGCTGGGATTACAAGCGAGCCAACATGCCCAGCCAACATCCTTTTTTTTTAACTGAGCCTACTAGCCCCAGAAATGAAGCCCTATGCTGACAAGACTATGGAGCCTGTAAGTTACTTCCATTTATATCAGCTCTTAGAAAATGGCCTGAGAAGGGACTCTGGGTTGGGCTTCTCCATCCCTTTTCCAATATTTCTAACCCTCTGGGTGTCAATCATACCATTTTGTATTCCAAGGGACTTAAATGTTGGCTGGGCCAGTGGCAGGGTGGTGTCCATACTGGGCAGTTTGGGTGGGGTCAGGAGAATTTCAGAGCATAAGCAGGCTTTGACCTGAAGCGTCATCCAGGGGCAATATGGAGGCAGCCATACCTAAAACCGTTGTGAAGAAAGCTACACAAAGGGTGATCTGAAATAACCTTTGCGTGGCTTCTTAAGCCTGCAGACATGAGGTAGTCACTGAAATAGTGACACATGTCTGCACTTACGAGATTCCAATGACCTTTCATTTGCCTGGGGACTGTCCAGAGAAATCTCTTGATACTTAACCCAGCTCTCTCCCTACTGCCCAATCCTCCGTCCAGACTTTTGTATGGACACCCCAGTCCCTTCTCTCTCTATACCTCCCTCCCCAAGCCACCTTCTAAGGCAAGGTGATACTCACCTAATCAGTCTCCTTAGGGAGGAACTTTGACATTCTTTTTCTTCTCAGAGTTTCTGTGCTATTGAAACCCTGTAGTTAGAGTTCTGAGGCTCAATAAGCTTTACATGTATTCATCAGACCTAAATAAAAACAAAGATTGTCTTCTAGTTATATAGGTCAAAATTACAGATACACACACACAGCTTTATACATACATACGTGTAATTTTAAACTGATGAATTTTAATGATCGTTTGGCAAAACATGCCATTATGCAAAGGGGCTTTTACTCGTATAACTTTATATGTTTATTTAGACATTTTAATTAATACGTCTATATGGAGTACAGGTGTATTATCAGTGTAATTAAACTCTGATATGATATTAGAAAGCTACAGTACACTGCAGACAATTTACAAGGGTCATCTCTGGCCTGGTGTTCTCAAAGGCCTCCGGATTTGCCGTTCATCAGGTAAGATGAACAGCTTTGCGTTGCTACCTTCAAAAATTCTTTTTTTTTTTTTTTGAGAGAGAGTCTCGCTCTGTCTCCAGGCTGGAGTGCAACCTCCACCTCCCGGGTTCAAGCGATTCTCCTGCCTCAGCCTCCCGAGTAGCTAGGACCACAGGCGCGCCCAGCTAATTTCTGTATTTTTAGTAGAGACAGGGTTTCATCATGTTGGCCGGGATGGTCTCAATCTCCTGACCTCGTTATCCGCCCGCCTCGGCCTCCCAAAGTGCTGGGATTACAGGGGTGAACCACCGCGCCTGGCCTCAGAAACCATCTCCATCTCCCTTACCACCTGAGGGGTCACTGGTGACCACACCCATGGAATCGGCTGGATCTCCTGCGGGGCTGGACAATTTGACCCTCCTCCTCCCCAGGCCCCGCCCCTTCCCCCCTGAGTCTTTCGGCCTGGGTGGAGGACGCGGCTGCTTCAAGTCCTTGGCTCTGATCCAGGCCACAGATTCCAGGTTAGTGAGCAAGTTTATTTTCTGGCCAGCTACCGCTGTCCCCACTTGTCTGGAGAGTTTGACCCGCTCTGCAGGTCGGGTTGGGGGTGGTTCACGGGTGAAAGAAGAATGAGGGAGACTTCTGCATTTTCAAGTGAACTCAAGTTTGGGAAGGGAGCACAGAAGAGGCACCTTTGCAGCTGGGAATAGGCCGTGTAAAGAGAGTTAAACCTCTATTCTACAAGCTGAAGTATGTAGAGGAGGCAGCTCTGGAAACTGCTTTAGGGAATCACTGCAAACCATTTTGTCAGGCGTGGATTCAGAGTCAGCATCCCTTCCCCCCTTCCCCCGTTCTCCCCTTCCCCCCTTCCCCCTTCCCCCTTCCCCCTTCCCCCTTCCCCTCCCCCATCTCCAGCCTGGCCGCTCCAGGAAGTGAGCACCGTTTATCCCCCACCCCAGGCGGCCCGACTCCTCCCAGAAGGAGTTGGGAGATGAGCCTTCCGCAAACTCCTGACCTGTGGGTCCGTCCGTTCAACGGCCAAAGGCTGGCGGAGGAGGGATCCCCTGCCTTTCTCGGAACGGAACGGAGCAGAGTCGTGCGTGGTTGAGTTTAGATAAAAGCCGAGTGAGCGCGCTCTGTTCCTTAAGATTAGTTTAAGGTGCCTTGGATTGCTCTGAAGAGCTTTGACCACCTGATATTGCTTACATCTGGAACTTCTTGGCTTCTCATTCCCCAGATGTGCGGGTCAGAGAGGTATGTCTACCGTTCTGTTGACTGGCTCTTATTGTCACTTCTGGCAGAGGTGACAGGGCAGTGAAAGAGATAAGGTCCTTTCCCTTTCGGAACTCATTATATCTTTATTTCTTTTTCTTTCTCACTGCAAATGACCCCACTGAGGTTAGAGACATTTTAATCAGTCAGTCAATAGAGACAGAAATGTGTGGTTAGGAGCATAGATGCCGCAGCCAGACTGCATGTGTTCAAATCCTGACTCTGACAGACACTGGCTGTGTGCCCGAAGACTGTTAACTTGACTTCTTTGAGCTTTAGTTTCTTCCATCTATAAGATGGACGGAGTAATATGTATATCTTAGAGTTTTGGTGAGGATTGAGTGAGACAGATTTAAACACGTAGGAGGCTGCCTGACACAAATTATGGTCATTATTACTGGCAAACTCCATGCCTAGCTTTAAAAAAATGCACAATCAAAACAATTTTTAAATTATAGGTTTCTGAAATGCAGGGGGTAGAAATTCTTTTGAAGTGGAAATTAAATTTTTTGTTTTGAAACTGATTATGTTCCAATTCAAATATTTATTGAGTCCTGTTAGATAATCAATTGCAGATAATAGGTTAAATATAACCCTACACAAAGATAAAAAAAAATGTTATTCCTAAAGTGCAAGAACTCATGCCCAACTCACTTATAAATGCAACTGCCACCTATTTTATTCCACTTTCACTAGGGCTCCCAGCTGGTGGACGGGCCCGCTCTGTCATTCCTAACTCTGAACCCCCAGCCTACACCAGCCCCAGTATCCCCTGCTGAGTCACTGATTTTTATTCTGAAAGCCATTTTGATATCGATGCAAGCTTCCATTCTAAAAGATGCTTCGTATCTAAATAGCAGGCCATTCTCTGTCCCCCTCCCTCTTCTAGCTGTTTTGCACCCTAAATTGTATCCACCTGGGAAAGAAGGTCCTTTATCTAAGGCAGTGCTT
Source organism: Homo sapiens (assembly GCF_000001405.40). Classification (NCBI taxonomy): domain Eukaryota; kingdom Metazoa; phylum Chordata; class Mammalia; order Primates; family Hominidae; genus Homo; species Homo sapiens. The sequence continues at coordinate 5,597,884 of NC_000011.10, forward strand.
CTGAAGCCTTAATGTGCGTAAGAATCACCTAGAGAACTTTAATATTAAAGTGCAGATTCTGAATCATTCCAGGAAAGACTGAGATTCTGCATAAAGAACTCCAAGTGCTTGCAGTGTTGCTAGTTAGCAGACCTTTTTCAGGCGTCTGGTTCTGATTTAATTGGTCCCACCTGGTTGTGAATTTGGGCTCTTTCTTCTGCTAATTTGATGCACTGGGCTCTGGGACTGCAGGCTCTTCTCGTCTGCACTCCTCACAGTCAGAATGCCTTCTCTCAGCCCGTCCACACTGCTCTGGAGACTTGGCCTCAGTTGGAAACTGGCAGCCTCCCATATCTCCCTTGGGCTGCACTTAGCTGCAGTGGGCAGTCAGGGCTTGCTGGTGTGTGGGCAAGGGTCACCTATGCTAACTGTATGCTCCCCTCCTTCACAATTTCTTTCCCAAGCCTCAGCTTTGACAAGAGACCTCAACTCTTACAAATCTTTTTTCTGCTCAAGAATTTTTCTCTGTCTAAAGAGAGTATTAGATGAATATCTACAGCGCATATTAGATAGGAAAAAGACATATAATGAACTAGAAATAGAATGAAGCCACATATGTAATGTTACATACTCAAGTAGCCTCATTAAAAATAAGCGGGTGAAATTAATTTTAATACATTTCATTTAACCCAATACATGCAAAATACAATTAGGACATGTGATCAACATAAAAAAATTAATAAGATCCTTTAACTTTTTTAAACTAAATCTTCAAAATCCAATGTGTATTTTGTACCTAAAGCAACCCATTTCTGAGTAGCCACACTTCAAATGCTCAAGAGCCATATCTGGCTACATGTTTGACAACACAGTTCCATTATGCTTAGAAGATCAGAAACCAAGCTTTTAATTTTTCTTGTATTTTTTTGTTTCTGTCAGTTTATTGAGTTCTATCTAGTAAGTTACAAATTGTAAGCATACAGTTCTGTGAATTTTCACAGTTGCAGTCAGCTGTGTAACCACCACCATGATCATGATACATAAAGGGCATTTCCCTTTATGTATTCACCCTTCAAATTTCCTTATGCCCTTTGCAGTTCAAACTTTTCTCCCACTCCTGGGCCCTGGCTTCCACTGATGTACTTTCAAATACCATAGCTTTCTCTTTTCTAGGATTTCACATAAATAGCATCATACAATAACTTAAATTTGATGTTTGGGTTCTTTCACTTTGCATGCTTTTGAGATTTATCTTGTTGTATATATTAACAGTTTAATTGTTTGGTAATATGCCACTGTATGGATACACCACAGTTTGTTCATTTACCAGTTAGTGATGTCATGGATTCTTTTCAGTTTGGGACTATTACTACATTGCATTTATGAGGCAGTAGTTCTCCTTCAAGAGAATTGGGTACGCTAAATACAGTTTTGCCTGAAATGAAAGTGTGCATGTGTTTGTTGGGGAGGATGAATTGGAATTGGACTTTCAATTAAAATATAATACCAATACAATTATTATATTTATTTATTTATTTATTTATTTATTTATTTATTTTGAGACGGAGTCTCGCTCTGTCGCCCAGGCTGGAGTGCAGTGGCACGATCTCGACTCACTGCAAGCTCCACCTTCCGGGTTCACGCCATTCTCCTGCCTCAGCCTCCCGAGTAGCTGGGACTACAGGCATCCGCCACTACACCCAGCTAAATTTTTGTATTTTTAGTAGAGACAGGGTTTCACCGTGTTAGCCAGGATGGTCTCGATCTCCTGACCTTGTGATCCGCCTGCCTCAGCCTCCCAAAGTGCTGGGATTACAGGCTTGGGCCACCGCGCCCGGCCAACACAATTATTTTTTAACAGTAACACTTTGATAAGATAGCACATTTATTTCTATACTCTAGTGCCAACATCAAGGCCAACTATAAGCTCAGCAGTAAGCTATAATTTTCAATCCATTATAAAGTTAATTGATCATTTCCTGTGTTAGCTGCAGTGCTAAGGTCTGGGGCACCTGGAAGATAAATAGAGCCTCTATTGCCTCTAGAGCCTCTATTGCCTCTATTATCAAAGGCAATAGAGCCTTATAGTGCAGTGTGCTAAGTGAGATGATGTGGGTATGGTAGGAGATATTAACAAAGGAAATAATAGTGCAGTTCCCACAGGTGTGATTAATTTGGTTAAACAGACTCTCAGATGATAGGTAAATACGTCTGTAACACCAATTAGTACTACCAGTTAGATGCACAGAGTTCATTAATTTGTTAATTATATTTTGCACCCTTTATGGAGATGAGGAATATAAGGGAGTAATAAGAGCTCCAGCTCTGCAGCCTGCGTATCTGCATTCAACACCGGCCCCGCCACTTGAAAGATCTACTAAATACCAGTTTATACAACTATGAGATGAGATTTAAGGGACATTCATAATGTTGTTATGTGGAATTATTGAGTTATTATGTACAAAATAATTAAATTCTTGCTGAATACCTAATGGGCTTTCTGTAGATATTTGCTGTGAGCATCGCTGCTGCTAAGCATGGCAAAGCTGAAGAGCCAGGCTAGTACTTGCAGAAGCACCACAGAACACTAGATGGCAGCGCCAAGAACCTGTTTTCGGCTCGCTAGATCCCCCAGCAGGGCCGCTAGGAGGCTTATGCTTACATCCCATGACTTTTTCTTACCCTTATCTGAGACACTTTCTCAGGCCCTTTCTTCTAAGGGGAGTGTTGTTATTGGGAGGCAGTTTGATATACTTTTTAAATCCACCAGGTCCTCAAGATGGGGGTAAATTGGTACAATTTACAGGGCCTTGTGTTGAGGCCCACACGGACTGTTTTTTACATCAGTGTACATTTACTTTTGCTGGGAAACCAGCCAAAGACAAGTTAGAGAATTCTGCCTGCTCCCTACGCACTGTGGCCTGTTCAGAACAGCGAGGTCACGCCTGGAACCAGGGCCAGAGCTTCACATAGGCAGTGTTAGCTGGCTCTTCTTTGGTGGCCCAAACACAACTCCAGGTAGACAAGCAGAACAAATGGCTCCCAGTGAAAATAACTCAGTGCTGGAAACAGTTTTAAAAATTTTCTAAAGAGTATTCTCAGTGTGATTTTAAACAATGGTAACGTAATTTATCAACAACTCTTCCAAGAAAAATAGACAATAAAGGTCATATTTCTCAATGAAGATATAAGGTCTCAACTGCCTTACCGGCCACCTCTCCTTACATATGGACCCCCTTAGGATCCTGCTGAAGTTTAAGACAGGCCCTGGCAAAATCCCATCATCAAATAGGATCTCTCTCATTTCCATACTTCGAAAGCACTTGGTCCATGCCTGACTTTCACAGCCTTTACCACTGACTGTCTTTGGTCAAAGTTATGAGTTTGAGGACGAAGCTTTGAACTAGCACCCTGGAAAGGTTAGGTTATGCCAATTCTACAACTTACAAGGTGCATGATTGTGTAAAGTCACTTAATGTCTCTTCTTATTAAAGAATGGAGAATACTCTTATTTATGCAGAGTTGTCCATGAGGGATAAAGAAAGCAAGAGAATGTGATTTCTAAATCACAACTGGTTACAGAATCATGAGTTGTAAAAATATTACCTCCCCAGGCTGGGCGCAGTGGCTCACGCTTGTAATCCCAGCACTTTGGGAGGCCAAGGCAGGCAGATCACTTGAGGTCAGGAGTTCGAGATCAGCCTGGCCAACATGGTAAAACCCTGTCTCTACTAAAAATACAAAAATTAGCTGGGCATGGTGGCGCTCACCTGTAATCCCAGCTACTCAGGAGGCTGAGGCACGAGAATCGCTTGAACCCGGGAGGCAGAGGTTGCAGTGAGCCGAGATAGTGCCACTGCCCTCCAGCCTGGGCGATAGAGCAAGACTCAGTTTCAACAACAACAAAAAAATTACCACCCCTTATTGTGGCCATTGCTGTTTCTTTGGTTTTTTTCTGAGAAGGCGAGCATGTGGTGAGAGGGCTCTATGTGGAGCAGGGCCGTTAAGAAGTGGAAGTGTTTTCACAGTCTTAGAGATCAGATACCAGAGAGTGATGCAAAGGTGATGGCAGAGAGGTGAAAGAGCTCATGGAAAGGTCACAGATGATCACTGTAGAGGATGAGGGGGTTCTGACCCCCTCATTCATCCAAAGTTGAGGACCTATATGTCAGGCTCTATGCTAGCTGCCGAAGATACAACCATGAACAAAAAGTCTCAGATCTCATGGAGCTTACATTTCACTGCGAGGATTCAAACAAGTAAAGATCTGTATTAAGTGGTGTAAGAAGTAAAATAGACCGGGTGCAGTGGCTCATGCCTGTAGTCCCAACCCTTTGGGAGGCCAAGGCGGGCGGATCATGAGGTCAGGAGATCGAGACCATCCTGGCTAACACAGTGAAACCTCATCTCTACTAAAAAATACAAAAAAAATTAGCCGGACATAGTGGCAGGCACCTGTAATCCCAGCTACTCGGGAGGCTGAGGCAGGAGAATGGCTTGAACCCAGGAGGCGGAGCTTGCAGTGAGTCGAGATCACGCCACTGCACTCCAGCCTGGGCGACAGAGCAAGACCCCCTAATGAGGTGAATATGTGGAGAGTGATTGTATGGTGGCTGTGCTCTAAATAGACTAGTCAGAGCAGACCCTTCTGATAAGGGAATAGGTAGGAAGCTAGTAAGTCATGCAGATAGCAGAGTAAAGGGTCATCTTTACATCACGAACGACAAATGCAAAAATCCTGAGGCAGCAGTGTGTTTTAGGTGCTTTTAACATTGAGGATATGTTTTGGGTGAGAAAAGGTCACACAGTCTCCAGGTGCGGTGGCTCATGCCTGTAATTCCAGCACTGTGAGAGGCCAAGGCAGGAGCATCACTTAAGGTCAGGAGTTCAAGACCACCCTGGCTAACATGGTGAAACTCCATCTCTACTAAAAATACAAAAACTAGCCAGGTGTTGTGGCACGTGCCTGTAATCCCAGCTACTCAGGAGGCTGAGGCAGGAGAATTGCTTGAACCTGGGAGGCGGAGATTGCAGTGAGCTGAGATTGTACCACTGCATTCCAGCCTGGGTGACAGAGTGAGTCTCCATCTCAAAAAAGAAAAAAAAGAAAAGATCACACAGACAGTGACTCACACAGGCCCCTCCTTTCCAGGGCCTCAGTTTGTCTCTATTCAATAGGAGCAAGAGGAAATTATCACTGCTTTAATATGGGGAGAAATTGGTGCCTTGTATGAGCCGGGATAAAGAACGTATTGGATATGAGAATGAGAAGCCCTTGTTACCCCAGGTGTCTGACCTCTTTATCCAGGACTGGGCAGTCAGTATTCCCTTATTCTCCCTCCTTTCTTACCCTGATCCTTTTTTTGTTTGTTCATCTACCTAGGATTCTACAGGCAGGAAACATCTTAGAAATCAGGGTTGGGCAGGCAGGAGCCAGGAGAGTAGCTACAATGACTTCACCAGTACTGGTGGACATACGAGAAGAGGTGACCTGCCCTATCTGCCTGGAGCTCCTAACAGAACCCCTGAGCATAGACTGTGGCCACAGCTTCTGCCAAGCCTGCATCACACCAAATGGCAGGGAATCAGTGATTGGTCAAGAAGGGGAAAGAAGCTGCCCTGTGTGCCAGACCAGCTACCAGCCAGGGAACCTGCGGCCTAATCGGCATCTGGCCAACATAGTGAGGCGGCTCAGAGAGGTAGTGTTGGGCCCTGGGAAGCAGCTGAAAGCAGTTCTTTGTGCAGACCATGGAGAAAAACTGCAGCTCTTCTGTCAGGAGGATGGGAAGGTCATTTGCTGGCTTTGTGAGCGGTCTCAGGAGCACCGTGGTCACCACACGTTCCTCGTGGAGGAGGTTGCCCAGGAGTACCAGGTGAGACCCCAGGATGGAATGGGAGACAGAGAAACAGGGTCTTTGGCAGGTTTTAACGTTTTATCATGCTCTGATCTAATCTCTTTGTAGTCTTTATTTACCTAGAGAATGAACCTGGAAACTGCCTCCCTGATTAAGAATAGATTCTTTATCATTTACTTGCTATTCCAGATTGAGTAGATAGAGCTGCTTGGGGTAAAAGGGGTACTTGGTTGATTGAGTGTGGAGATATGTTGGCAGGGTAGGTAAAGGAATTTATTTACTCATGTATTTATTTTGAGAAGGCGTCTCGCTCTGTCGCCCAGGTTGGAGTGCAGTGGTGCGATCCCGGCTCACTGCAACCTCCGCCTCCCGGGTTCAAGCAGTTCTCGTGCCTGGCCTCCCAAGTAGCTAGGACTGTAGGTGTGCACCACCATGCCCAGCTAATTGTGTGTGTGTGTGCGTGTGTGTGTGTGTTTAGTAGAGATGGGGTTTTGCCATGTTGCCCAGGCTGATCTCAAACTCCTGAGCTCAGGCAATCCACCCGCCTCAGCCTCCCAAAGTGCTGGGATTACAGGCGTGAGCCACAGGTGCTTTGTGGTCAGGCACCTTCCCAAGGGGGATGGAGAATCAGCCTATCCCTGTTGGTTTTCATCCCATGTATATATATAAAAGATTTGTTGGCCCTCTCAAGTTTTCATCCTAGGTTAGGACAGGCTTCTTTTGAGGTTAGCAGAATCTCTGTCCCATTCATTCTATGTCTGGGTACTGAGTCAACTGAAGGCTTGATCCTGCTTGACCTGATTTGTTTTCTTCAAGGAGAAGTTTCAGGAGTCTCTAAAGAAGCTGAAGAACGAGGAGCAGGAAGCTGAGAAGCTAACAGCTTTTATCAGAGAGAAGAAAACATCCTGGAAGGCAAGGGAGACTTTTTCTGAAGATGTCCTGGGGCAGGAATCATGGCAGGTCATAGGAGCTGAGGGCAAAGGAGTCCTTGTCCTGTCTGTCCTCTGATGCCATGACTAGAAGAGCTTCCCTTTGCCTGGTCCTCCACTATATTCCTTCCAAACAGGGGGAGGAGAGGAGGTAAATAGCAAATATATCAAAACTGAACCTAGGAGACAATCACATAGCAGAGGAACCATGGCTAGGGGTCGCCCCAATTCATAATTCTGGGTCTTGCTCTACAGTTTCAGTCTCTTTGGCTTTTCCCTTGCATTCAGAGTACAAATGCAAGGGAAAATGCAGGTAAGGCTTGTGAAGAAGCCCAGATCTGAGACAGGTTAGTCACAGGCCAGTGATTTCCACCTCAGTACTCGAAATTGGAAGAGGAGGCTGATGCAGAGGTGAGGGAGGCTTCCTGGAATCTAAACGTCACCCAGGAATCACAGTTGATGTCTAGATGGCCTAGATAAAGCAGCCCGGGGCCAATGGTCTGGGCAGAGCTGAAGGGAGAAAAGAAGGAAAGAACAGGCTACAAAGGCTTTCTCCTGCAGCATTTACCCTCCCTCTCCCTGGGAGGCTTGGCCCAGGAAAGCAGTCCTGAGCCCAACTTCCCCGCTTTTAATAGAGGAGACCCTCAGTGTGACCGACTAGCAGCCTCTTTTTCTTCCCTGTTCCTGAAGAATCAGATGGAGCCTGAGAGATGCAGGATCCAGACAGAGTTTAATCAGCTGCGAAATATCCTAGACAGAGTGGAGCAACGGGAGCTGAAAAAGCTGGAACAGGAAGAGAAGAAGGGGCTACGAATTATAGAAGAGGCTGAGAATGATCTGGTCCACCAGACCCAGTCGCTGCGAGAGCTCATCTCGGATCTGGAGCGTCGATGTCAGGGGTCAACAATGGAGCTGCTGCAGGTAAGGCTTGTGAAGGAGCCCAGATCTGAGAGTCAAGGAAAAGAGAAACTAACTTTCCTTCCTTTCTGGGACATCAGACTACCATCGTTGCAGGGACAAGAGAAAACATTCCTTTGGCGCTATAGTGCCTATCCCCTATTAAACTGTTTAGAGGTATGGAGTAAAGCGTAAGATAATTCAGAGTACAAATGCAAGGGAAAGTCCCATTTTTATTTATAAAGGGTTGTCTAAAAGTTTATTTGATGCTGTGGAGAAGTTCTGTTGTATCCAGTGATGTTGTTCTTTCTTTCTCAGTCTTGGCACTATTTACATTTCTGGCTGGATAATTCTTTGCTGCGTGGGGTTCTCCTGTACATTGTAGGATGCTTAGCAGCGTCTCTGGCCTCTGCTCACTAGATGTCAGCAGCACCACCCCAGATGTGACAACCCCAAATTTCTTCAGACATTGCCACGATAGCCCCAGGGTGAACACAGTGCTCTCCCAGTTGAGAACCACTGTTCATTAGGCACCTCTCGTCTCTGATGCTGTGTTGGGAATTTGCCAAGTGCTTCTTACCCAGCTTAGTCACAGGCACACTTACGCCAAGCTAAATTCTTAGAGATGATGTATTACCAGCCCTTCTTTGTTTTCACTCTCTTCTCTAGAGCAGAATCATTTAACATACTGTAGCAATTGATATTTGAACTGGTTTTGGGGGTCTGGGCTCTGGTCTGTATGTGTGTAGGTCGCAGATTACAAGGTATCAAGCCTAGAGAGATTTGATGGAGGGACTTGAACTGAGGTTGAAATTCTAGCAGCTATTTTCTGCATAGAATGAATAGTGTGGTTGTGAATTTGAGGCATGATGTAGCTTGTGATATTCTGTAACCTTCAGAGTGTAAGATATTCTTTATATTTTGTTTGTCTTCGTGCTTTCCTCTTGCTCCTTCTTTCTTGGTGGAATAATTGTTTATTTACATATTCTTGGGTCTTAGTATTAGAGCCATGGGTAGCTACTTTCTGCCTGTTACAGCTTTTTCTCATTCACTGCTTCCTGCTTTGCATCTTCATTTTATTCTTCTTGCCTTTTTGTCCTCATCATTGATATTATTACCCTGATACTTTCTCCTTCACCTTTTGTTCTGGCTCCTCAACAGTCCTCAAACTGTAAATATTTTTTAAATGCAAATGAATCGTCAATTCATATTGCTAGTTTAGACACTTCCACATTCATTAGTATGACTGCCCCACGGACATTTAAACTTGAGTAGTCTTTTCTAAAAATAAACTTTCTGGAATTTTCCCATCACAGACATTGTTCTTTCTCTTTTCCATATCTGTGTGAATTGTTGCCCATTAAGATTTTATAGCCAAGGCCGAGCGCGGTGGCTCACGCCTGTAATCCCAGCACTTTGGGAGGCCGAGGCAGGCGGATCATGAGGTCAGGAGATTGAGACCATCCTGGCTAACACGGTGAAACCCCGTCTCTACTAAAAACACAAAAAAATTAGCCGGGCGTGGTGGCGGGCGCCTGTAGTCCCAGCTACTCGGGAGGCTGAGGCAGGAGAATGGCGCGAACCCAGGAGGCGGAGCGTGCAGTGAGCCGAGATCGCACCACTGCACTCCAGCCTGGGCGACAGAGCAAGACTCCATCTCAAAAAAAAAAAATATTTTATAGCCAAGATAAAAGCTTCAAAATATGGACATAAAGCCAACATAAGAGAAGTAGCCACATGAAATAGCACATCGATTTGATCATTTCAGTTCCTCAGTACAGCCACAATGTAAGATTGATACAATCCTGGATATTTACTGCAAATTGACACACACAGCACCTCTACCACATTCTATGTTCAAGCCAGTTTGAGTTGTGCCTCTATGAAATGCCACCATAAACAGCCCTAATACAGAGAAAATAGTTAATCCTGTATTATGTGGACCAAACTTAAGCTTTTCTTCGGGGTCATTGAGATGTATGGAGCACAAGATAAAAAGACCAAATAGAAAGGAATAGGCCAATTCCACAGAAATGAGACTAGCAGTGGCAGTGATAAAGGTGAACAACTGGTGACCAAATGAAATTGAGGATGTGAAGTGGACTGACTTGGGCAAAGATAGGATGCCAGGGTGAATATATGGTAGTTATTTCCTATTTTGTTTAAATTTGGTGACTTAAGTGGTTGCTAGTGTGATTCAGTAGGATGGAAGGGAGACAAGAGTTGCCGAACTAAGTTCTTTTAAACATCTTGCATTTGAGGTACCTGTGACATATTTGCTGGTGTATATATTAATCAAAATCATAAGGAAAGGGGGCTGAGCAGAAGTACAGATTTGAGAATCATCAACATGTGTACATTAAAATGAAGGAAATGGATGAAGTCAGCAAAGGTAGGGTAGAAGGTTAGAGAAGGTGAAGTTTGAGAAACAGCCATATATAAAGTCCATGAGCCTGTATCTTCAGCAACCAGAACAGGATGTAAGCTACTCAAGGATAGAAATTATGACTTCATCATCTGAGGTTCTCTAGGCCAGGCACAATGCCTGACAAATAATACATGCTATACATACATAACATTACACACACATATGCACACACACAATGTTGTGAAAATCAAGACACTGATGAGTCAATTGAGTTATTTTTTGATGTCTTCACATGGGTTCTTAGGGACAGTCTGCCCTGAGTTTTTTCTCTACTTTGTGGCCTCCACATTAGGATTATCTTTATTTGTATCATATCATGGGGTAGGGGACATGGAAGGAGAAATGTGGATAAGGGCATGACCTGTTACTCCTTGACTTAACCTGTCTTTTTCCTTCCTAGGATGTGAGTGATGTCACAGAAAGGTATGTGTAAGGAGAACATGAGGTAGTTCCCCTGGACTGACAAATGATTCCTTTACCCATGATCAGTGGGAAAGGGAAGAAGAATCAGAGTGGGGAAGATTCAAGAGAGTAGTCTTGAATCGCGCATCACATGGAGTTTTGGCATCCCCAAATAAAGGGGATGAACTGGCCTCTCTGGTAGGAAAATGTGGGTGATGGGAGGTCAGTAGGTGGGGACAGTACTGTTATTTAGAATAAAGAGTTGCAGTATTGCGCCACTGCACTCCAGCCTGGGAGACAAAGGGAGACTCTGCCTCAAACAAACAAAAAAAAATGAATAAAGAGTTGCAGTATCAGTGACTCCCCAAGTACCCTGTTAGTGTACTTTTCCATAAACCTCTGTGCCTGCTTTCATCCCTGATTCTTAAGTTTATAGTTACCTCAAAATACACAGGAATTTTCTTTGCCCATAAATTTTTTTTTTTTTTTTTTTTTGAGACAGAGTTTCACTCTGTCGCCCAGGCTGGAGTGCAGTGGTGTGATCTCGGCTCACTGCACCTTCCTGCCCGTGAATTTTATCAGAGTGACATTCCCATCTGCATTATTTCTCAAGGTCTAAGAATTTGGTCTTGGCACATCTGCCTTAAGTTTTTCTTTCTCCCAGGCCTTGCTCCCTAGTAGATTTTCTTTTGTCTCAATTCCAGTAAAAACGTAAACCCGAGCTCTGGAGGATAATAATTTAGCCCGGGAATCAAACATGTTCTCTATCACATACTCCAGAGTCTCATCCAACAAGGTGACATGTCAAGCTGCTTGCACACTTGGTTCCTCCATGCTCCTCACAGACACACGAAATGGGAACCCTATCGTCCCTTCTGAAATCTGTACTCTCCGTTTGGAGGTGAGGACATCTTTTCTCCAGCTAGTGGCATAACATTCCCAGAGACGGCAAATCCTAAAATGCTGTTTTGAAGGTTTTCTGAGAAATCCCAGGGCCTAAGCCCACAGACTCTTCTGAAGAAACCCCTTCATTTGATACTTTCAAAGCCCCAGCAATAGGCCCCTGGTGTTCTGCCTGTCAACCCAGACATCTTCAACCCCTCTGATTTTAAATATTTTATATCTTTTTTTAGAGGTAGCAAAAGATTTCCAAGCCATTATTTTACTGAACTGCATAACATCTCTAGGACACAGAAAAAGGAAAATTATAGTATTTTCTAAAAACAACAACAGAAAAACAAAATGAGACTTTAAGAAGTTAAATCTTGGACAGGCGCAGTGACTCACACCTGTAATCCCAGCACTTTGGGAGGCTGAGGAGGGCAGATCACGAGGTCAGGAGATCAAAACCATCCTGGCTAACATGATGAAACCCTATCTCTACTAAATATACAAGAAAATTAGCCAGGCGTGGTGGCACGCGCCTGTAGTCCCAGCTACTCAGAAGGCTGAGGCAGGAGAATCGCTTGAACCTGGGAGGTGGAGGTTGCAGTGAGCCGAGATCGTGCCACTGCACTCCAGCCTGGGTGACAGAGCGAGACTCCTTCTCAAAAAAAAAAGTTAAATCTTACACAAGTTTATGTAGATGGTGAGATGATAGTTTCTAGTCTAGCTCTTCTGGCTCCAGTGCCAGGGCTGTTTGCAGAATGATGCTAAGTGTATTCAGAAAGGAGGATTGGAATTCATCAGTAGGCTTGGGAGGTAAGGGAGATGGGTGGTGGAGGAACCCACAGTCAGCAGTGTGGGAACTCAGAAGTCCTGTCCTTTCTAGGAGTGAGTTCTGGACCCTGAGGAAGCCAGAAGCTCTCCCTACAAAGCTGAGAAGTATGTTCCGAGCCCCAGATCTGAAAAGGATGCTGCGAGTGTGTAGAGGTAAGGAGATTCAGGGGAAAGAGTTTGGATGTGAAATTACTGTCGTGGGAAGAAATAAACGGGATAGAGGCTATAGTCGGTATTTGAGCATAGTGGCAAAGAGGGAGGTCCCAGAGGGAGGGACATAGTGTGCTGAAGAAGATGCGGTTTGTATTTAAGGGGAGATGAAATGGCCAGGTGACATCCTCACAGGATTCCTCACCATTCCCCTCAATGTAGTAAGGAGAGAGATACCAGACATGAGACAGTTGGTCCTATTCAACATTATTGACTCTTTTCATCATTACAGAGCTGACAGATGTCCAAAGCTACTGGGGTAAGTAGAAGCCATGGCCTCTTTGGGCTGGCACATTCTGATCTCCTTTCACATGCCCTCCCCAGACATAGCCACACAGATCCTAGGTGTTGATGCCTCCCCCATCCCCGCCATATAGTTCCAGTTCCTCCAACCACTTCCTGTGTTTCCTCTTCTCAGCATAACGAGACCCATGTCCCCGTTCTCATCTGCTGATGTTGTACCTTTTCCTACAGTTGACGTGACCCTGAATCCACACACAGCTAATTTAAATCTTGTCCTGGCTAAAAACCGGAGACAAGTGAGGTTTGTGGGAGCTAAAGTATCTGGACCTTCCTGTCTGGAAAAGCATTATGACTGTAGTGTCCTGGGCTCCCAGCACTTCTCCTCTGGTAAGCATTACTGGGAGGTAGATGTGGCCAAGAAGACTGCCTGGATCCTGGGGGTATGCAGCAATTCACTGGGACCTACATTCTCTTTCAACCATTTTGCTCAAAATCACAGTGCTTACTCCAGGTATCAGCCTCAGAGTGGATACTGGGTGATTGGGTTACAGCATAACCATGAATATAGGGCCTATGAGGATTCTTCCCCTTCCCTGCTTCTCTCCATGACAGTGCCCCCTCGCCGTGTTGGGGTTTTCTTAGATTATGAGGCTGGTACTGTCTCCTTTTATAATGTCACAAACCATGGCTTCCCCATCTACACTTTCTCTAAATATTACTTTCCCACTACTCTTTGTCCATATTTTAATCCTTGCAACTGTGTAATTCCTATGACCCTGCGTCGTCCAAGCTCTTGAATATTCTTCTGTTCCCACCCACTTCTGATAAGTACCCTGAGGCTTATCAGCATGTGATTCTCCCTTCTGATCTTCTGTTTTTCTGTGTTCTCAATTCTTTTGTTGTTTTTTGGTTTTTGAATCTTTTTTGAGATGGAATCTCGCTCTGTCGCCCAGGCTGGAGTGCACTGGCGCAATCTCGGCTCACTGCAACCTCTGCCTCCTGGGTTCAAGCGAACCTCCTGCCTCAGCATCCCAAGTAGCTGGGATTACAGGCACCCACCACCATGCCCAACTAATTTTTGTATTTTTATAGAGATAGGGTTTCACCGTGTTGGCCAGGCTGATCTCGAACTCCTGACCGCAAGTGATCCACCCGCCTCGGTCTCCCAAAGTGCTGGGATTACAGATGTGAGCCGCCGCGCCCAGACAGTTCTTTCGTTTTAAACAGTTACTCAGTACTAGGATGCACCCAGTGGTGAGAGTAAGCATCTTTGACTGATGACAGGTCTTGAGGTGGATAGGGGGCGCTTTCAGTATTTTGCCATTAAGCATAGTATTTGATGCAGGTTTTTTTTGATTGATGCAGGGGATCAAATTTAGGAAGTTCTGATCTGTTAATTTACTACAAGTTTTTGTATAAAATGAAAACTCGTATTCTACCTATGTCTTTTCTGTAAATTATTGAGACAATTGTGTATCATTTTTGTTCTGTTAATGTGGCTTAGTACATTGATTTACTTCAATTTGTTACCACAACTTGCTGAAATACACCATTATTATTTGTTGTATGCAATACTGGATTTATTTTGATAACGTATTGTTTAGATTTTGTTCTCATCTATGTTAATGAAAGAAATTGGCCTGTATTTTTACATTCTTGTAATATCTTTGCCAGGTTCTATAAAATGCAATAATAAGCAAATAAATTACTTTGTTTTTGTATAAGTATGTATAGGATTGAGCTCTAAAACCAAACCATTATAATGATAATTTGGGTAGCTTCAAACTCAAATTGAAGAGAGTCTTCACTACAATCTTCACTACAACCTTTGGCCTTCCTCTCTACATTTAAGAGTAGCAATAGAACAATAAAAAAAAATACGTCTTTCAAATTAATTGCAGTAAAAACAAAAGAGTAGTGGGGAGAGAAAAACAATCCAATACATATTTTTCTCTCAGAATAGAAAGAAAACACAAAGAGAAAATATGAACAATATAAAGCACTTAAAGGAAGAGGATGATTTCTTCCAGCTTTTCCACACTCTCTTTATGCGCAGGAACAAACAGCTGTTGAGTGAGCTGCTATGACTTTGGTAGAGAGGTGCAATATGTTTTTTGAACCAGCTATAAAAGAAATTAAGAGGTACATGTGAGGGTAGAAACAAATATCAAGGATGAGAATGGCACTGGCTGTCCCATATGGTATCCAGGAGCCACCAATGTCTGTTGAGTACTTCATACATGCCTAGTCTGAATTGAGATGTGCTCAATGTATAAAATATATACCAGATTTCAAATACCTACTTCAAAAAATAATGTAAAATATCTCACTAATAACTTTTCCTTTGTGTATTGCAATGATAATATGTTGGCTCTATTGGATTAAATAAAGTATGTTATTCATTTTACCTGTTTCATTTTACTTTTTTAATGTGGATACTAGAAACCTTAAAATTACATATGTGGCTTACATTGTATTTCTATTGGACAACTCTGGAGTAGATCCTATAATGAAATTTCTGTCCCTAAGTGAGCCCTAGTGTAAAAGCCTATGGACTCAGGATACAGAGGAGGTTTCAAGGCACATATGTTTATCTCTACAGAACCTGCACCTTCCCAGCTGCCCTGAGGCATTTTTATGGAAGGTAATGACAGAGAAAAGAAGATCTCAACATATCTAGAAGTGTAGAAATTTGGAAGATCATAGAAAGGGCTCATGACCAGAGAATGATTCTGCAGACTCTGGCCCCTGCCGTTAGTCCTCAGTCTGTTGGGCACTTGAAGCTCCTTCATGGTTTGATGAAACACTGATTTGTTATCAAGGCTCAGCTTGGGTGTCTATGGTGAGATAAAGTAGTGCAGATTATAGTAAAAGCTCACTACTGGTTTGTTCTAAGGCACCGTTTTATAATATTTGGGAGATCATATCTGTGGAAGCCCAGAGGCTGGATGCAAACTCCTTATCCTGGTCTGCGTTTCAATTGGAAGAGATATAAAAGGAGATAGGGCCAGCTGACTGGGACCTATGGGGCTGGTGGAAGTTCAGGAAAGAGAAAGATCTGCTGGAGTAGTTATCCCCTTCCCACTTATTTTCCCATATAATAAGTAAGTTCTAGGCAAAAGAGTTAGCCCAGCTCTCTTCTGTAAACTCATTTTACAAGTAAATTTACTTTCCAAGTGAATTTACTTTATAAGTAATTTTTCTTTTTTGTCACCAGAGTTCTAGGGATGTGGTATAGTTATCCTAATATTTCCCAAAATGTGAGTGCTTGCTAGAGCCGATATTTAAGTTTGATGCTAACTTAAAAAGAAGATTTTGGAAGGGAGAGGGACTTTCTTAACAGCTTTATTGTGATATTTACTTCTTTATAAGTAAATTCACTTGGAGAACCCAAAGTATTGTCCAGTGAATGACTTTAGATAATAGTGAAAGCCAAACTAAGTACTTGCTGGAATTCTATAGGTAAGACCTGGGGAAGGTTGCTCAATCTGAGACTTGGGGACAATTATTAGGGTAAGTTCACAGCTCTGACCTTTTCTTGAGGGGTTATGGGGGCTTGACAGAGGCCTTCTGTTCTTGACATGTGATAGAGTAGGCTCAACTACTATGAAAAAGAACTCTAAAAATACATAATGGATCAAATACTAAAGAAATGTACTTCTTGTTAATGTAAAACAATCGGTCATGAGTGTATGTAACTGGTGGTGAGTGGCACTGTTCCATGTGGGATTCATGCACCAAGCTTGCTTTCATCTTGTGGCACTTGCTGTACCCCAGAATGGTAACAGCATGAAGCTGGCAGAAAGGTGAAGAAAACTTAGGGGAGAAAACGTGCTTTTTAAATCCTTAGTTCATAGATGGGATTCGTAATATCTGCTCATTTTCTATTAATGAGAATAGCCATAGGGCTAAACCTAACTGTAAAGATTTTTTAAATGTCTAGCTGTATGCAATCATGTACAATCAAATTTCAAGGAAAAGAAAACTCAGATTTTGGTGGAAACTGCCTGGAACCCTAAGTAATCCTTTTTCCCATTATAGAGGACTCAGGATCTCAGCTTTTTTCTGGAACTATGTTAATTCCATTCTATAGCCTAAAGTTTGTAAAAGAGAACTGTATTGTCACTAAAGTTCTAGACATGTGGTATAGTTATCCTAATATTTCCCAACAAGCGAGTGCTTGTTAGAGCTGGCATGTAAGTTTGATTCTAACTTAAAAATAATCTTTTTAGGGGAAGAGGACTGTCTTAACATTATTATTGTAATATAACTGACATATAATACATTTCATAAAGTATATAACTTGATACATTTTGACTTGTGAAACTCATCACCATCAAGGCAATAAATCAGATGGGGTTCTTTTTTGTATATATAGCACTTAGAGCTATACATTTCCTTCTGTGGCTTTAAATGCATCTCACAAATTTTGATATATTCTCCATTCTATTCAAGATTCTATTTTCCCTTTTGATTTCTTCTTTGACCATTGAATTATTTAAAATTATATTTTTTCCCAAATCTATGAGGATGTTCATATATCTTTTTGTTATTGGTTTATAATTTAATTTTAAATGGTCCAGATACAGACTTTATATGACTTGAATCCTTTTTAATTGTATTGAGACTTGTTTTACGGTAAAGGATATGATCTATATTGGTAAATGTTTCATTTGCACTTGAAAGAAATGTGTATTCTGTGGTCCTGGGGTACAGTGTTCAATTAACATCATGTTAGTTGATATTATTCAAATCTTCTGTATCTTTACTGCTTTTCTATGAGAGAGGGGTGTTGAAATATACAACTATATTTGTGGATTTGCCTATTTCTCCTGCAATTCTATGAGATTTTGCTTTCTGATTTTTGAAGCTCTTTTGTAAGGAGCATACACATTTAGGAATGTTACATCCTGTTGATGAACTGACACCCCTTTCTCATTATGGAATGACCCTCTATCTCTACTAATATCTTTTTCTCCAAATTCTACTTTGTTAGGTATTAATTTAGCCACTCCAGCTTTCTTGTTTTTTGTTTTTTTTTTGTTGTTGTTGTTGTTTGTTTGTTTGAGATGGAGTCTCGTTCTGTCATCCAGGCTGGAGTGCAGTGGCGTGATCTTGGCTAACTGCAACCTCTGCCTCCTGGGTTTAAGTGATTCTCCTGCCTCAGCCTCCCGAGTAGCTGGGATTACAGGCACCTGCCACCACGTCCGGCTAATATTGTATTTTTAGTAGAGACGGGGTTTCACCATGTTGGTCATATTGGTCTCGAACTCCTGACCTCAGGTGATCCACCCGCCTCGGCCTCCCAAAGTGCTGGAATTACCGGCGTGAGCCACCGTGCCCAGCCCAGCTTTCTTTTGATTATTGTTTTCATAACATATCTTTTCATTTTTTTTTTTTTTTTTGAGACGGAGTCTCGCTCTGTCTCCCAGGCTGGAGTGACATGGCGCAGTTGAGTGACGTGGCGCGATCTCGGCTCACTGCAAGCTCCGCCTCCCGGGTTCACGCCATTCTCCTGCCTCAGCCTCCCGAGTAGCTGGGACTACAGGCGCCCACCACCACGCCCGGCTAATTTTTTTGTATTTTTAGTAGAGGCGGGGTTTCACCGTGTTGGCCAGGATGGTCTCGATCTCCTGACTTCGTGATCCACCCGCCTCGGCCTCCCAAAGTGCTGGGATTACAGGCGTGAGCCACCGCGCCCGGCCTCATCTTTTTACTTTTAAACTATTTGTGTCTTCGTACTCCAGCCTGGGCAACAAGAGCGAAACACTGTCTCAAAAAAAAGAAAAGTATTTAAGTGGCATGTAGTTGCTCTAGGTAAATAATATAGTTATCTTCATTTTTCCCAACAAGTTACTGCTTGAGTTGGCATTTTAACTTAGTTTTAATTAAAATTTAAATATTTTGCTACTTTATATTTTGTCAGAAATGATCTTGATTCCATGGGACTCTCAGTTTTTTAAACATTTGCTGTATAACTGCTTTGTGCATACAGTCTAGCCCTTGCCTTCACAGAGACTCAGTCAGTTAGGGGATAAAACAAAGGCATATTCTGTGCAAGGTTTATTTCAACCATCTTTTAGAAGATAAATTTGGGGTTTTAGGGTTCCAAGATTTGAAACATTACATTTGATTGGTGAAGGGCTAGTTCTCAGGTTCTCATGGGGTTGATGTTTGAGGCCGAGAATAACCTTTTTTTTTTTTTTTCCTTGAGATGGAGTCTCCCTCCTGTTGCCCATGCTGGAGTGCAGTGGCACGATCTCGGCTCACTGCAACCTCTGCCTCCTGGGTTCAAGCGATTCTCCTGCCTCAGCCTCCCAAGTACCTGGGATGAAAGGTGCCTGCCACCTTCGGCTAATTTTTGTATTTTTAGTAGAGACAGTGTTTCACCATGTTGGCCAGGCTGATCTCAAACTCTCAGCCTCAGGTGATCCACCTGCCTCGGCCTCTCAAAGTGCTGGGATTACAGGCATAAGCCACCACGCCCAGCTTTTTTTTTTTTTTTTTAAATAAATGCAAGCTTAGGTACAGGCTCTTGTCAAATAAGGAATCAACAAAGAAATAAAATATTGATTCATTTTTATCCATCTTGAAAACATACTAGTATTTGAAGGGCAAATAATTAAAATATGAAAAACAATTAGGGAAATGGAGTCTATTTTGGAATCTTTGAAAAAGCAGAGGAGAAATGTTAGGAGAGAAATCAAGATAGAACTGCAAGTTTAAGGCATTATTGCCTATCTCAGCTAAGCATTGGCCTTTATTTCAAGAGATCGAAGGAAACCCTCACATTTTTGAACTGAAAGTCAACACATACATTTGAATCACACACATTTCCACCTGACCACTGAGGGTACTTGTATGAAGACAGCAACTGAGTTTTCTATATCGCTTCCTCTGTGTCAATCACGTTTCTATACATTATATATATGGACTCAATCTTTTTTTTTTTTTTTTTTTCAGGCAGAGTTTTGCTCTTGTTGCCCAGGCTGGAGTGCAATGGCACGATCTCGGCTCACTGCAACCTTCGCCTCCCAGGTTCAAGCGATTCACCAGCCTCGGCCTCCCGAGTAGCTGGGATTACAGGCATCAACCACCACGCCTGTCTAATTTTTGTGTTTTTTAGTAGAGACGGGGTTTCGCCATGTTAGCCAGGCTGGTCTCAAACTCCTGACCTCAGGTGATCCACCTGCCTCAGCCTCCCAAAGTGCTGGAATTACAGGCTTGGGCCACCGCGCATGGCCTGGGCTCAATCTTTATAGTGGTCCTATGAAAATAGGTACTGTCATTATCCTTTTTTTAAAAAAAATGAGAAAATGGAGGTACAGTGAGATGAAAGAATTTGCTCAAAGTTGGACACATATGAAGTGGCAGAATTGACCTACAAAACAGGGCAGCAAAATTCAGAGGCAACATTTTTATTCATTTCTGTCTGTTAGAAATCTGAAAAGGTCAGTGTGTGAGTCAAATCCTACTTTGATACCTATTTTTGTAAATGTACTTTATTGGAATATCACCATGCTTATTTATGTATCATCTGTGACTGCTTTCAAGTTACAACAGCAGTGTTGACTGGTTGCAACAGAGACTGCTTGACCTGCAAATCCTAAAATATTTACTGTTTGACCAGCCTGACCAACATGGTGAAACCCCATCTCTACTAAAAATACAAAAATTAGCCGGGCATGGTGGCCCGCGCCTGTAATTCCAGCTACTTGGGAGGCTGAGGCAGGGGAATCGCTTGAACCCAGGAGGCAAAGGTTGCAGTGAGCCGAGATCACACCACTGCACTCCAGCCTGGGCAACAGAGTGAGACTCCATCTCAAAAACAAACAAACAAACAAACAAATAGTCAAAGTAATGTATAATGCTCAAAATGTAATCTTAGGCCTAATGAAGGAATAGACTCCTATATTACTCATAAATGATATAAGTAATATTAAACTTGGGGTCTAGCTTACGTGACCAAGATAATGATGAAAACTTTAAGTTGAAAGCTTATGTTGAAAAACAAAATAAAATCATTTCATATGCAAATTTTAACACCACAGTCAGGAATGTCAATGGATATACAGGGTAAAAGAAGAGAGAAAATTAACCTAGATGATAAACTGTATACATTGCATATTGATTAATCTACTATAAAACAATGGCACAAGTACATGATTGTTTTGATTCTTGAACCTTGATTGATTATAGATAGCATCAAATGTAGTATACTCTGGGGGAGAAAAGATTGGACTATGAGAGGAAATTCTATTTTAAGCTTTGTACAATTATAAGACATAAGGAGGACACAAATCTCATTAAGGGCAGATTTGGGAGAGAAACAGTGACAAAGCTAAAACCGTGACTTATTTGGGAAACATCAGTGTAGCATGATAAGGACAAGCCATTTTATATCACTCACATGAGCAGGCTTCATGTCATTGGGTAAAAATTCACAGTAATCCTGGAGAAAATGAAGAATGTGTGAATCAATGTATTGTGTGCAAACGGTGATATGAGGGTAGCCTGAGTCATATGAACTCCCTGGGAAAAACGACCAGCTTTGTGTATGTAGCAAGTGGACTTGGTACTCCTATTACCTAAAAAGAGCCTCTGCAAGTACTTATTGACAAAAGTTGACATCTACTCTGCATATGGAATAGCTGTCCCTGCCTCTCAGGCATTTTGTACCATAAAGGCCAACAGATTGCCATTATCAATATTTTGATGTCCTCAAAACAGTTTCAGTGGTAACCACATGATCGTACAAGAATACGCCTCCTTCATTCTGTTGCCAGAGAAGTACAGGAATCTTCAGTTCTTTGTCTTATTTGGAGAAAGCATTCTGCTTTCCAGTCTTTTCCAGTGGAGAGTAGGCCTTTGTTATGGGGGATGCTCTGAACATATTTCAGAATGGTTCTTTTACTCTCTCTCTGCCAGAAAAGAAAGGATCTTTTTCTTGGCTTTCCACTATGGGAACTCACTTTGGTTTTTGGAGGTAAATTCCAAGCAAGTGGGGCGGGGGCGGGGCCCTAAGTCTAGGTGCTAGGAGTTTCTCTCTCTCAAGCTAGTCCATAATCAGCCTCCGGCAATTTGTCAGAACTACTATTTAAGTGTTCCTACCAGTATATGACTCAGGCAACTCCTGTTTTAAATTTTTTTTTTTTTTTTTTTTTTTTTTTTTTTTTTGAGACTGAGCCTCACTCTGTTGCCCAGGCTAGAGTAGTGGTGTGATCTCGGCTCACTGCAACCTCTGTCTCCTGGGTTCAAGCGATCCTCCTGTCTCAGCCTCCCGAGTAACTGGGATTACAGGCGCCCACCACCATGCCCGGCTAATTTTTGTATTTTTGTAGACAGGGTTTCGACATGTTGGCCAGGCTGGTCTCAAACTCCTGACCTCAAGTGATCCACCCGCCTCAGCCTCCCAAAGTGCTGGGATTACAGGTGTGAGCCACTGCGCCCGTCCTGACTCATGCAACTTCTGCTTCAGGTAAGCAGATTTAGGCTGTTTATTCTGTGTTTACCTGTCTCTACATTTTGGGGTGGCAGTTTTTTTCCTGTGACTTTATCTGATGAGACTTAGGAAAGTCATTGATTTTTAGTTGGTTTAGCTTTTTTTTCCTTTTCTTTCTTCTTTTTTTTTTTTTTTTTTTTTTTTTGTTGAGACTGAGTCTCACTCTGTCGCCCAGGCTGGAGTGCGGCGGCGGGATCTCGGCTCACTGCAACCTCCGCCTCCTGGGTTCTATGGATTCTCCTGCCTCAACCTCCCAAGTAACTGGGACTACAGGCGCGCGCCACTGCACCCAGCTAAGCTTTTGTATTTTTAGTAGAGACGGGGTTTCACCATGTTGGCCAGATTGGTCTCGAATTCCTTGGCCAGACTGGACTCTAACTCCTGAACTCGTGATCCGCCCGCCTCAGCCTCCTATAGTGCTGGGATTACAGGAGTGAGCCACTGCGTCCAGCCAAGCTTTTTTTCTCTTGTGAGGGTTGCAGTAATGAGTCTCAAGCTCTTTACATGTTGGAACTAAAACTGGAAGTTCCTGGTATTCTTTTCTACTTCTGTAGTAATTCTCTTTCTTTGGAAATCACTTTCTCTGTCTGCCCAGCTAAGTCTCCATTTTTCAGGTTATGGGTGCACATTATGCCTTACGGTGGGAGGGGCAGAAGTACTGTCATGGGCTCCCTCTGCAATGGTGTTTGTCAGTGTTCTCTTCCTCCAGATTAGCTTCTTCTTTCCATTAAGTGAGAGGCTCTGGTAGACCTCAGGAATGAAGCAAAGCCTGTTCTGCTCCTACAGTGAGATAGCAAGGCAAAAGCTGCTGTGCAGTGTTCACATAGTATATATGGTAGAGTCCCTGTGTCTTTTGGCATTTTTGTTGCCAACTATCCTTTCTCTGCTTCTAAACTAGTAAAGCAGTTACTGTTCTGGTCCCAGCTTTACTAGAATATTTTTAGTCCCCATATCTTGGTGACCTTTGGTGGGGGAAGCGATTCCAAGTTAGATACAGGCAGTTTCTCTATGTGTAGACACACATTCCTATCTCCAGCACTCATCCATAGCAACTGGAGGAAATTCACTTCTATCCATTTTCCTTTAACCCCTGCATCCCAGTCACCCCTTTATTGCAATGCCCGAGGCTCTGGATCACTCCAGGCTGCTGCACTCTCTTAAATTCCAGGTAACTCTTTTGGGATATTTATGACTTTCATTTTCAGGGCTTTGGGACCTGGGAGAATGGTGTGAGTAAAGCCAGAGGGATCTGAGAAGACAGATACTTTACTCCTGCACTGGTGTCTCTAGATAATTTCCCAGCTGGCTCTCTCTGCCTGTGTAAACAAGCCTTGAGGATATGACCCTTGCCAACTCTTGTTAGCCACTCCTGTTTACATAGAGCTCTAAGTACATGCCCATGGAAATAGCTGCATATTCTTGAATGACTAAACTTGCTCATTTTTCTGTCCAGGTCATTTCTGCTATCCAGAAGCACAGCTCAGCTGAGAGTGAGGCACCAGAAGAATGCCTAAGAGTTTCCAAAAGTGATGATTTTTCTACCATTAATATATTATATGTTGGTAGTATGAAAGGAAAATAAATCTTGGAGCTTCAAAATCACTAGGCCAAATAGAAAAGTCAAGCTGGGAACTGCTTAGGGCAAACCTGCCTCCCATTCTATTCAAAGTCATCCCTCTGCTCACTGACATAAATGCCTATCTGATTGACTCCTTTGAAAAGGCTAATCAGAAACTCAAAAGAATGCAACAGGTTGTCCTTCACCAACCTGTGACCTGGAAGCCCCCTCCCTGCTTGAGTTGTCCTGCCTTTTCAGATGGAACCAATGTACATCTCACATTTATTGATTGATGTCTCATGTCTCTCTAAAATGTATACAACCAAGTTGTGCTCTGATCACCTTGGGCACATGTTGTCAGGACCTCCTGAGGCTGTCAGGGACACATGTCTTCAGCCTTGGTAAAATAAACTTTCTATATTATCTGAGATCTGTCTCAGATTTTCGGGGTTCAGACTAGACAGTTGTTAAGAAAATAACAAAAAGACATTAAAGACATAGCATAGTTGCATGTCCATTGAACTCAGAGAAATGAGTTTTTTAAAAAGGAAAAAACTCAGCTGGGCGCGGTGGCTCACACCTGTAATCCCAGGACTTCGGGAGGCCGAGGCAAGCAGATCATGAGGTCAAGAGTTTGAGACCATCCTGGCCAACATGGTGAAACCCTGCCTCTATTAAAAATACAAAAAATTAGCCGGGCGTTGTGGCAGGTGCCTGTAGTCCCGGCTACTTGGGAGGCTGAGGAAGGAGAATGGCGTGAACCCGGCAGGCGGAGCTTGTAGTGAGCCGAGATCACGCCACTGCACTCCAGCCTGGGCGACAGAGCGAGACTACCTCTCAAAAAAAAAAAAAAGAAAAAAAGAAAAATTAGCTGGACGTGGTGGCGCATGCCTGTAATCCCAGCTACTCAGGAGGCTGAGGTAGGAGAATCGAACCTGGGAGGCGGAGGTTGCGGTGAGCCAAGATCATGCCATTGCACTCCAGTCTGGGCGACAAGAACGAAACTCCATCTCAAAAAAACAAACAAACAAATAAAAAAAACCGGAAAAAACTCAAGTGAACAAAATGAATGATGAAAAATTGAATGTCATCCACACAGAACTGATGGGCTAAGGTAATATACACATCTCAACACATGCTTTAACAAATCTGTCTGATGCTTTACTATTGTAAATGAAAGAGTATCTGAGAAAACTCTCAATCAATTTAGGAAGTTTATTTTGCCAAGGTTAAGGATGCACCCATGACAGCCTCAGGAGGTCCTGACAACATGTACCCAAGGTGGTCAGGGCACAGCTTGGTTTTATACATTTGAGGGAGATGTGAGACATCAATCAATATATGTCCGCAAAGGCGGGACAGCTGAGTCCGGAAGGGGGTTTCCAGGTCATAGGTAGATAAAAGACAAACAGGTTGCATTAAGCAATAGGGCAAAGGAAGTAACCAGATATTCATTTATCTCACCTGAGCAAAGGGGTGACTTTGAGTTCTGTCTGGAGCTTTTTTTTTTTTTTTTTTTTTATCTTAGTAGCTGTCTTTTTTTGGAATAGAATGGGAGCCAGGTTTGCCCTAACCAGTTCTCAACCTGACTTTTCCCTTTGGCTTAGTGATTTTTGGGTCCCGAGATTTTCTTCCCTTTTACACTATCTAAATGTATTAGTTACCAATATTGAAATAAGGAAAAGAAATCTGAAAGTATTAGGTTGGTACAAAAGTAATTGCGGTTCTTGCTATTATAATACTTTTATTTATTTTGTTTATTTTTATTTTTTTATTTTTTGAGACAGAGTCTTGCTCTGACACCCAGGCTGGAGTGCAGTGGTGCGATCTCGGCTCACTGCAACCTCCGCCTCCCGGGTTCAAGCAATTCTCCTGCCTCAGCCTCCTGAGTAGCTGGGATTACAGGCGCATGCCACCATGCCCGGCTAATTTTTTTTTTTTTTTTTTGTAATTTTAGTAGAGACGGGGGTTTCACCATGTTAGCCAGGGTGGTCTCGAACTCCTGACCTTGTGATCCGCCCGCCTCAACCTCCCAAAGTTCTGGGATTACAGGTGTGAGCCACCACAGTTGGCTTTATAATACTTTTAATTTCAAAAGCCGCAATTACTTTTGCACTAACCTGATAGTAATTGACTCCCTTAAAAGTAGTCAAAGCATATTCCCAAGGTATTGGATGTGGATACATTTTTGTGGGAAAGTTGTTAAACTTCCAACAAGTTTATAATTGTCCTTGATCACCATGCATGAGTCAGATGGAGAGGGCAAAAATGAAAATTGTACCTTGTCAGGTGGTTTCCAAAGGTGGCACCTTTTATTATGTAATGTGCTCTACAGGAGGTAGACTAGGATTGTTTTGATGCATACAGCACAGAAAATGAATCTA
This sequence comes from Homo sapiens, assembly GCF_000001405.40. Lineage (NCBI taxonomy): Eukaryota > Metazoa > Chordata > Mammalia > Primates > Hominidae > Homo > Homo sapiens. Next base: position 5,623,990 of record NC_000011.10, read on the forward strand.
TCAACTTATATTCCTCATGAAAATGGAGCATGCTGTTTGTGGAGGCACAATGTGGGGTCATCCTGTGACCAAACGAGTGGCAACTCTTGTTCAAGTTTCCTCCTCGTTCGGTTTGATTTCAAGGTTACCTCAGTTTCAAAGCAGCCCTTTCTGTCCAGGGCACAAAACTCCTGATTTACTACTTACAACTAGTGGTTCTCAGCCTCAGATTCGCGTAAAAATTACCTGGAAGACTTTTCATTTTTAAATAATGTTACTGATATATATGTTATATGCAATAATATGCACCCATTTACTGTGCACAGTTTGATGAGTTTTGAAAAAGTTTTACCCCTTTTAAAGATTTAGAGCATTTCCAACACTCCCAAAAGTTCCCCAGGTCCTTTGTAGCCAACTTTTCTCAGCACCATCCACCTCTCCGCCACCCATCCTCCATCTCCTAGCGGGTGACATGGTACTTTGGTAGGTAGCACACAAGTGGATCGTTGGAGCTGAAGGATAATTCAAATTGGTAAACTGATTCGAGGGACCATGTGCAACCATGAAAGTGGTAGGAGAAGGGGAGTTGGGTGTTTAGCTGGCCTGGGAGGCAGGGAAGGTTAAAACAGGGCTTTTCAAACACAGCACTATTGATGTTTTGGAATGGATCATTCTTTGCTGTGGGAACTGTCCCATACATTGTAGAATGCTTAGCGGCATCTGTGACCTGTACCCACTAAGATGCCAGTAGCATTCCCCTAGTTAACAACCAAATATCTCTTCAGACATTGCCAAATGTGCCATCTAGTGCAAATCCTCCATTCTGCCCTCGAGAATCACTGGATTAAGAGCATTACCTTCTGTCCAGAGGCTCTAAAGGACTACACAGCTCATTTCACCTAGACGCTCCTTCCCCTTTTCTCTTCCTGACAGCCCCAAAAATTTCACTTTCATTTCTCAGGCAGTTCCTCCTCAGGAGGGAGGGACTTCTTCACACAGAGGAACCTCATTTGTTGAATGAATCCTGACCACACCCACCCTGGCTTTTCTTCACCTCTTCAACCAGGAGCCGAGATTTCTGTTGCTCTGAAGGTGTGTGGGGAGGTTTGTGGGGGGTAGAGGGTATGAGACTCCAGGAGAAAAGTTCTCAGTGAAGTTAGGGGAATTTGATTTATGGCCCCAAGTCTCCCCTGCTCTGTCGGGAGCAAAGGCTAGCTTGCAGGCTTCCTGCTTTGAGTGCACACTGATAGCAGCCTAGAGTCTGGGGAGGGACAGCCTTGAAAGCAGTGTTAAAGAGGCAGAAGGCCGCCTTTGTTTTCTGGGGTGTCTTTTTTTCCTCCAGGCTGAATCTATTTCCATTCCCTTCCTATTGTATAATTTTGATTTTCTACCTTGCAAAGGAAACAATTCTCTCTCTCTCTTTCTCTCTCTCAAAGAGATGAACAGAAGATCTCTTATTTTCCACCTCCTACTCCCTCCTCAAAAGAGAAGTTGGTGAAAGGAGGTCTCTGTTTTCCAAGTGTGTGCAGGGCTTAGCTCCTAGTATGTGGCGTCAGATAGAATGGAGCCATGGGAGCACGGCCAGGGGTTGAAGTGGGTTCTTTTGCTGCCCTCCTGGCAACCACTAAGGGGCTTTCTGTGGCCATCCTCACGTATTCTTAGTCCTTGGCCTCCCTGACAATAGCAGGTTGAGTGATGTGACTGCCGCACACCGCTCTGTTCCCTCTGTTCCTATGTCTTTCTGCAGGTCTCAGGGCTCTCCTTGCACATCCCTGAACATACCTGTTTACTTTTACTTCAGTAACCCATGTGCTACCAGCGTCTTCACCTGTCTCAGAACTTGCTCCTCATCATTCTTCCTCTTAGACACACCTTGGCATTGATTTGTAACCTCAATTTGTTATTGCTTTTCTTTGCTCACAATTACTTAACAGAAGTTGTTCATTGTGGGCTCAGAAGGAGCCCACGGATTTAATCTTCTTGTTAAGAATTTGATATAGAGTATGTCCTATCTTAAGCTCACTTGTGAGCAATTTGCACCTTGATTGATATGTTACAGATATTCTGACACATGCCATTCTGGCCTCTGCTCTCACCCTTCAGAGTTCACTGTAACTGCCATCCTGTGTCTCTGCCTTACTCCTGGGTAGAATCCATGTCTGCCTACATACTGACTGTCTCCCAGAGGCGTCTAGTCAGGCACAAGACCCAACATATGGGATAAAATTGATTATAAAGCAGGCTGCTAATGTAAAAACGTGCAATTAGCATCCATTTAACATTCAATAAATATGAAATATACGTGGAAGCCTACATCCAAATAGAAAGTGATCATAGACCATATCGATGAATGTTAGAGTACACAAGAAGATGACTAATACTATGGAGTAACATCTTCAAGAAGTTACATTAGGGTAATGACTCTGTAAAGACCTCATGAAGGCCTTGCAACTTTAAATAGTTTTTATGAAAGTTTTAAATAGTTTTCATTGTAAGAACACATTTGAGTAGAATCTTAAGAATGCGAGGAAATTAAAGGCTTTAATGGTTTTTCCCACGGGCTTAAAAGGAGAACAGTGTGGAAGATTAAGATGGGAGTGTGCCTGGAGAGGCATAAAAGGTGAGTTCTTACCAGGCGCGGTGGTTCACGCTTGTAATCCCAGCACTTAGGGAGGACAAGGCAGGAAGATCACCAGAGATCAGGAGTTCAAGACCAGCCTGGCCAATGTGGTGAAACTGTGTCTCTACTAAAAAAATGCAAAAATTAGCCGGGTGTGGTGGCGGATGCCTGTAGTCCCAGCTACTCGGGAGGCTGAGGCAGGAGAATCAGTTGAACCCAGGAGGTGGAGGTTGCAGTGAGCCAAGATCTCGCCATTGTACTCCAGCCTGGGGGAAAAGAGCAAGACTCTGTCTCAAAAAAAAAAAAAAATATGGTGAGCTCTGAGGATTGAGGCAGTGGGAAGGCATGTGTGATGTGGACCTAACTGGACCATTATGAAGTCTGGCCTCGCTCTGGGTGGCATGGGTTTGAACAGGAGAGTGACATGATTGACATCTGCTTTAAGGTGATCACTCTGTCTACTGATGTAAGAACAGAGATGAGAGCAGAGTGAAGAAGGACAGTGATGGGTGGGCACAGTAGCTCACACCTGTAATCCCAGCACTGTGGGAGGCCAAGGCGGGTGGATCACCTGAGGTGGATCATGAGTTTGAGACCAGCCTGGCCAACATGGTGAAACTCTCTCTACTAAAAATACAAAAATTAGCTGGGCGTTGTGGCAGGCACCTGTAATCCCAGCTACTCGGGAGGCTGAGGCAAGAGAAGCGCTTGAACCCAGCAAGCAGAGGTTGCAGTGAGCCGAGATCATGCCACCACACTCCAACCTGGGTAACAAGAGCAAAACTCCGTCTCAAAAAAAAAGGAAGGGCAATGATAGTATCAGCAAGACTAGTGGAAGAACAATTTCCTGAATTCAGGTGGTTTCTACCAGAGTGGTGGCAGTTGAGGTGGTTGGAAACTAATTTGAAAAAAAACTCTTTCAGCATATTCTCACGAAGTAACAGACAGAAAAAGACATTAGGGATTGCTTAATGAAAATGATTCTATGTTAAAAAATAGCTTTTTGGAGATATATTGACCAGAACACTACAGCTCTTGGGGAGAGAGTCATTAATGTGGTATAGATTGGGCCCTGGACTCTAAGGAGTAGCTGAAGCAAGAACTCAGTGCACAGAGGAATGGGGAGGAGATGCTACAATGTTTCTGAGCTCTCAGGGTCTCTGGATGTCAAAACAGGCTCTACTTTCCTTATTGGCAGTTTCTGACCAAGAATCCAGAAGAAGTGTCTAGGATATTGTCTAGAAACTTCAAAAGACATCCTCCCCTAAAAGTCACTCGTAGAGACACTCTAATTTTACTATCTACCTGCAGAGAGACTTAAAGTTTGCATTATCATATCCAGATGTTAGGAGTCCAGATGTTAGGAGAAGACTCAAATGAAGGGTATAATCACCTGGCAGCTATGGTAACCAGGTAACCTGGGAGTTCTGTCAGGCCAATGGCACTCATGTTCCCTTCTCTACCTCCCTGACTGCTGCTGGGCTTGAGCCACACTGGGAAGTGGTGGGGTCATTTCTCACACGTGGGACCGTGGTTACTCTGCACTTTTCTCATTCTTTTGCCATTATGGTGGCAGCAGCTTTGGCATCAACATGCATCCTCACTGTGAACATGAAGTCACAGCCCGTGGCAGAATGCATGTTCTACTACTTCCTCTCCTGGAGCCCCCCGGTATTTCTAACTATTGGTTGGATACTGATTGGAATAAAAGATAACAAAGAACCCCACATCTGTGGTTGGCTCATGGCTTTAGCCATAAACAGGGGTGAATATTATCATATCATATAAACTCCTTGTCTTACTAGTCATCAGATCCTGGTCTGACCAATGGTCATTGTAGCCAGGGGCTACCAGTATATCTCTTTTGTATGATTTTTAGTATCTGTACCATTGGCTGGATGACACTCGCCAGTCAACTTTCAGCTTTTTTTCCTCCTTAAGGTCTTTTGATGGATGGTTAGAGGAGTAGACAGGTCTCGAGGCCTAGGTTTATCTCCATACAGCTTTTATTGTACCCCATCCTTTTGCCAAGCGTGGGAAAGATTCCTAAGTTGTCACACATCACAGATCTTTCTTTCACTATCAAACCTGTTCAATTATATTAGTTTCCTAGCACTGTTGTAACCAATTATCACAAACTAGATGACTTAAAACAACAGGAATTTGTATCACAGCTCAGGAGCCCAGAAGTCCAAAACCAAGATGGCGGCAAAGTTGATTTTTTTTTTTCAGAAGGCTCTATGTGAAAATCGGTTCTATTCCTCTCTCCTAGCTTCTGGTGGTTTCTAGCAAACCTCGGCATTCTTTGGCTTATATCTGTGCTATTCCCATCTCTGCCTCTACTGTCACATGGCTTTCTTTCCCGTGTGTCTGTATGTCTTCTCCTCTTATAAAAACACAGGTCAAGGCCGGGTGCAGTGGCTCACACCTGTAATCCCAGCACTTTGGGAGGCCGAGACAGGTGGATCACCTGAGGTCAGGAGTTCAAGACCAGCATGGCCAACATGGTGAAACCCCGTCTCTACTAAAAATCTAAAAATTAGTTGGGCGTGGTGGCATACACCTGTAATCCCAGCTACTCAGGAGACTGAGGCAGGAGAATCGCTTGAACCTGGGAGGCGGGGGTTGCAGTGAGCTGAGATTGTACCATTGCATTCCAGCCTGGGCGACAGAGCGAAACTCCATCTCAAAAAAAAACAAAAACTACAGGTCATTGAATTTAGGGCCTGTCTTTATCCAGTATGACCTCATCTTAACTTGATTACACCTGCAAAGATGTGATTTTCAAATAAGTTCACATTCACATAAGTGAACAATTTTTGTGGAGGGTATAAATCTATCTACTAGAACAAGTATCAAAATGTTACTGCCTACTGAGAGCCACCCTTTTTCCCTTTGCCTCACAGTTTCTTGTCTAAACTGACCTCAGGTTCTGAGAATTGGCATTGTATCATCATGCCACTACTCTGTGGTACACCCTCTGGCTGACCACAAGCAATAATTGCAGGTTTGTTTTGCCATTTGCACTCATGCAGCTTAACTCCACAGGGGGAATACAGGACAGGAGATATAGCATGCAGACAGGGCCGCTTCAGGTGAGCTCTCCGTGAGGATTCTTTTGTTTTGTTTTGTTTTTTGAGACGGAGTCTCGCTCTGTCGCCCGGGCTGGAGTGCAGTGGTGCGATCTCGGCTCACTGGAAGCTCTGCCTCCCGGGTTCACGCCATTCTCCTGCCTTAGCCTCCCGAGTAGCTGGGACTACAGGCGCCCGCCGCCACCCCTGGCTAATTTTTGTATTTTTAGTAGAGATGGGGTTTCACCTTGTTAGCCAGGATGGTCTTGATCTCCTTACCTCGTGATCCGCCTGCCTCGGCCTCCCAAAGTGCTGAGATTACAGGGGTGAGCCACCGCGCCCGGCCTCAGTGAGGATTCTTACGGTGGTACAAGACCATGTGACCATGTGGATGCGTGTGAAACTAACGTAGCTTAGGTAAATCTTACATCAACGGATTGATTCCCTTGTAAAGACCATGAACATAGCTTCCAGGGCCCTACAGAGAATATTTTGTTACAAGAGTCTCAATCCTCTTACGGAAAATGAGGTCTGTGCTTACCAAAAAGAATAAAAATAAAATAATATACCAGGGGATGGTGATGGCGATGTGTTTTTTATAGGAAGAAAGGACTTAAGCCTAATGATAACCTTTTTTTCCCCCACATGTCTAGTCTGACTTCCAATCTTATTTCCTTTACCTTACCCTACTTCCCACCCTCATCTGCTTCTCTCTGTTAACTTGTCCTGCATCCTCCCATCCCTGCCCCCACCTCCTATTCATTGGAAAGAGACTGTCACTTTTACTTCATTTAGGAAGTGTCACATATCCAGGTTCCTCTAGGCTCATGTGAGGCCAAGGCCTAGGGCTTTTTGCATATCAGCCACACATTTAAAAACTTTCGAACATGTTATGATGCTATGTCCTCCATGAACGGGGCATTCACTTCCATGATTCCTTCTGCCTAAAATATTTGTTTTCTTTCTCATTCTGTATTCCTTTCTCATTATTCAGCTTTCATTAAACTCTTACTTATCCAAGCAAGATATCTTGGATAGTTCTCTATTTAGCACATTATTTGGTCTTCTAAAAACCTATACCTCTCTATGATGGTGTTTTTTACACCTACCATTTTACATTTTATGAATGATTATATAATTAGCTTCTATCTTCTTAGGTGACTGTTTACTTTATTCTGGCTAATACCATCTGTTCATTACTCAACTTTGGATTTTAATCCATTTCCTGAATTTTAATCACGGAAGATAATATGTCTTCAGTGAGAATTTCCAAAATAAACACATGAATAATTGGCATTCAATTAGTGGATGTGGATTTAACACAGACAGAACTTCATCGCTCCTAAATGTGGTCTCCCTTTATGTATTGGGACATCTCTCTCATGGCCAACAGCCATCTCCTTGCTATTTCTATTCCTCGATGATCTGACATTGGTATGAATCTGTGATCTATGTGTAATTCAGCTGGTTACACCCCTCCCCCAACGAATACACACCTTTGGGTTCCTATCAACCTCTGTAACATCCTTCAGGCCAAGAAGAAATCCTACCATCTACAAACACAAGACCCCCCCAGAAATTCCCAACTTATGTGGTTTCCTCCATTTCTACACTCTCATAACCCTGGATCCCAATCTACTTCTTTCAGGCTTTACCTCGGCTTTTCTTTGTTTAAATAAGTGGAGTAGCATGGAGACCTCTGAAAGAGAACTCTGAGGGTATTATGTTCACTCCAATTCTACCATCGAATTGGGTGATCTTTGTAAATCATTTAATTTTATTTATTCATCTGAAGAAAGGGAGTACTCTTATTTCTCAAGAATTTTGGAAGGAGGAACAAACAGGCCAAAGTGATTTTTAAATTGTAACTGGTAATGAAATCTCCATATTGTGGTCATTGCTGTTTCTGTCGGTATCTCTGGAAAGTCTGTGAGGGCATGGGAGGATTTTGTGTGGGTAGATGTGTTAGGAGGCGAGCACTTCTTCACTGGAAACCACATCTGGGGTTCTAAAGTTCAGCTATTGAAGAATTTCCAAATAATGGAAGGAAGATAATGAAACAATGATAAAGTTTTAGTCATCTGTGGAGAGACAGGGAAGTTTTTTTTATATGTTTATCAAACATTGTGCTTCTCTGTGTTCTAAACACTGAGGCTATAGCAGTAAAAAGACAAAAGTGCCTAATCTACATGTAGATTATGTTTTAGAAAGAAGAGGTGGACATTTAAAAATAGATAATGATAATAAAAGAAAGATGGCAAATGTACACTGAATGATGAGTTTGTGGTTGTGCTGTACTTAAGTTTGTCTTAGCAGCCCTTCTGATGAAGGGACATGTAAGGAGAAAGTTGAAAAAAGTATAAACGAAAGTCATGCAAATAGCAACAGGATGGTAATTCTAGGCTGAGTAATGAACAAGTGCAAAAGCCTTGAGGCATTAACAGCTCGCCCAGACCACTTTCAGCCATTTTTGGTTTCTCTTCCTCATCTTCTTTGTTCTTTGATATTGCAGTCTCGGCCAGTCTTTATTGTCTGTGCAATTAGAATGCTTTTTATTTGTACCATTCTTATACCATCCCCTTTCAATCTTCTCAGCCATCCAGGGGTCTTTAACCAGAAGAGAGAGGAGAGCCTCAGGAGTTAGGACCAGAAGAAGCCAGGGAAGCAGTGCAATGGCTTCAAAAATCTTGCTTAACGTACAAGAGGAGGTGACCTGTCCCATCTGCCTGGAGCTGTTGACAGAACCCTTGAGTCTAGACTGTGGCCACAGCCTCTGCCGAGCCTGCATCACTGTGAGCAACAAGGAGGCAGTGACCAGCATGGGAGGAAAAAGCAGCTGTCCTGTGTGTGGTATCAGTTACTCATTTGAACATCTACAGGCTAATCAGCATCTGGCCAACATAGTGGAGAGACTCAAGGAGGTCAAGTTGAGCCCAGACAATGGGAAGAAGAGAGATCTCTGTGATCATCATGGAGAGAAACTCCTACTCTTCTGTAAGGAGGATAGGAAAGTCATTTGCTGGCTTTGTGAGCGGTCTCAGGAGCACCGTGGTCACCACACAGTCCTCACGGAGGAAGTATTCAAGGAATGTCAGGTAGGGCCCTAGATGGAGGGAGATGGGGCAGAAGATGGTAGTTGGTGGAAAATCTCACCTTTTCATCCTTTTTTTTTTTTTTTTTTTTTTGAGACAGAGTCTCACTCTGTCGCCCAGGCTGGAGTGCAGTGGCGTGCTCTCGGCTCACTGCAACCTCTGCCCTCTGAGTTCAAGTAATTTTCCTGCCTCAGCCTCCCAAGTAGCTCGGATTACAGGCGCCTGCCACCGCGCCTGGCTAATTTTTTTTTTTTTTTTTTGGATTTTTAGTAGAGACGGGATTTCACCATCTTGGCCAGGCTGGTCTTGAACTCCTAATCTTGTGATCCACCCACCTCGGCCTCCCAAAGTGCTGGGATTACAGGTGTGAGCCACCATGCCCGGCCTTTTCTTTCTTTTTTTTTTTTTTTTTTTGTGAGCAATAAAGCTTTTTAATCACCTGGGTGCAGGCGGACTGAGTCTGAAAAAGGAGTCAGCCCTTTTCATCCTTCTTTACCCCCTGTGGAACCATAATTCTGAGTCCCGTGATCTTCTCCATGTACATCTTTCACACTGTGCTCAGCTTCCAATGCCTGGGGTACACTCTTGTGTATTCCTTTCATTTACATAACAGATGATCCTAGAGTACAGTCTCTTAGCCAAGAATGAGAAATTTTTGTCTTGTTTTTTCCTTTTTCATTGTATAAGTGATAAATTCCTTCCCAAAGTTAGCTCTCTTGCTTCTCTAAGCAGGATAATTGCTAAGGAACATTGTGGATTGAATGAGGAAAGAGCATTGATAAGAGGAAAGGACTTTCTGCAGGGTAAATACTTACTCTAAGGAAAGACAGAATCAGGCTACTCCTTTTGAGGGGTATTGATTTTCATCACAATGAATGAACAATACATTCATCTCCTCAAAATTTTCCCCATGTCATAGATTCTAATCACCAGCTTCACAGTTTCTGTAAATTGCTTTTTTCTGGGATCAACTTGATTTTTTCCCTGTTTGTCCTCTATCCAGATACTAAGAAAGCTTATAGCTTGACTGTAGTGTGATTCCCTTCTCATAGGAGAAACTCCAGGCAGTCCTCAAGAGGCTGAAGAAGGAAGAGGAGGAAGCTGAGAAGCTGGAAGCTGACATCAGAGAAGAGAAAACTTCCTGGAAGGCAAGAGGAGATTCTGAAGGTTTTCTGAGACAGGAATCTTGACAGGACCTTAATCCAAGGAGGCCTCGTCCTTTTTATTCCTTGACATTGCATGAGTCCTGAAGCCATTTGATTAGTTCTCTTCTCTGTCCTGTCCCTGTTGGGGGTGGAGGCTAGAAAGTGGACATGTTACAATTACACATACATACCTGGAACTGAGCACAAAGATAGACTCTATGATGAGGAAGGCTAGCAAATACTGTGTTCCATTGCTCTTTTCCAACGGGGCTCTACTACTTCTGGTGGAAGACACTACATAAAGGACTATGGTTTTCCTCAAGATTCAAATTAGGAGTGTGGTAAGGCAGGCAGTCATGAATATCCAGGAAAGCTATCTAGAAGCTAAGCCTTATGTTTTATATTTTGTCTCAGGGTTGGCCTAGATAAGACAGTTTGAGGTCATTGTTTTGGTAGGTACTGAAAGGAAAATAGTAGGAAAAAATAGCTTCCCTCCAAGTACCTCTATTGCTTCTACTCCCTTGCTGATTTGAACTCCCTGAAAAAAAAAATCGATATATAGATAATACAAATATATATATACAGATAATATAAATACACACACACACACACACACACACACACACACACACACATATATATATATATATATTTCCCTACTGGCTCCTAATCCCTTGCACAATAGGCCTTAGCCTGACAAACTTACTACAACTCTCTCTTGTCCATCCTTGCAGTATCAGGTACAAACTGAGAGACAAAGGATACAAACAGAATTTGATCAGCTTAGAAGCATCCTAAATAATGAGGAGCAGAGAGAGCTGCAAAGATTGGAAGAAGAAGAAAAGAAGACGCTGGATAAGTTTGCAGAGGCTGAGGATGAGCTAGTTCAGCAGAAGCAGTTGGTGAGAGAGCTCATCTCAGATGTGGAGTGTCGGAGTCAGTGGTCAACAATGGAGCTGCTGCAGGTAAGAAGGTTCGCTCAATCTGAGATTCTGGGAACACAGTTCCCTCCTGTGTCCTTGCGTTCTCATCCTGGTGGTGACACTAAGGGGTTTCTTTGGCCTTGCAGTGCCGCCTTGTCGTCCATTCTAGATGTCATGGACATGAATGACATTTTTATTAATTTATGAAGTAAGGGAATACATTTTACCTTGCAGAAAAGATCCATTATATCTAGTTATAGTCTCTAGGCCCCTATTATATGTGATCTAGTGTCAAGCATTCATCAGACTTCTCTTTACTCTGGTTAGTCACAGGTAAACACATGCATTTTCAGGTTTAAGAGCATACACATTTAAGAAATGTGTTCTATTTAAGTTTAAAATATGCTTATTTGTTATGCAAATGTTCCCTGTTAATTTTTTTTTTTTTTTTTTTGAGACGGAGTCTCGCTCTGTCTCCCAGGCTGGAGTGCAGTGGTGCGATCTCGGCTCACTGCAAGCTCCGCCTCCCAGGTTCACGCCATTCTCCTGCCCAGCATCCCGAGTAGCTGGGACTACAGGCACCCACCACCACGTCTGGCTAATTTTTTTTGTATTTTTAGTAAACATGGGGTTTCACCGTGCTAGCCAGTATGGTATTAATCTCCTGACCTCGTGGTCCGCCTGCCTCGGCCTTCCAAAATGCTGGGATTACAGGCCTGACCCACCGCACCCAGCCCCCTGTTACTTTTTTTTAAACATAAAGTGATAGAATATTGAGCCTTTTGGGGAGAAAGATGGACAAATATATAGACAGACAGTGCTCTCCTTTCTTTGCTGAATTTCCAAATATTTCCTTTTTAAGATTTGGAACGAAGCAGGAGAGTAACTGATTTTCATTTGTTGAATTGTTTGCTTTGTCTCTGGTGCTTATATCCCAGCTTTTTTTAAATTCCTTTTTCCTTTTGTCTTCTTTTTTTGTTTAAATTTAAGATTACTCTGGAACAGAGGTTCCTAAACGTATTTTACACTCATTAGTATGGCTATAATAAAAAAAGATGGACAATACCAAGTGTTTGGGAAGATGTGAAGAAATTGAAACCTTCTTGAATTGCTAGTAGAGATGTAAAATAGTAAAGCTACTTAGGAAAAACTGCTTGGCAGTTGCTCAGAAATGTAAAGAGAGTTCTCATGTGGCCTAGCCATTCCATTCCTACCTATATACCTAGAAGAACTGAATACATATATTTGTGCATAAACTTATATATGAAAGTTCACAGCAGTATTGTTCATAAATAAAACAACTCGTATCTCCTTAAACTGATGATTGGATAAGCAAAATGTGTTATATCCAAACAATGTAATATTGTTTAGCTGTGAAAAATAATGAATTAATAATACATGCTATGACATGGATGCACCTTGAAAACATTATAATTGAAAGAAGGCAAACACAAGTTCTTTTTTGTATGATTCCATTTATATGAAAGTCTGTAAGTAGCAAATCCGTAATATAGAAACTAGATTAGTGGTTGCCAGAGCTCTGGGGAAGAATAGGAAGTAATTGCTAATTAGTGTACAATTTCTATTTGTAGTGATGAAAATGATCTGGATTTACTGTGCAATGACGGTTGCACTACATCGTGAATATTTTAAAGCCTGTTAAATTGTGCACTGTAAAGGGCAAATCTTATGGTATTTGAACTACATCTCAGTAAAAACAAAAACAAAAAGGTTCCGTAGGCCCTTTTTTATGGTTCTTCCTTAAGCTCTTCACAACCCTTTGAATCGCCACCTTCACAAAAGAACACTGTGTTTATGTCATTTGTCCAGGCATTTGTCCTATTTCAGTCAGTCTTAGTTGCTATTTGGTCACTTGGAATTTAAAAAAATATTGGTAGATCAAAAATTATAAATGCTGTGGGATTAACATTTCACTTCTAGATGTTAGCTTCAAAGAATGGCAAATGGAAAACTTAGGAACTTATTCTTTTATCTGAGTAGGGACTTTGGCTATTCCTCTCCAATATGTTAAGATATAATCTGTTGGCGGGGCGCGGTGGCTCACGCCTGTAATCCCAGCACTTTGGGAGGCCGAGGTGGGTGGATCACGAGGTCAGGAGATCGAGATCATCCTGGCTAACACAGTGAAACCCCGTCTCTACTAAAAATACAAAAAATTAGCCGGGCATTTTATAATATACAAAAAATTAGCTGGTGATGGCGGCTGCCTGTAGTCCCAGCTACTCAGGAGGCTGAGGCAGGAGAATGGTGTGAACCCAGGAGGCGGAGCTTGCAGTGAGCCAAGATGGCGCCACTGCACTCCAGCCTGGGCGACAGAGCGAGACTCAGTCTAAAAAAAAAAGATATGTGCTGTTGTATTTGTGGTATGTCTCCTCCACAATCCCATCTCCTGAGAGTCCCTGTAACAGCTTTCTTTCTATATGGATTCTCATGATGGCGATCGGGATGGATGGTGTTATCATATATCCATTGTTTGTTTGCTAGAGGGACTGATACTCATTTCGTAAGAGCTGCATTCAACACTTACTGCCAAAGAACGATCTAGACAGAAAGACGCTCAACTTGAAAACTGATGCAAAAATTAGATGAGATTTTAGGTTGTTTCCCTTATAAAGGAGATACTTTGATTTTTAATGCTTTCTGTAATAGTTTTATTATATTTGGCCATTTTTATTTTTGAAAGGATGGAATGGTAGGTAGCTAAATGAGGGAAAGAAGATGGCAGTTACTATTATTTAAAATTTTTTTTCCAGGTTTCTTAAAATTTTAGATTCAGGGGGCACATTCAATTCCATGGCATTTAGTACATTCAGATTGCTGTGCAACCATTAAGTGGGATCCCTCTCTGGACTTTTTCACCATCCCAAACTGAAACTGTACCCATTAAAAAACAGCTCCCCATTCCCTTTGGTCACCACTGCTCTACTTTGATAACCACTATTCTACTTTCTGTCTCTATGACTTTGCCTATTCTAAGTACCTCATGTAAGTGGAATCATAGAATATTTGTCCTACAGGTTTCTTATAAGGGTCTGTTGCATAATGCTAGGGTTTGGGCTACATGGTACTCATTATTTTTGTTTCGTCAATATCCATTCCCCATTTTTCTGGTAATAACACCTGGAATTACTCTTGCAAGAAAGACTAGCATGTCTATTTCCATCCTTGTACTTGTTTAGACCTGAGAAAATCAGCACTATCAAGAATGAATGAGTTAATTATATGTAAATCAGCGTATCCAATCCTTACATCCCTACCAGCCACACAGTGATTATTTTAAGTTGGACATCTGACCCAATCCTGAATGCTTGTGGGTGACAAAATTGTACTGTCATTGCAGTGAAGGGAAGTTCTCCTTTTTAGCAGAAAATAATATCAGTGAAGATAATTCAAATAAAGAGATTCAAGTTGCTATCAACTAAAATCTGAGAATACAGTCAAAATATAGGGAAGAAATGAGAATTAATAGGCACAGAGAGGCCAGAATTGTGACAGAGGTTTGAGCTTCCAGAGCCATCTGTGACTAAAGTAATACCTCTCTGGCCACAACCCTTACTTTCTTCCCAGTTAAGGCAATTTTAGTTGTTGAACAACAAAACTATGCTAATACAGAGAGCAAAACCATTTATTTGGTTGTACACCAGCTGGTGTCATGAAAGAGTTAAAGCCAAATATATTGGTACATCTTGCTCAAAACAAATTAACCCACAGTGGTGATGATGGGGGAATGCAGATGACTAACAGAAGTTAAGGATGGACTGGCTTGATAAAATGTTTTAGTGTCTGGGACAGGGACTGAGTGAATATTGATACCAGTTTGACAATACGGCATAAGAAAGGAAACAATATGGCTGGAGAACAGCTTATGTTTTAGATATTCTTAGTTACTGGTGCCGTTTTTTCTTCTTTGTGGAATGTAGTATTGTACCTGTACAGAATGAAGTCTAGCTGCTTTTTTTCACAGTCCAATGAGATGCAGACAGACTTGGAAAAGAAGGGAGTTTATTTTTGCAACTGGTTACAGGGAGAAGGTCAGAGTAACTATCAGACCAACTCAGAGTTACAAAGTTTTTTTTTTCTGGTGCTTATATACATTTTAAGCTCTATGCCTTCACGTGGGAGTGCACCTACATGCAGGAGTGTTTCAATCTATATCTATCTTTAACTAGGGTCTGGGGTCTAGAAAGCTTTCTCTAGAGTCTTGGAAAGTTTCTTAATCTTAAATGGGCCCTGGTACAAGTTGTATGTCTAAGAATGCTTTTATTATTCGATCAGACTTTAAGGTATGAGAAAACCCAGGCAGGGTCTTTAAAGGGTTTGTTTTCACATTTCAGCCCTGGTACTCACTCAGGCACCAGCTTTTCCAGTTCTTTAATGTTTAACTTACGCATTCATCAAAATTATAGTAAAGGGTTAAGGGAAACTGATTGTTCTGGTTGCTAATGGAAACCTGACCTGCCACAGTATTATAGAAACATGATTACAGACAAAAGACAATGATTAGATATAAAGGTTGACAAAAAACAGCACCTATGTGTGAGCTAAAATTAAGATTGGAGGCCAGGCGCGGTGGCTCACACCTGTAATCCCAGCACTTTGGGAGACCGAAGAGGGCGGATCATGAGGTCAGGAGATCAAGACCATCTTGGCTAACACAGTGAAACCCCGTCTCTACTAAAAATATTAAAAATTAGCCGGGCATGGTGGCACGTACCTGTAGTCCCAGGTACTTGGGAGGCTGAGGCAGAAGAATCGCTTGAACCGGGGAGGTGGAGGTTGCAGCGAGCCAAGTTCGCACCACTGCACTCCAGCCTGGGTGACAGAGTGAGACTCTATTTCAAAAAAAAAAAAAAAAAAAAAAAAAAAAGATTGGAAGAGGTTGCCTATAGGCGGTGGATAGAACAGGACTTTTCTGACTGTACATAAGACTATGTCATCTGTAAAAAGAGAGAGATTTACTATTTTCTTTCCAATATAGAAGCTTTTTTAAAAATTAGTTTTTATTGGTACTTAATAAGTATACATATTTATAGGGTACATAGATTTTGGCACAGGTATACAATGCATAATAATTACATCAGTACATCAGAGTAAATGATGTATCCATCACCTCAAGCATTTATCATTTGTTTGTGTTGCCAACATTCAGATTATACTATTTTAATTATTTTAAATGCATAATAAATTATTGTTGACTATAGTCACACTGTTGTGGTATCAAATACTAAATCTTATTCATTCTATCTAACTGCCAACATAGAGCCTTTTATTTGTTTTCTGTGACTAACTGCCCTGACTAGAACCTCCAATACCATGTTAAATAGAAGTAGTGAGAGCAAACATCCTTGTCTTTTCTGATCTTCGGGAAAAAGCATTCAGTTTTTCACCACAAAGTATGATGTTAGCTGTAGGTTTTTCATAGATGTGTTTTATCAGGCTGAGGGACCTCTCTTCTATTCCAAGTTTGTTACCATTCCTGTTTTGTTTTGTTTTTTTTATGAAAGTGTGCTGAATTTTGCTGAATGCTTTTTTTCATGTCTATTGAGATCATCATGTGGTTTTCATCCTTTATTTTATTAATATGGTATATTACATCAATTGATTTTTTTTTATGTTGAACCAACCTTGCATTTCTGGGATAAATTCTACTTGGCCATCAGGTATAATCTTTTTGCTGGATTGCCAGATTTGATTTTCTTGTATTTTTGTTGAAGAATTTTGTATTTATATTTATAAGAGATATTGGTCTATGGTTTTCTTTTCTTGTGATGTCTTTGGTTCTTTTATCAGGGTCCTTTATCAGGGTAGGATGAGCCTCATGTAATCAATTAGGAAGTGTTCCCTGCTCTTCTTTATTTTTGAAATAACTTATGAAGTTTTGATATTATTTCTTTTTAAACCTTTAGCAGAATTAGCCAGTGAAGCCATCTGGGTGAGGCCTTTTCTCTGTAGGAAGTCTTTGAATTCCAACTTAATCTCTTAACATGTTTTAGGCCTATTCATATTTTCTATGCGTTCTTTAATGTGTATTGATAGTTTCTGTATTTCTAGGAATTTGTCTGTTTCATTAAGATTATCTAATTTGTTGGCATACAGTTGCTCATTTTATAATCCTTTTAATTTCCTTAAGGTCAGTAGTAATATCCCATCTTTCATTCCTGATTTTTTTTCTTGGTGTGTCTAGCTAAATGTTTGCCAATTTTGTTGACATTTTCATATAACTCACTTCTGATTTTTCCATTTTTTTTCCTACTGTTCTTCTTTCTTTCATTAGTCTTACACCAGTCTTTATACACTTTGACTCATGTTTTCTCTTTTCTTTCTAGGACATGAGTGGAATCATGAAATGGTGCGTATGGGTGGCCAGGAGTGGTGCTTGTGAGTTATAAAGAAGTGTTTGTAGCTATTAGAGTTATTTGGTGGTCAATTGGAATAAAAAATCTCCCAGAGTAGTAAAATTTGGATGTATCGTTATCTTAAATTGCTGGTCCCCGATGAGTATTTGAGTGTTCCGTAACTATTAATGGACTCGATCCTATGTTAGTAAATTCAGTGGTTGAAGTTCAGAGCTACAGCCAAAAAGGATATTAAGGATGAGAGCTTTTACTGTCAGACTTCGGTGACTTCACTCATTTAATTCATCCTCTGTCCCTGCATCCAGCCCTGGATCTTTTATTTTATATGTGTTTGTCATACACATGGAGGGCCTTGTCAAATCCTAAAATAGGGCATGGAGACAGCTTCTTTATATGTACTTTGCTTACTTAGAAATAGAAGGTACCGGATCATTATGCAAGGTTCTCTTTAGATTTCCAAAAGTAGACTCGAGCCTCAGGACGGTAGCTGTGACTCTGGTGATGATAATTAATCTCTGCCAGTTCACACACTTTAGAAGCTCCTATGGAAAAGTGTAGTCCTTGTTCCTTGTGTCTACCATTGCCAACCCACTTGGAAACATCAAGTTTCTTACAAAGACATAAAATTCTAACCATTTTTAGTTAGGTTGTCATAACTTCTCCTTTGCCGAGTGTTCGTGTTTCCCAGGAATCTGAAATCTCAAATATGCGCCATTCCACTGGAGTTCAGGCTTTGAACTCGGGCACAGGCTGACAGGATTTCCCTACAGAGCCCCGTATCACAGTCAGGATCTACAGCTCAGAATACCACATCTCTGGCCCCTCCCAGAAGGCCCACTGAGATGCAGTGAGTTTTCCACATATCACATACCATTTCTACAGGTAGCAAAGTCTTTTCCTATCGTTTTATCCAATTTTTTATTATTTCCATTAGATATCAAAGGAGGGTTTAATTATTTCATTTTTAAGGAAGAAACTGTGCTTTCAAGAAATGAAGACCTTCTCAAGGTCACCCAGAGGATAAGAGGGAAAGTAGACACAGTCACATTTCTTCTGGATCCAGGGTCCGGCTCTCCCTTCTCCCCCTCCTCAGGCTCAGGGAGAAGGGTTCAAGTGCATCAGTGATGTGAAGGAGATGAAACCAGTGATGTGGGAGGGATGGACACAGGATGAGAGATGTGGGGGTCAAAAAATTTTTTTCATCCCTAGGAGTGAGATCTGGAGGCTGAAAAAGCCAAAAATGGTTTCCAAGAAACTGAAGACTGTATTCCATGCTCCAGATCTGAGTAGGATGCTGCAAATGTTTAGAGGTGAGGAGAAGCAGACAAAGACTGTGGATGTGGGATTGTTGTGGTGTCAGGTAATAAACTGTCTAGGTGGGATAACTTAAAATTGAGGACAGAAGAGAGGAGGGAGGTCAGAGAATAAGGAATATTCTGTGGTGAAGAGGATGCATTTATATGTAAGGAAAAATGGCTAGGTCTCTGGTTTATCTTTTTAATTCACTAGCTCACAGCTTCATGGTATTCCCTTCCCCTGTCCCTACTCTAAAGAATATATAGGTATCAGTGCTTACTCCTTTGTTTCTAATCAGCATCACTGAATCTTTTATTATTTCAGAACTGACAGCTGTCCGGTGCTACTGGGGTAAGAAAAAGTTAGTCTTTAAATAACTGTTTTCCAATTACCTTTCAGAAGTTTATGGTTTCAATGATATCTTCTGATCTTAGCCTCATGCATTCTCAGCACCTCCCAAAACATTTGCTAAATACATTTCTCCAGTGTTTTACCCCTCCAATTCATCAGTGCAAGTTTTTCAGTCACTTCCCAAGTTCGTTCATCACCATGTCACTAGATAAACCTACTCCATATCTGTCACCTAATCATATATATCACACAGATGATTATATTCATATACATATATATATATTTTTTTTTTTCTTGCAGTGGATGTCACACTGAATTCAGTCAACCTAAATTTGAATCTTGTCCTTTCAGAAGATCAGAGACAAGTGATATCTGTGCCAATTTGGCCTTTTCAGTGTTATAATTATGGTGTCTTGGGATCCCAATATTTCTCCTCTGGGAAACATTACTGGGAAGTGGACGTGTCCAAGAAAACTGCCTGGATCCTGGGGGTATACTGTAGAACATATTCCCGCCATATGAAGTATGTTGTTAGAAGATGTGCAAATCGTCAAAATCTTTACACCAAATACAGACCTCTATTTGGCTACTGGGTTATAGGGTTACAGAATAAATGTAAGTATGGTGTCTTTGAAGAGTCTTTGTCCTCTGATCCCGAGGTTTTGACTCTCTCCATGGCTGTGCCTCCCTGCCGTGTTGGGGTTTTCCTCGACTATGAAGCAGGCATTGTCTCATTTTTCAATGTCACAAGCCATGGCTCCCTCATTTACAAGTTCTCTAAATGTTGCTTTTCTCAGCCTGTTTATCCATATTTCAATCCTTGGAACTGTCCAGCTCCCATGACTCTATGCCCACCAAGCTCTTGAATTTTCTCATTTCTTCACCTACAACCCTTTGTCTTGACTTATCTCCTGCAACTGACTCATCTGCAACATTCACACCATTGCTTCCTTGTGGTTTCCCTTCTTTAGAACTTTTACTCATCCTTGAGATGTATGGTGTATTTGGCTTGAGTTATGAGAGATGCTTATTTATTCATTTACTCTTTTTCATATTTTCAGAGAAAGTTACCTAATCCCTCCTAAAGACACAGCAGTATGGGTATAACATCCTTGCCTTCCCATTTATCCATGTTTCACTTTATCACTGATATGAAGAGGCCCAAAGCCTGTTAGCCACCATCCATGCTACCTAGGTAGTCCATAGGAACCACCCCCATGACCACCACCAACATCAACTAAAGGTTCTTGGAGGGTATGTCAGTGTGTTGCTCAGGATACCCCAGGTACATCAAGGAATCAAGGAGAGGAAAATATGAGCAATATGTGTATTCAGAGTGAAGATTTTATGTCCAGAGTATTTGAGCTCAAACCTTGCCTGTTGTTTTCTAATCATGATGAATACTTTCTCAGTTTCTTTTTCCTGAAATATAAATTGGGATTTAAGACTGTACCTAACTATTAAGATCACTGTGTAAAACTAAGTGTCTCTAAATGTAATGCATCGATTTAGTGTCTGGAACATAATAAATATTTGCTCTCATGATTGCTAAAAAGTGTGAGCTGTAGTAATGTCCTGTGCAATAGTTTTGTGGCCTTCAGAGGAATAGTAGTTGATTTTACTGAAGTCTCATTTTTCAAGTTCCCAGACTCCACTGTTAAGACCACTCCAATTTTA
This sequence comes from Homo sapiens, assembly GCF_000001405.40. NCBI lineage: Eukaryota > Metazoa > Chordata > Mammalia > Primates > Hominidae > Homo > Homo sapiens. Next base: position 5,644,521 of record NC_000011.10, read on the forward strand.
GTTTTGTTTTATAGAACTTTTTATACTGAGAGTGGGACTGTTTTTTTTCTTTTTTATTGTACATATTTAAGATATATATACTATGATGTTTTGATACACACTTACATGGTAAAGTGATTACTACAGCCAAGTAAATTATACATCCACTGTATCATATAGTTACCGTGTGTCGGGGGGGTGGTGGTTAGTGCATTTAAAATCTTTCTTAGCAAATTCCCAGTAGACAATACAATATTAACTAGAATCCTTGAAATAGTTGGGATTTTTGTCCTGCCCAAATCTCATGTTGAAATGTAATCCCCAGTGTTGGAGGTGGGGCCTGGTGGGAGGTGATTGGATCATGGGGGCCTCATGGAGGGCCTCGCACCATCCCCATGGTAATGAATACATTCTTGCTGTGAGTTCTTGGGAGATCTGGTTATTTAAGAGTGTGGCACTTCCTCCTGTCTCTGTATTGTTCCCACTCTTGCCAGAGATGTTCCTGTTCCTGCTAATGTTAGGATAAAAAAGTGATTATATTTGACAAAAAAAATTTAAGTTAGTACAACAATAAAAAAGTACGATAGGCTGGGTGCCTTGGCTCATGCCGGTAATCCCAGCCAGCACTTTGGGATCCCAGCCAGCACTTTGGGAGGCCGAGAAGAGAGGATCACGTGAGGTCAGGAGTTCAAGACTGGCCTGGCCAAAATTGCAAAACCCTGTCTCTACTAAAAATACAAAAATTAGCTGGATGTGGTGGCGAGCCCCTGTAATCCCACCTACTTGGGAGGCTGAGGCATGAGAATCGCTTGAACCTGGGAGGCGGAGGTTGCAGTGAGCTGAGATTGCACCACTGCACTCCAGCCTGGGCAACAAGAGCAAAACTCTGTCTCAAAAAAAAAAAAAAAAAACTGTGAAAAAAGTGGTTTGTTATATAGATCACCAAAAAATTATGAAACATTGTCATACAATTCAATGCTAGGTTTTAAATCTCTGTAAAATGAATAGGTTAAAATTAACAATCTTACAATCAGGAAGAAGCAGAAAATTCCGTAGAACCACAATAATAAAATGATGTAAACATTATAAAATTATATGTGTTCAAGTGCATAGAATGAGAGTACTTTTGAAGGTCTAATGTTTTGGGTCAGTTCTACAATCAGGAAGAAAAAAAGACAGGCCTACCTTTCCTTCTTCAGAAGAGAGTGGGGACAGAGGAGATTTGATGAGGGTCAAGTCTAGGAAAAGCTTCACTTTTGCTCATTGTATGTTGATTCTCTGGATACATTCCCACCTGTTCTTTGCCCTGATGATGAGACTTTTACCCAGATGTGACAACTGCTCTCTTCATCTCATCTAGTCTTCTGGAAAAAAAAAAAAAATATATATATATATATCTATATATAGATATATATAGATATATATATAGATATATAAAACATGTATATTAAATGTATATTAATATGTGTATGTATTTATAACATATGTGTAATTTATAATTATATATAATACATATATACATATGTATAGTACACATAAATATATTAGATTATATATGTATAATACATATAAATGTATACATTTTAATATACATGTATATTATATAAATATACATATACACACGTACACACACACATATCCCCAAATACACCAACCACCCTCATGTTTCTTCCCAGAATTCCAACCACCAGAGGCACAGCTTTTTTGGAAATATCATTTTACCACAGTAGCACTGGATGTCTGTCCACTCTGAAATGATAAAAATTCATAATATTGACTATATGCAAAGGAGGCAGCACTGACGTCAATTTTTTCTCCAGAACAGAGAAAGAGGAGGGGACTATGTTAGGGCAATGAATTTGCGAATAATAGCATGAAACAGTCTCTTGGTTATTCTCCATCAAATATGACCACATCATCAGCACACAATGTCCATCCTCCCTTATCTCTTCCATCTACGCCTAGAAACTGCTCTCTTCCCTGTCTAGCACCTGCCACCACTAGACTACTGCAGATCTAGTTGTTCTAGCTCTTCTCATCTTTACACGCTTGAAGCATTCCTCTTAGATGAGAAGCTCAACACACTTCCCTTTATTCTTTGGGAAACGTTTTTAGCTTAAGTCAAATTCTCACCCCTAGGAATGAAAAAAAATTGACTCCCAAACCTCTGACTTTGTAACCCTTGGACACCACTGATTTCCTATCATTTCACCCCACTGATGTACTTGAACTCTGTTCCCTGAGAAGGGAGAGGGCAGACCCTTGACCCTAGAACCAGACAAAATGTACTCGTGTCCACTTTCTCCCTTACTCTCTGTATGACCATGGGATGGTCTTAACCTCTCAGAAGCACAGTTTCTTCCTTCCAAAATGAAATAATTAATCTCTCCCTCTCTACCTTCTTGAGCTCATAGGACATGAAGAAATAATGGATTTTAAAAAAAACAAACAAAAAAACTTTGGTGCCTTAACAAAACGATTTAATGTGTGGAAACATCATTGCTATGGATGTGGGTTACCAGAAAGATGGTTAGACAGTGAGGTTGCAGGACCTGGCTCCTGGGTGTTTGAGACGTATCAGGAGAGGAATCCTGTCTGGAGAGGCCTAAGACCTTCAAAGCCTATTTCCACTAGAGAAGTGCTCAGATAATATCTGAGGTTCCATGTTTTTTGGGGAAAATTACCAATACTTGGCAAAGGGGATTTTATGAATACCAAACTAATAGTGGTCTGAATTTTGTGTGTTTAGAAAAGCTCTATATTGTCAAGTAGGTGTACAGTTTTAGACACTAAGATGTCACCTTTTCATACTCTTCTAAAGTATCTGACTGAGATGAATCAATTGTTTACACCAAGGAAAAAAACTATTCCAGAAATGCATATCTCTTTTTTTAAATCTAAATAGAATCACAAGGAAGGATCTGTTCTCTTCTATACCCACAGGAAAAATATAAATATATAGGAGTTGTCTGAATGAAAAATTTGGGGTGCTTGGCAGACAAGATATAATTCTCTTATAGCAAATGAGACATCATTTTTTTGAGACAAAGTCTCACTCTGTTACCCAAGCTGGAGTTCAGTGGTGCAATCTTGGCTCACTGCAACCTCCACCTCCCGGGTTCAAGCAGTTCTCCTGCCTCAGCCTCCTGAGTAGCTAGGACTACAGGCACACGCCACCATGCCTGGCTAATTTTTGTATTTTTAGTAAAGAGGGGATTTCACTACGTTGGCCAGGCTGGTTTTGAACTCCTGACCTCGTGATCCACCTGCCTTGGCCTCCCAAAGTGCTGGGATTATAAGCGTGAACCACCACGCCCGGCTGAGACACCTATTAAATACAAAACCAGAGCTAGATGGAGGTAATGCAATGGTGATGTCACGGGGGTCTGATACTGCAACACCTTATCCCTAATACCACTATTGATCCACACACTCTGTGACTCTCCACCACCCAAATTTTATACCATAGAATGCGATTTATTCTCGGTAGTTTTAGAATGCTCAAACCCTAAATTGTGACCAGAAATTTACAATAATATTATATCTAAATTTCCTGTCCTGGGAGATGTTTTATTCTGATTGAACTCCGGGCAATTCTAATGGCTACACATCTTTTCTCACAACACAAAAGGACAATCTCTGTTCTCCCACATATATCACTTTATGATGCCATCCACATTCTAGGAAGAAGAAAGAAAACATAAATTAAGAAATAACAGCTTCGGGGCCGGGCGCGGTGGCTTACACCTGTAATCCCAGCACTTTGGGAGGCCAAGGCAGGTGGATCACGAGGTCAGGAGATCGAGACCATCCTGGCTAACACGGAGAAACCCCATCTCTACTAAAAATACAAAAAATTAGCCGGGCGTGGTGGCGGGTGCCTGTAATCCCAGCTACTCAGTTGGCTGAGGCGGGAGAATGGCGTGAACCTGGGAGGTGGAGGTTGCAGTGAGCCGAGATCGCGCCACTGCACTCCAGCCTGGGCGACAGAGGGAGACTCCATCTCAAAAAATAAATAAATAAATAAAATAAAATAAATAACAGCTTCTCCTCACACACGAGGCTTCATCACATTTCCCCCAGTCCCTGAGGTGCTGAGAATGGAGATAGGGCCAGTGTGAAAGACAAAAAAAATAAGCATAAGACCCAGAGCAATCATTCCAGTAGAGTCATGTGAGGCTGTCAAGTTCTCTAAAAAGTAGAAACAGTTTTCACCCTTGTGGAAGAGGCTTTTGGTATCTGCAGATGGGACGTGTTTATAAGGAAAAGAAGAGACCTACAATTATTTTTCTCCAAACATGTATGACTCCCCATGAAATGTTTTAAAACGTTAAATAATTAGTGTTTCTTTGATTTATTCAACCAATTTGCAAAATTATTTGTCAGATATTATGCCAGGATTCAAAGAATCAAAAATAAATAAAAAGTTGTCCTCAAGAAGTTTACATGGCTTTGCTGAGAGTATAAGCAAACAAGTGTACTAAACCAGTATAGGTGTTTGCTTCTCAAGCCCCTCTCTTCATTTTAGATATAAACTGTAACTGACCTCATTCATTTCCTTAAGATCAACATACACATATCTGTACTTGATTTCCAACTCTCTATTTTTACTCAGTTTTCACTTAAATGCAGTTTAATATATTCAGTAGTGAAGGAGCCATGAGGACCAGCAATTCAGGATGTCTATTATGTAACACCAACCACACTGTTTTCTTATACCAGATTATCTATAAAATGTTACCAATATCTATTCATAGTACCCCTTCTTCCACTAACCATTCCATATTCTCTTTCCTCTCAGCAAGCACCTCGAGTGATAGCGATTTCTACCTGATGGAGTGACCCAAACTTTCATTTCTGAAGGGGCTTGGCCATTCCTCGTCTTGCCTGAGCTGAGTTGTTGTCTTTTTTTATTGACTTTAATCACAGGGCACAATAATATTAAGAGATACCCTAAGGGATCTCCAGACATACATTTTCTTAACCTACATTGTGGAGTAGTTGTTCTAAGTGTCCTTGATAGTCAGGATTAATCATCCTAGCAAGCACAGTAATTCCTGTCTTTGCCTGTTGGTTCAGAGGCATGAGCACCCAAAGTGGCTGGGTGGCTGTCTTAACTTCTAGTTCAATGAAATCATTGTCATGTCTACTGGTGAAAGCATTCTTCCTTTTGGAACTAAGATCGCTAAGGCAGCAGAGCGTAATGTTGCAGAAGTAGAAGGCAAAATTTGCTAGTGGAGCACTAGGAATAGTAGTGAGTGGTATCTCTCCCCTATCCACCCCTTGATTTATAGTCCCATGAATCCTAGTCATGGGAAAAATAACACCATATGTTGGACACTGATTTAGAGGATATATGCCCTCCTAAAGAACTTTGCCCCAATCCGGGAAGATACTGCCACTTAACTGGTGCTTTTAGTTTGTCTTGTAAGGGCCACTTTTCTATCAAGACAGCTGCTCAGGATGATGGGGAACATAGCAAGTTCAGTAAATTCCATAAACATGGGCCCTTTGCTACACTTTATTTCCTATGAAGTGAGTTCCTTGATTGGAATCAATGCTGTGTGGAATACCATGGTGGTAAATGAGGCATTCTGTAAGTCTGAGGATGGTAGTTCTTGGAGAAACGTTGTGTGTATGTAAAGCAAATCTGTATCCAGAGTAAATGTCTATTCCAGTGAGGAGAAAATGCTGACTTTTCCATGATGAATGCAGTATGTAGTCAATGTGCAACTAAGGTAGCTTTCCAATTCCTTCACCATCTATTCAAACCATTGGCCATTGCCCGTGATTCAGTATATAACATACGTCTGGCTATTTCTCTTTCTAAGCAATATGAACAATTGGTTGCACTACTTTTTAAAGTTCTGCCTATTGGGAGGGCTTTCCTTCAAGGGGTACTTCAGGGATATCCCAGAAAAAAGCTTTAGTGCTATAGATGTCTCCTCCAGGTGATACCTTCATATCGTACAGAACCATCTGTAAACTGGATCTGAGTTTTTTCTTTCTTCATCAACTGATTGTAGATAATTTTCCATGAGGACATACCTGCAGGCTGGGTGAGAGTAGATAGTGCAGCAGAAGTGAAGACCATGCACATGTGAGCCACTTCTTTGTGTGACTTGTATTTTGTTTTAGGGCCTGCTTATGGCCACTCATGTAGATAACACTTCCGTTTTTTGTTGGAGCGCTACTGTGCACATCCAAATTTGTTGTTTGATGGATCAGCTAATACCTAGTTCATGATGGCCAGGTAGGGTCACATAGTAACTTCGTGGTCCATAGTTCAGTGTTCAGTCTCCACCAAGGCTCAATAGAAAGCCAAAAGCTGTTTCTTGAAAAAGATAGTAGGTATCTACAGAAGATAGCACCTACAGGGTCCTGCCAAATACTCCAAAATCTTCCTTATCTGCCACAGACATTTCAAGCACCATTGTATTGGCTTGATCATATGGTCCCAGTGGCAGGGCAGATTTAGCAACGCCTGTATCAACTGCAGAGCATTATCTTATTCCAGCTTCCACTCAAATCTTACTCTTTTCAAGTAACTTAGTAAATGGACTGGAGTGACACCTCAAAATGAGGAACATGTTGCCTCCAAAATCCAAAGAGGGTCACTAGGTCCTGTGCCTCTCTTTTGGTTGTAGGCATGGCCAGATGCAACAATTTCCTTTTCACTTTAAAAGGGATATTTCCATACACCTCACACCACCAGATCCCTGGAAATTTCACTGAGAAGATCCCTGCAGTTTTTTAATTAATTTAGGTTCAGGGGTACATGTGCAGATTTCTTATATAAGTAAACTGTGTGCTTTGGGATTTGGTGTACAGATTGTTTCATCACCTGGGTAATAAGCATAGTACCCAGTAGGTAGTTTTTCAATTCTTACCCTCCTCTAAACCTCCACCCTCAAGTAGGCTCCGATGTCTGTTGTTCCCTTCTTTGTATCTATATCTACTCAATGTTTTGCTTCCACTTATAAGTAAGAACATCTAGCATTCCATGGTGTATAGGTACCACATTTCCTTTATCTAGTCTATCATTGATGGCCATTTAGGTTGTTTCCATGTATTTGTTATTGTGAATGGTGCTGTGATGAATGTACAGGTGCATGTGTCTTTATGGTAGAATGATTTATATTCCTTTGTGTATATACCCAGTAATGGGATTGCTGGGTCTAATGGTAATTCTGCTTTGAGTACTTTGAGAAATTGCCAAACTGCTTTCCACAGTGGCTAAACTAATTTACATGCCCACCAGTAGTGTGTAAGCATTCTCTTTTCTCTGCAACCTCACCAGCATCTATTATTTTTTTTACTTTTTAATAATAGCCATTTAGACTGGTGGGAGATGGTATCTCATTGTGGTTTTGATATTCATTTCTCTAATGACTAGTGATGTTGAGCATTTTTTCACATGCTTGTTGGCCACGTGTATGTCTTCTTTTGAGAAGTGTCTGTTCATGTTCTGTGCCCATATTTTAATGGGGTTGTTTGTTTTCTGCTTGTAAATTTATTGAAGTTACTTATAGAACCTATATATTAACCGTTTGTCAGGTGGATCATTTACAAATATTTTCTCCCATTTTGTAGGTTGTGTATTTTCTCCGTTTTTTGTTTTTGTTTTTGGTTTTGGTTTTTTTTGCTGTGCAGAGGCTCTTTAGTTTAATTAGATCCCATTCGTCAACATTTGTTTTTGTTGCAATTACTTTTGGAGTCTTTGTCATGACATCTTTGCCAGGGCCTGTGTCCAGAATGGTATTACCTAGGTAATCTTCTAGGGTTTTTATAAGTTTTAGGTTTTATATTTAATTCTTTAATCCATCTTGAGTTGACTTTTGTATATGATATAAGGAAGGGGTCCAGTTTCAATCTTCTGCATATGGCAAGCGAGGTATCTCAGCCCATTCATTGAATAAGGGGTCCTTTTTCCATTTCTTGCTTTTGTCAACTTGGTTTAAGATCAGATGGTTGCAGGCTTGTAGCATTATTTCCGGGCTCTGTGTTCTATTCCATCAGTCTATATGTCTGCTTTTAAACCAGTACCATACTGTTTTGGTTACTGTAGCTTTGTAGTATGGTTTGAAGTCAGGTAATTGATGCCTCCAGCTTTGTTCTTTTTGCATTCTAATTCCTTGGCTATTTGGGTTCCTTTTTTTATTTCATATGAATTTTAGAATAGTTTTTTTCTAGTCCTGTGAAGAATGTCCTTGGTAGTTTGATAGGAATAGCACTGAATTTGTAAAGTGCTTTGGGTAGTATGGCCATTTTACCAATATTGATTCTTCCAATCCATGAGCATAGAATGTTTTTCCATTTGTTTGTGTTAATCTCTGATTTCTTTTTCTTTTTCTTTTTTTTTTTTTTTTTGAGGCAGAGTCTCGCTCTGTTGCCTAGGCTGGAGTGCAGTGGCGTGATCTCAGCTCACTGCAAGCTCCAGCCTCCTGGGTTCATGCCATTCTCCTGCCTCAGCCTCTCAAGTAGCTGGGACTACAGGTGCCCACCAGCATACCCGGCTAATTTTTTGTATTTTTGGTAGAGACGAGATTTCACCATATTAGCCAGGATGGTCTCGATCTCCTGACCTTGTGATCTGCCCGCCTCGGCCTCCCAAAGTGCTGGGATTACAGGCATGAGCCACTGTACCCGGCCATCTCTGATTTCCTTGAGCAGTGTTTTCAAATTCTCATTGTAGATATCCTTCATCTCCCTGCGTAACTGTATTCCTAGGTATTTTCTTCTTTTTGTGGCTGTTGTGAATGGGATTGCATTCCTGATAGTTTGAATCTAATGTGCCTTGAAGAAGACTTTTTGGGTTGAACATATGTGTTAGTCCTTGGGCTTCCTATATCTGGATATCTATATCTGTTGCAAGACTTGGGAATTTTTCATCAATTATTTCATTAAATAGATTTTCCTTGCTTTCTCTCATCTATCCTCCTTCTGGAATTTCCAAAATGGCAAACTGTTTTTTCCGATTTTTTTTTGTTTTTTTTGTTTTTTTTTTTTTGAGATGGAGTCTTGCTCTATCACCCAGGCTGGAGTGCAGTGGAGTGATCTCGACTCACTGCAACATCTGCCTCCCGGGTTCAAGCGATTCTCCTGCCTCAGCCTCCTGAGTGGCTGGGATTAGAAGTGCGCACCACCATGCCCGACTAATTTTTGTATTTTTGGTAGAGACAGGGTTTTTACCGTGTTGGTCAGGCTGGTCTCGAACTCCTGACATCGTGATCCACCTGCCTCGGCCTCCCAAAGTGTGAGGATTACAGGTGTGAGCCACCACGCCCGGCTAAAACTGTTTTATTTAATACAGTTCCATATGTCCTGTAGTCTTTCTTTATTTTTAGTATTGTTTTTTGTTTTTGTTATCTGAGTAAATTACTTTAAAAGACCTGTGTCAATTCAGAAATTATTTCTTCTGCTTGATTTAGTCTATTGTTAATGCTCTAGAGTGTATATTTTTTTATTTCATTCCTTGAGTTCTTCACTTCTAACATTTCTGTTTGGCTCTTTTTATGGTGTCTGTCTCTTTGTTGAATTTCTCATTCAGATCATGAATTGTTTTCCTGATTTCTTTTTATTGCCTACCTGTATTGTCTTGCATCTCACTGAGTTTCCATAAAATCATGATTTTGAATAATTTTTCAGGCATTTCATAGATATTTTTTCCTTGAAACCTTTTATTGAAGAATTGTGTTCCTTTGGAGGTATCATGTTTTCTTGCTTTTTTTGTTTCTTTTGTTCTTACATTGATATCTACACATCTGGTTAATAGTCATTTCTTCCAGTTTTACAGATTTTCATAGAAAAATACTTTTTGCTTCAGATAACTCTACAGTTTTGATTGAGTAGGGTACTGAGGCTTTGACTGGGTAGGCACAGTGGTATAGTGTTCATGTAATTTATTTGGCTGTATTCAACATCAGTACAGTCTGCAAATTTCTCAATTGCTTAGGCTGTGGTTGTTAGTGGAGGCTATGGTAAGGCTTTGCTGGGGATGTCAGGCAGGATGTTCCTTGTGACCCTGGGGAGCACGTGTGAGTACCAGTGGTGGTGCCAGGGGCCAGGCATGCTAGTCTTCGAACACCTGGGCAGCATACATGGGAGCTGGTGGTGGCAGATGTGGGTGAGTGTGGGTTTGTACCAATCACTTTTGACTATTTCTAGTTTCAAACACTATGCGGCACAGGAAAAATGTGCTTAGAGTGTTGTGTTGTGGATAGATTAACCACATGCATTGAGGTAAGTATCCAGATAAACTACAGGAATAAAATGGAGATGTGAAAAATTGTAGGTTAAAATTTGTCAAAAAGGATTACCTAAATGTTAATAACACCACAAAAATAGCAGAATTTCATTATGTACCACAGCATTTATGTTGACTGCAATATAAGAAATGGCATTTTTCTGGCCGGGCACGGTAGCTCCTGCCTGTAATCCCAGCACTTTGGAAGGCTGAGGCGGGTGGATCACCTGAGGTCAGGAGTTCAAGATCAGCCTGGCTAACATGGTGAAACCTGGTCTCAACTAAAAATACAAAAAAATTATCTGGGCGTGGTGGCGGGCACCTGTAATCCAGCTACTTCGGGAGGCTGAGGCAGGAGAATGGCTTGAACCTGGGAGGTGGAGGTTGCAGTGAGCAGAGATCACGCCATTGCACTCCAGCTTGGGCAACAAGAGCGAAACTCCGTCTAAAAAAAAAAAAAAAAGGAAATGGCCTTTTCTTGCCTTTAGGAAACTTACCATTGGTTGTAGAGCTGGGTGGGAACAATATTCAATGATAGTAGTATGTGATAAATAAAGAAAAAGACTTCCTGCCTCCCAGAATAATATTTATCTACAATTTAAATAATTATCATTTAATTTGAGAAACATGATGAATTTATTGTTTGTTAGAGCAAACTTCACTCAACCAAGAAACTGAAATTGTTATGTGGATCATTATACCAATATGATTTTGAGTTCCTCCAAATAGAAATAAGTAGGTAAAAAGGATTTTATAAGCCAGGATTAGTTTATTAGTCTATGGGTAACAAAAGATGCCAAAATATGTATTATTTCAGTAAGAAACATTCATTTCTTGGTCATCCTACATGAATAGCATTGGTTAAGGTGTGAAGATTGCCATGCTCCTCAGCGTCAGTAAGGAACCAATGTTATGGAGGCTTCATCGGTTTTTAGTGACGTCATCTGGCATATGCAGTCAAAAAAAGAATAAGATAGATAACCGGGCACAAAAGTATGTGCAGGACATATAAAATCATTCAGTGCTACATTTTAATTAATTGTGTAAAAATGAGCAAACTTCCATTGGTCTATAAATCTACAGAGCAGAGGCCTCAGAAATAATGCCACACATCTACAACCATCTGATCTTTGACAAACCTGACAAAAGCAATGGGGAAAGGATTCTCTATTTAATAAATGGTGTTGGGAAAACTGGCTAGCCATATGCAGAAAACTGAAACTGGACCCCTTCCTTACACCTTATAGAAAAATTAACTCAAGATGGATTAAAGACTTAAACATAAGACCTAAAACCATACAAATCCTAGAAGAAAACCTAGGCAATACCATTCAGGACATAGGCATGGGCAAAGACTTCATGACTAAAACACCAAAAGCCATGGCAACAAAAGCCAAAACTGACAAATGGGATCTAATTAAACAAAAGCGTTTCTGCACAGCAAAAGAAACTATCATCAGAGTGAACAGGCAACCTACAGAATGAGAGAACATTTTTGCAATCTATCTACCTGACAAAGGGCTAAAATCCAGAATCTACAAAAAACTTAAACAAATTTACAAGAAAAAAACAACCCCATCAAAAAGTGAGCGAAGGATATGAACAGACACTTTTTTTTTTTTTTTTGAGAAAGAGTTTTGCTCTGTTGCCCACACCAGAGTGCAGTGGTGTGATCTTGGCTTACTGCAACCTCTGCCTCCCAGGTTCAAGCAATTCTTCCTGCCTCAGCCTCCCAAGTAGCTGGGATTACAGGCATGCACCACCATGCCCGGCTAGTTTTGTATTTTTAGTAGAGATGGAGTTTCTCCATGTTGGTCAGGCTGGTCTCGAACTCCCAACCTTAGGTGATCCGCCCACCTCGGCCTCCCAAAGTACTGGGATTATAGGCGTGAGCCACTACGACAGGCCATGAACAGACACTTCTTAAAAGAAGACATTTATGCGGCCAACAAACATTTGAAAAAAAACCCATCATCACTGGTTACTAGAGAAATGCAAATCAAAACCACAATGAGATACCATCTCACTCCAGTTAGAATGGCGATCATTAAAAAGTCAGGAAACAACAGATGCTGGAGATGATGTGGAGAAATAGGAACACTTTTACACTGTAGGTGGGAGTATAAATTGGTTCGACCATTGTGGAAGATAGTGTGGCGATTCCTCAAGTATCTAGAACCAGAAATACCATTTGACACAGTAATCCCATTACTGGGTATATACTCAAAGGATTGTAAATCATTCTACTACAAAGACACATGCACACATATGTTTATTGCAGCACTATTCACAATAGCAAAGATTTGGAACCAACCCAAATGCCTATCAATGATAGACTGGATAAAGAAAATGTGGCACATATACATCATGGAATACTATGCAGCTACAAAAAAGGATGAGTTCATGTCCTTTGCAGGGACATGGATGAAGCTGGAAACCATCATTCTCAGCAAACTAACACAGGAACAGAAAACCAAACACTGCATGTTCTCACTTATAAGTGGGAGTTGAACAATGTGAACACATGGACACAGGGAGGGGAACATCACACACCAGGGCCTTCGATGGGTGGGGGACTAGGGAAGGGATCGCATTAGGATAAATACCTAATTTAGATGACAGGTTAATGGGTGCAGCAAACCACCATGGTACGTGTATACCTGTGTAACAAACCTGCACGTTCTGCACATGTATCCCAGAACTTAAAGTGTATATATATATAAAATATTTATATATAATGCATTTATATATATATTTATATATTATATATAATGCATTATATATATTATTTATATATTATATATAATGCATTTATATATATTATTTATATATTATATATAATGCATTATATATAATATATATTTATATATTATATATAATGCATTATATATATTATTTATATATTATATATAATATATATTTATAATATAATATATATATATTTATAATATAATATATATAAATATATATATATATTATATTGTATTATATTCTGGAATAGCTGGGACTACAGGCCTGCACCACCATGCCCGGCAAATTTTTGTAGTTTTAGTAGAGACAGAGTTTCACCATGTTGGCCAGGCTGGTCTCTAACTCCTGACCTCAAGTGATCTGAGAGCCTCGGCCTCCCAAAGTGCTGGGATTACAGGCCTGAGCCACCATGTCTGGCAAAATCCTTTTATTTAGAAAAATAAGTTTATTTTTCCCATTCAGAATGACAGCTGCTAATTATATGAGAGGGGTGCAGGGAAGTGCTGAAAAGAGAAAGGCACGGTCCCTGACAAAGCCTCCACTCCTGGGGCCTGGGCCCACAGACTTAGGTGAGGACAGGAATTTCCGTTTTTGTGCCCAAATGTTGCATTTTCCAAGATCACCCTGGCCTGCTATGCCCCCATCCTGTGCCTATAGCAGGAAGAGACACAAGCAACTGAATGTTAAGAGTAGCAAATTGGTAGAAGAACACACCAACAGGCACCAGCACATGCTGGAAGGCCAGCGACCAATGGACCGATGCAGAGATTGGTCGGGGATGTCAGAGGACAGCCTGGCTGCTGGGTGGCCCAACTCCAGGGAAATCCACCTTCCTACTCCATCTTCCTTCTGGCCTCTTCATCCACCTCGCTGAGAGCTACTACCACTCGATAAAAAACCTTGCACTCGTTCTCCAAGCCCACGTGTGATCCAATTTTTCTGATACGTTAAGGCAAGAACCTGGGATACAGAAAGCCCTCTGTCCTTGCAATAAGGCAGAGGGTCAGAGCAGATAAACACAAGCCACCTGCAGGCAGCAAAGAGGAAACTCCTCCAATACTGTTATATTTTTCTAAGTGTCTATTACCCTGAATATTCTGACTGCTTTTGTCACTTTCTAGTGCCTTCAGGTTTACTTGATTTTCACATTTTGTGCAAGGTTTCTAATGTTGATCTATGGGTGAGGACATGAAGTTTTGTTAGAAAGAGTACAGTGTGTGCATGTGTCTTTATAGCAGCATGATTTATAATCCTTTGGGCACATACCCAGTAATGGGATCGCTGGGTCAAATGTGGCACTATACACCATGGAATACTATGCAGCTACAAAAAAGGATGAGTTCATGTCCTTTGCAGGGACATGGATGAAGCTGGAAACCATCATTCTCAGCAAACTATCACAAGGACAGAAAACCAAACACCGCATGTTCTCACTTGTAGGTGGGAATTGAACAATGAGAACACTTGGACACAGGGCGGGGAACATCACACACTGAGGCCTGTGGTAGGGTGGGCGCCTGGGGGAGGGATAGTATTAGGAGAAATACCTAATGTAAATGACGAGTTAATGGGTGCACCAAACCAACACGGCACATGTATACATATGTAACAAACCTGCACATTGTGCACATGTACCCTAGAACTTAAAGTATAAAAAAAAAGAGTACAGTGTAACACATGTCCGCGGGGCCCACAGGAGCTGTAAACACTCACCCCTAGAGGTTGCTGTGGGGTTAGAGCCCCACAGCCTGCCCGTCTGCATTCTCCCCTAGAGCTTTGAGCAGCAGGGCACTGAAGCGAGCCATTCCCCCTGTCGCATGCCCTGCAAAGGGAACAAGGGAACTTTTCTCATTTCACTAATAACTCATTTTGTCAGCCCAAATTTGCAGAGCTTTATAACTCAGTGTCTTCCCCATCAGATTGCATTTCAAGATGCTAGGTGTCAAGTTGTTCTGGGTCATTATTCTACATGCTTAGAGCTTAGGTATAAGATAACTTCAACTAATAATTATAGAATTGCATGGAAATTCTAAGTACTCAGGTAAAGCACTGTATATTCAAAGCTGTAGAATGTATAACTGTAATTCATATTCTTTTAATTCAAATATTCTTGCTGTAGTAAACTGCACTAAGAATAAAACTGTAGTGACTGAGTGCCTAGATGGTACAGACCATAGAACATACTGAAACATTACCATCCCCAGGTTTTATTGTTTTGTAAGCTCCTGTTCTGGATTCTGTATAATTCTCTGAAGCCTTTTTTTTTTTTCAGGTAGTTAATTTGATTGAAATTAAATTCTTAATTTTTCCCTGCTACATACAGCAGCTGAAATCTTTAGCCTATTTTGGGCTGCTTCACATCTGTCTCAAACATGTACTTTAGAGACTTGACTAGAGTTTATACAATTTGGTATTTATTCCTCTATATCTCTTCTTTACGGGTACTCTACCATCATTTTCTAGTTGCTATGGCAGGCACAAATCATTCTTTTTTTTTTGAAACGGAGTCTCGCTCTGTCGCCCAGGCTGACGTGCAGTGGCGAGATCTCGGCTCACTGCAACCTCTGCCTCCTGGGTTCAAGCGATTCTCCTGCCTCAGCCTCCTGAGTAGCTGGGACTACAGGCGCCCACCACCATGCCCGGCTAATTTTTGTGTTTTTAGTAGAGACGGGGTTTCACCATATTGGCCTAGCTGGTCTCGAAATCCTGATCTTGTGATCTGCCCACCTCAGCCTCCCAAAGTGCTGGGATTACAAGCGTAAGCCACTGCGTCCGGCTCATTCTTGTTTTTCAAAGCAGCAAGTACATATATTGTTAACTGAGTTTTTAGTGTTCTACCCAGTAACAACTGAGGTCTGCCTTCAAGTGAAAAGCCACAGAAACAGGAAACTCCCCCAATACTGTTGTCTTTTTCTAAGTGTCTATTACCCTGAATATTCTGATTGCTTGTCACTTTCTAGTGCCTTCAGGTTTGATTTTTACATTTTGTCCAAGGTTTCTAATGTTGGATCTGTGGGTGAGGGCATGCAGTTTTATTAGAATATATACCTTCATTAATGGAAATAGAACCTCAGTTTTGCTCACTCTAGACAATCTTTAACTATATGTTAAATTGATTGATTTTACGCTTTCTTTCTCTACCAAACTGCCGGATTTTTTTTTCAGTGTGGTTGTAATGTTTTGCACTGCCACATAATTCAGAAAGAAAATAATGGTGGTGTTGGAGTATGGTGGTTAATACAAAGATATTATTAAGTTTAGATAGGCCGGGCGCAGTGGCTCACGCCTGTAATCCCAGCACTTTCGGAGGCCGAGGCGGGCGGATCTTGAGGTCAGGAGATCGGGACCATCCTGGCTAACACGGTGAAACCCTGACTCTACTAAAAATACCAAAAATTAGCTGGGCATGGTGGCAGGTGCCTGTAGTGCCAGCTACTCGGGAGACTGAGGCAGGAGAATGGCGTGAACCCAGGAGGTGGAGGTTGCAGTGAGCCGAAATCGCGCCACTGCACTCCAGCCTGGGCGACAGAGAGAGACTCCGTCTCAAAAAAAAAAAAAAAAAAAAAAAAAAAAAAAAAAAAAAAAAAAAAAAAGATTAGATATATGTTTAGGCATATTATGAGATTTAACTTATGTATCTTATTGATACTGAATAGGATCAAGGAGCTCAGAACATAATTGTTACCTTGTGACAAGTATAGCATCAAGAAGGAGTATTGGTTGCAATGTCCAAAGAAAAAAACCAAAGAGATCTCTTTTCCAAAGAGCTCTCCTCTGCCCGATGCTTATTCCATCCCATCCCTCCAACACATCATATAAACGTTCTTTTACTTTTCTCTCCCTTTGAATCTTAGAATTGGCTCTTCATCAGGGCACCTTCTCTTTAGCCCCTACGAACTCTCATTCTGCTTCTTCGTATTCTTTGTCCTCCCACTGGTTTCTGCTTGAGGCCTGCTCCCATTCTTTACTCAGTGTCCTGCAGAACAGTCTTCAAGCAATCCCTGTTTTTTTTCACAACCTCTTTTCTCTGTGCTTCTCCCCAGATTGTACCAAAATTCTAGCCAGATATGCCTAATTAATGGCCCAGCATAGATCTGAAGTCTCAGAATAGAAGACGACATAATTGTTACTCAGAGGTTCAGAAGTGATGGGGAGGGAACATCCTAGAACTGATACACAGGCAGAGAGAAAATCCACAGTTGACGTCCATTAGCCTTTTGGAGCACAGGTTGCCTTCTTCAGCCTTTTACTGAGAAGACGGAGTGTAACTCAGAGCAATTCATAAGCTTCATATTCTTTTCAGCTGAGAGGTTCATTACTAGGGCCAGGAGCATCTGTTTGAAAAAATCCTTCAGTGTGCAGATCTTTTCTGTTGTATATACAAATTCAGGTCTTTATTGTTGTGTAACTGGGTACTTCATCCTGAGCTGTGGGACTTGGCTTTCCAGGAAATGAAAAGGCATTAATGTCCCTGGAGAGTCACTTGCCAATAATTCAAGCTAGTCCAGACTGTTCCCAGTGAGTGAAAGCCTCAATCTTCATAGCATTGGGTGACAGGAAAGCAGAGGTAAAAGGGAAAATTTATAGCATCAACCTCCTCGGTTTCCCTGGATGGTGCTGAGGTAGAGAGGTGTGTGCACACACATAGTTACTGAAAATATTCACCTTGGAATCCCTTCTCTGACTAAAGTTACCACAAAGATAGAGACCTTAAAATTTCTGTGGGGAAGCAGGGTGAAGAGCAGAGACTATTTGATGAGGTAGACCATTAAAACAAAACAAAAAACTTCAGCTCAAAACTTGGGAAAGAGTTGGAAATAAAAATGCCAATAGACATAGGGATCCTACCATGCCCTTCATAAACATCCGTTGCAAAAATAATTCTCCTCACTGAACAAGGAGAACAAGTATTTTTTTGTCATTTATGAAAATTACCATGCCTTTGTTACTTTAATGAAGAGTCAGGCTAACCTGGGCTCACAATTCACTTATCGATACCATTGTTGAGAAATGCCACATGTACTTCTGACTTTATCTGCATCACTGTGCAAAATACGTTTTTACTACTTGGCAAACAGGAAAAATTTACAATGAAATTAGAGTACTCAGAAATACTTAAAACAACTTAAGACTAGGCAGCTATGAAATTAAGAACAAAGATTTTTTTTCCCATTTATAAACACTTATTTTAAAACTTTCTACAAGAAAAATCTGTGATTTTTAACTTAGTTCTTGTATTTCTTCAAACGAAGGGAGAAAGATAATTTTGAAAAGAACTATTACATATTGTTAAAAATTATTGCTTTCAGTCACAGTGAGAGGGAACCAAAAATTAATAGACACCATAATGAGGCCGGGCATGGTGGCTCACACCTATAATCCTAGCACTTTGGGAGGTAAAGTGGGCAGATCGCCTGAGCCCAGGGCTTCGGGATCCGCCTGGGCAACATAGTGAAACCCTGTCTCTACCAAAAATACAAAAAATAACCAGGGCGTGGTGGTGCGTGACTGTAGTCCCAGCTACTCAGGAGGCTGAGGTGGAAGGATGAACCCTGGAGATGGAGGTTGCAGTGAGCCGAGATCGTGCCATTGCACTCCAGCTTGGGTGACAGAGACAAACCCTGTCTCAAAACAAACAAACAAACAAACAAACAAACAAACAAAAAAGCCCAACACCATAATGGATTACCCCTTACATGCTAGAAATGAGTGAAGCTATTCAAAAAACTCGTTTAACTTTTAAAAAACTACATCAGCTAATTTTATTATAATTATTTTTTACAATTAATAAACTGATTCCCACATAATTCAGTTTGTTTGATAAAGACTAATATGTAGCAACACTAGAATTACAATAAAATCCTAAATATATGTGTGTATTATATATAGAAGGCAGAATTGAAGTCATTTTGACAGTAGTATCTGAGATCTAAAAAATGAGAATTTAGTAAATCCAATCCTAGTTTCCCTGAAGGCACAACCTGTTCCATGAGACATTAACAGAGTTTATGTTTTTCAATAATTTGTAGAACAAGTACTTATTAGATCAAGACACTTAGATAGATGCTTTATACTTCAGGAATTTATTTTTTCACAATGATCCAAAGTATTAGATGAAGGTTTTTTGTTTTATTTTGCTTTTAATTGACAAATAATAAATATACATATTTATGTGGTACAGTGTGATGTTTTGATACATGTATACATTGCGTAATAACCGAACCAGGGTAATTAGCATATCCATCACCTCAAATATGTGTCATTTCTTTGTGTTGAGAACTTTCAAAATCCTCTCTTCTAGCTATTTCAAAATATATGCAATAGGTTATTGTTAACTCTAGTCACCCTACTATGCAATAAAACATTAGCACTTATTTAATGTGAAGTTTTTAATACAAAAATTATTTTAAGAAAATAAGCACAGGCTGGGCGCCGTGGCTCACGCCTGTAATCCCAGCACTTTGGGAGGCCGAGGCGGGTGGATCACCTGAGGTCAGAGGTTCTAGACGAGCCTAACCAACATGGGGAAACCCCGTCTCTACTGAAAATACAAATTTAGCCAGGGGTGGTGGTGGGCACCTGTAATCCCAGCTACTTGGGAGGCTGAGGCAGGAGAATTGCTTGAATCTGAGAGGTGGAGGTTGCAGTGAACCGAGATCGTGCCATTGCACTCCAGCCTGGGGAACAAGAGCAAAACTTCATCTCAAAAAAAAAAAAAAAGAAAAAAGAAAAGAAAAGGAAATAAGCACAGCCATTTAAGTATGTTATTCACAGTTACACTGCTGGTATATGGAGAGACAGGAGTTGAACTGAGATCCTCTAGATACAAAACCTCTATACTTAAGAGTATACCATTTATGATATTTTCTCTTTAACTCACAAATAAGGGCATCGAGGGTAAACTGACACAGGGCTAAGGACTCATTCATTGGTGAACAATTATCACACGATGATATAGAAAGGCTGTTGAAAAGCTTTTCTTCATCTTCTTAGTCAGTGTCAGAGGCAATTGGGTGATAAATATCTGGCAGAAGTAATACCTAAATAGCGGTCTCATTTTATGAGGTATAGGTCAGTTTTCCTTAGGAGTACGGAAAATGATGAAAAAAATTGCTATCAAATGTCAATAAAATATTGGGGACAATATGGCACAAGGCAATTATTACATTTTACTGATGAGTGAAGGACGTTCAAATAGAAAGAAGGGAGACAGCAAGGAAAAGATGGTTAAAATGATGCAAATGAGTTCAGGTGTATGAGATGCACCTGGACAAGAGGTGCTGTACAGAAGGGGCTGAGTGTGTAAGAAGGTTCAAGAGCTTGGTGAGCACAGAGTCATGGGGACTCCACATTTTCTAGGATTTAAATATGGAAATACAGGCTGAGAAAAAGAACAGTGAGAAAACTTATAGATGAGAAATCCATGGTTTGTGATATTGAAGAATGAGACAGTGCAAGCCTCATAGTCTAGGAAAACTCCAACACGATCAGGACAAATAATCACAGAGAGGGGCACAATGAAAGGAACAGAAGGAGTATGGAAGGAACTATCCTGGAAAGCACTACATTTAACTCCTTCCTCTAACCCTATAACCCAGTAGCCGTATTTAGGTTGATAATTTTCATTTTTTTCAATATTACACATTGCATCAGGTTGGAAGCCAGCACATACCCCCAGGATCCAAGCAGTTTTCTTGGACACGTCTACCTCCCAGTAATGTTTCCCTGATGTGATACTTTGAGAGCCCAGGATGCCAGTACAATAATTGAAATTCACAAATGTCTGGTATCTTGTCCCTCGTGCCCCATATATTATCTGTGGTTTCGGAGAGCTCACTTGTCTCTTATCTTCAGAAATGACAGCACATGAAATGTTGTTTGGAGCCACTGTCACATCAACTGTAGAAAAATTAACAGGTCAGCTAAGGGATATAATGTAACTTTATTTGTGATATGAGAGAAATCTTGATAAAGACTTGAGAGAAAACTGGGAGGAACCTTGTTTAGAAGTTATAAGGAGGGGTAAGTTATGTGTGTCTTGGAAGGAGAATCATAAATCTTAAAACATGAGCCTAATAGAGAACATAAAATTCTAAAAGATAAAGATAATAATAATGATAAGCCGCAGGGTGGCTTATGATAATGTGACTTCTCCTTACCCCAGTAGCGTCGGACATCTGTCAGCTCTGAAATGATAAAAATGCACAATATTGAATACAAACAAAGGAGTCAGCACTGAAATTCATTTTCTCTCCAGATTAGGGAAAGAGTAGGTATGCCCTATGGTAGGGCAGTAAATTGCTGAATGATGAGATGAAACAGCCACCTAGCCATTTCCCATTAAATATAATCCCATCAGCAGCAGACAATATCTATCCTCCCCTATCCCCTCTATCCATATTTGGAAACTGCACCCTCTTCCCTATTTAGCACCCTAACACCACTTGAATTCCATAACCCTGTTGTTGATCTAGCTCTCCTCACCTCTAAACACTTCTAGCATTCCTTTCAGATCAGGAGCTCGAAACACTCTCCTTTGATTTTTTGGAAAAGTTTCTGGCTTCTTCAAGGTCACGTTCTCCGTCCTAAGAATTAAAAAAAAAAAAAAAAACTTCCAAACCTTTGACCTTGTGTCCGTGGAACACCCCTGACTTCCTATCATTTCAACCCATTGAGGCACTTGAACTCTCTTCTTGGGGATCCTGAGAAGGGAGAGTGCAAACTCTTGACCCTGGAGGCAAACAAAATGTTCTCATGTTTGCCTTCCCACTTACTTTCTGTGAGAACGTGGGAAGATCTTAACCTCTCAGAAGCACAGTTTCTTCCTTCTAAAATGAAATAATTAACCTCTCCCTGTCTACATTCTTAAACTCATAGGACATAAAAAAAAAAAAAAGGATTTTAAAACAAAACAAAACAAAACTTTGGTGCCTTACAAAAGAAACCCTAACATTTAATGGGTGGAAACATCATCGCTATGTATGTTGAGTTCCCAGGGAGATGGTTAGAAAGTGAGGTTGCAGAACCTGGCTCCTGGGTGTTTGACACATATCAAGAGAGGAATCCTGTTTGGAGAGGCCTAAGACCTTCAAAGCTATTCCCAGCAGGGAGGTACTCAGATAACATCTAAGGTTTCAGATTTCCGGGAAAAATTACAAACACTTGGCAAATGAGAAATTATGTGCACTAAACTATTACTGGCCTGAATATCGTGTGGTTAGAAAGAACTTGATACCACCACGTAGGTGTGCGAGGTGTGCGATTTTAGACACAAGAATAGCACCTTTTTATGCTCTTGTAAAGAATGCAACTGAGGTGGATCAATTCTTTGTACCATGACCACATATTATCCAGAATATTATTTTGAAATATTATTCCGGAAATAAACATCTGATTTTGGAAATCTAAATATAAATGAAGAGGAACTGGTCTTTTTCCAGGAGGAAAATATAAACATGTGGGAATTGTCCCAATGGACAATTAGGGGTATATAAGAGAAAAAGAAGATATGGCCCATCCAAAATAAATCAAGAACCTATTAAATACAGAAAGAGAACTAGATGTAGGTAATAAAATGGTGATGGCGCAGGGGTCCAACACTGCAACACCTTCTCCCTGAAACCACTACTGACCCACACTCCGAGTCTCCACCACCCAAATTTTCTACCATAGAATCTGGTCTATTCCTTTTCTTTTTTTTAATTTTATTTAATTTTATTGATTTTTCTAAGACAGAGTCTCACTTTGTCGCCCAGACTGGAGTGCAGTGGCATGGTCTTGGCTCACTGCAACCTCTGCCTCCTGGATTCAAGCAATTCTCCTGCCTCAGCCTCCCGAATAGCTGGGATTACAGGCACGGGCCACCACGCCCCCCTAATTTTTGTATTTTTTTGATAGAGACAGGGTTTTGCCACGTTGGCCAGGCTAGTCTCAAACTCCTGATCTTCCTGACTCGGCGTCCCAAAGTGCTGGGATTATAGGCTTGAGCCACCACACCTGGCCAAATCTGGTCTATTCTTAATAGTTATAGAACATTCGAATGCTGATTTATGACCAGAAATTTATGATAAAACAATATCGAAATTTTTCTGCCCTGGGAGATGTTTTATTCTAATTAAACCCAGGACAATTCTAATGGCTATAAATCTCTCCTCACTGCACAAAAGGACCATCTCTGTCCTCCCACACATACCTTTTTATGACGCCATCCACACCCTAGGAAGAAGAGAGAAAACATCAATTAAGAAAGAAAGAGTCTCTCCTCACTTATAAAGCTTCATCACATTTCCCCCGGTTCCTAATGTGCTGAGAATGGAGATGGTGACAGTGTGAAAGACAAAAAAGCAAAGATAAGACTCAAGGCAATCATCCCAGAAGACTCATGTGAGATTTCCAAGTTCCCTTAAAAGTAGAAATAGCTTTCATCCCTGTGGAAGAGGCTCCTGGTTTCTGCAGATGGGACATGTTTAGAAGGAAAAGAAGTGACTGACAATTTGTTTTTCTCCAAACGTATATGGCTCTCCATGAAATGATTTAAATAATTAGTGCTTCTTTGATTTATTAAACAGATGTACAGCCTAGGCAACATAGCATGACCGCATCTCTACAAAAAATAAAATAAAAAAAAATTAGCCAAGCATGGTGGCATGAGCCTGTAGTTCCAACTACTTGGGAAGATGAGGTGGGAGAATTTGAGCCCAGAAGTTTGACTGAGGCTGCACTGAGCTAGGATCACACTACTGCACTCCAGTCTGGGTTTCAGAGTAAGACCCCACTTCTAAACAAAAAGAAAATCACAAAAATAAACAAGAAAACATATATATATAAACTTATTCTCCAGGCATTATGTCACATTTTGAAGAATCAAAGATGAATGAATAATAGTGCTCAAGATGTTTACGCGGCCTTTGCTGAGGGTATAAGCAAACAAGTGTACTAAACAAGTATAGATATTTTTCTTTCTTTCTTTTTTTTTAAGAAGGAGTCTCACTTTGTTGCCCAGGAGTGCAGTGGCGTGATCTCGGGTCACTGCAACCTCCGCCTCCCGGGTTCAAGCCATTCTCCTGCCTCAACCTCCCGAGTAGCTGGGATTACTGGCGCCCACCATAATGCCCGGCTATTTTTTGTATTTTTAGTAGAAATGGGGTTTCACCATGTTGGTCAGGCTGGTCTTGAACTCCTGACCTCAAGTGATCCACCTGCCTTGGCCTCCCAAAGTGCTGAGATTACAGGCATGTGCCACGACACCCGGCCTACGTACTTCTTAAGGTTGCTCTCTTTTCATTTTAGACATTAACTGTAACTGACTTCATTCACTTCCTTAAGTTTGACACACATATGTGCAACTGATTTCCAATTCCCTACTTTTACCCAACTTTGTCACTTAAATGCAGTTTAATACATTCAGTAGTGAAGGAGCAACAAGGACCAACAACTAAGAATTTTTATTATGTAACACCAACCATACTGTCTTCTCTCTTATACCACATTGTCCATAATATTACTAATATCTACTCAGTCATTGTCCTAAAAACTACATTTACTCTGAACTCTAGTCTCTAACAGGACAGTTTGGTCTACATTCTTTTTTTTTTTTTTTTTTGATACGGGGTTTCGCTCGTTTCCCAGGCTGCAGTGCAACGGCGCGATCTCAGCTCACCGCAACCTCCACCTCCTGGGTTCAAGCGATTCTCCTGCCTCAGCCTCCTGAGTAGCTGGGATTACAGGCGTGCGCCACCACGCCTGGCTAATTTTTGTATTTTTAGTAGAGACAGGGTTTCTCCATGTTGGTCGGGCTGGTCTTGAACTCCCAACCTCAGGCGATCCGCCTGCCTCAGCCTCCCTAAGTGCTGGGATTACAGGCGTGAGCCACCGCACCCAGCTAGTTTACATTCTTAATGGTTTTAGGTAATCTACTCCTCTTTATCACCACAAATACTGTTTTGTTTTAGCAGATATGTACCAATGCAATGTCTTTGGTCTCCTTTATGCCAGACACAATTTTTCCACATAGATTTTTTTTCAAGAACAAAGCCAATAGCTGGATCTACACATACAATCAAATAGTTTTGCTTTTTGTATTAGTACTTTTATGTTGTATGTAACATAAACCAAATAAAACTGGATTAAGTGGTGAAAAAAACTTTGGAAAGGGTAATTACAATTTCAGTCACAGCTGAATTTTGAAACTCAAACCTTGTCATCAAGATCTGGTCTATGGGCTGGGCGCAGTGACTCCTGCCTGTGATCCCAGCACTTTGGGAGGCTAAGGTGAGCAGATCACTTGAGGTCAGGAGTTCAAGACCAGCCTGGCCAATCTGGTGAAATCCCGTCTCTTCAAAACATACGCATGCCTATAATCCCAGCTACTCAGGCGGCTGAGGCACAAGAATTGTTTGAACCCAGGAGGCGGAGGTTGCAGTTATCCAAGATCACACCACTGCACTCCAGCCTGGGCAACAGAGCGAGACTTCATCTGAAAACAAAAAACAAAAATATGATCAATGTCCTTCTCCAAATTCTCCCTATTCCTCTACATTGAGTTTATTCTCTGTACATGAAGGAAATGTAACTCTCCTGATATAAACCCCAGCAGAAAGGAGAACTTCTAAGTTTTAACATAAAAAACTTTTAGGCTTGCATGGCATTTGTCTGTGTTGGATCAGATGCCCATCTTTTTTTTTTTTTTTTTTTTTTTTTGAGATGGAGTCTCACTCTGTCACCCAGGCTGGAGTGCAGTGGTGCGATCTCAGCTCACTGCAAGCTCTGCCTCCTGGGTTCATGCCATTCTCCTGTTTCAGCCTCCCGAGTAGCTGGGACTACAGGCTCCCACCACCACACCCAGCTAATTTTTTTTTCTTTTGTATTTTTAGTAGAGATGGGTTTTCACCGTGTAAGCCAGGATGGTCTCGATCCGCCCGCCTCGGCCTCCCAAAGTGCTAGGATTACAGGCATGAGCCACTGCGCCCAGCCCAGATGCCCATCTTAAAAGCACTACTGCACTGTGGCTGGAAACAACAGGAATTACATATATTAACTTAACTAGGAGTAAGTTATATGCAACCCTGGCCATGCTAAAGACACACACATATGGAAAGGATAAGTGAAACAACACATCAGTGAGAAAATTGTAGCAGATTTTTAAACAGCCTTAACTTTGAATTAATCTGGGCAATCTCACTTACCCAAGCATAGATTCATCAGGAGACGACAGAAGCCTTACTGCCTTGAGGGGATTGAACATAACTTATATTCGAGATTAGAGGCAAACCAAAGATACATGGACACACAGGACAAAGCTAGGATCCTACACTTAAAAATTATATTTTAGCTTTCTTTAAACACAGCAGAGACATTAGCAACCACAGGGAAGTAAATAAATGAAGGTACAGAAACACTTCTTGCTGGGTAGAGACTAGAGGATGGGAATTCTCAGAAACAACAAAGTAACAAAAATGTATGTTTTGGCCAGCTGCAGTGGCTCATTCCTGTAATCCCAGGACTTTGGGAGGCTGAGGCAAGTGGATTGAGACCAGCCTGGGCAACATGGTGAAATCCCATCTCTACAAAAAATACAAAAATTAGGTGAGCATGGTAGTGCGGAGCTGTAGTCCCAGCTAGTCTGGGGTCTGAGGTGAGGGGATTGCTTGAGTTCAGGATGTCGAGGCTATAGTGAGTCAAGATCGCACCACTACATACTAGCATGGGCAACAGAGTGAGACTCTGTCTAAAATATATATATGTTATTTACAAAAGAAATGTGTACACATACAAAGAAACAAGATAGAATACCACAGCTCAGGGGGATTAAAAAAAAAACACAAAAAAACCCCACAAAACAATAAATAGAAAATATCCCCAAGTGACCCCAGATGTTGGAGCTAGAAGATAAAGACTTCAAAGCAACTATTGCAAATAGGTTAAAAAACTAAGGAGAACTATGCTTAAAGAATTGAAGTATAAAAACAATGACTCAAAAAATAGATATGCTCGAGAGATAGAAATGATAAGGAAATAAAAATTCTGAAAATTTTAAGTAAAATAACAATAATGAAATATTTGCTAAAAGTGCTCCACAGCACACAAAAAGATCATTGAACCTGAAAAGCTGCATCAATAAAAATTTTCTGATTTAAAGAACAGAGGGAAAAAAGACTTAAGAAATAAAAAGAGCCTCAAAGACATGTCAGATGTCATAATGTAGCAATGTACATGTAATAGGTCTTCCAGAAGGAAAGAAGAGAGGAAAAGGTTTTAAAACCTGTTTTAAGATCTATTACATGTATGTTGCTACATTTTCAAGTAGAAAAAAATAATTGGGGAAAAATTGTTACATTCTATAAAAATTAATATTTCATCTATATTAATATCTAAATCTATGTTCAATGAACCCCAAGTTAAATAACTAATATGAGACCCACATATCATAGAAAAACTTCCAAAGGCTACAATCAAGGCAAAGAAAAAACTAAAGCAGCAAGAGAAAAATTAATCATTACATAAGGAATGCTTTCAACATGATTAATAGCTGACTTCTCATCTGAAATAATAGATGAGAGAAAAGACTGGAATGACTTATTGAAAGCACTAAAAGAAACTGTCAACTCCAAACTCCATATAAAGCAAAAATTTTCTTCAAATATGAAGAAAAAAATATTCTCAGATGAAGACTGAGAGAATTTGTTGCTGGAAGATGGAGAAAAAATGTTTTTTCCTTTTTTTCTTTCTTTTTTTGAGACAGAGTCTGACTCTGTTGCCCAGGCTGCAGTGCAGTGGTGCCATCTCGACTCAGTATAACCTCTGCCTCCCAGGTTCAAGCGAGTCTCCTGCCTCAGTTTCTCAAGTAGGTGGGATTACAGGCACGTGCCACCATGTCCAGCTAATTTTTGTATTTTTAGTAGAGATGGGGTTTCTGCATGTTGGCCAGCTGGTCTTGAACTCCTGATCTCAGGTGATCCACCTGCCCCAGCCTCCCAAATTGCTGAGATTACAGGTGTGAGCCCCTGCAAAATATTTCTTCCCATAAATATTTCTTCCCAAAAATAGTTTTTAAAATTTCTTCAGTTGAAATTAATTTCCTCCAAAGATTTACCCAAATTCATAATAAACCTAAACAAAATGGAAATACTATAAAATGTGAGTTAAGATAAAAGAATCTATAGTTTATTTCCCAAAGTATTTTCTTAATAACTTCAAAAGACATTAAGTTTATTACAAAGTAATTCAATACTATATTAATAGGTTATGACATATATGCATGTGAGATATATGACAAAATGATAACCAAAGATGAAGAAAATGAAGCAATATTGAAGGGAAGTTTCTGTATTTTACTGGAATTAAGTTACTATTAATCAGAAGGTGGCTGTGATAGGACAAGATGCATATTGTAATCATTAGAGCAAGCACTAGGAAGAGTACTAATGTCATACAGCTGAAAAAGAGAAAAACTAAAAATCTACATTGGAAAATATTTATTTAACACAAAGGAAGCCAGTTAAGGATGCAGAAAATAACAACATCAAAAAAGACAGGAGAAATATAGAAAACAAATAGCAAAATGGTAAATTTAAGTAAAACTATATCAATAATTGCATTAAATGTTATAATGAAAACCCAAATGAAAAGTCAGAGACTGTCAGACAGACTGGGTAAAGAAGAAGATTCGGTTATCACTACCTATAGGAGAGCATATATTAGATTCAAAGCATAAATAAACCCAAAGTAGAAATAAAAATATATATACTATGCAAGCAGTAACCATAAGACAACTCAAGTAGATATATTAATATTAGACCAAAGATACTTTAAGGCAAGAACTGCTATGTGAGAATAACAGGAATATTTCATAATGAAAGAAAGGTTCAATATGTCAAGAAGAAATAACAATATTAGTGTATCTTCACCTAACAACAGGGCTTCAAAATACTGAAAACAATACATAAAGAATTAAGAAAAGGAAAACTGACAACTCAATAACAACTGGTGAAGATTTCAATAATTTACTCTCAGTAATTAATAGAAAAACTAGTATAAAAACCATAAAGGATATAGAAGACTAACACTATCAGTTAGCTTGACCTAATGGACATCTTTAGATTATTTCACCAAATGAATGCAGAATACATATTCTTTTCAAATGCATATAAAACATTTTCCTGCTCATGTAATGTTCCATACCATAAGATAAGTTTCAATACATTAACAAATGATAAAATAAGTTATCTGATTACCAAGGAATGGGATTTGAAATCCACAGCAGAAGAAACATTAAAAAAATTCTTCAATGCTTTAAAATTAAACACTACTTTTCTGAATAACCCAAGAGTAAACCAAAAAATCACAAAGAAAATTAGAAAATACATTGAGCCAAATGAAAACTCAAAAATTAAAATGTATGAAATATAGTTAAAGCAATTCATTTATTAAACACTATATCAGAAAAAAAAAGATTTCACAGCATCTAAGATTTCACCTTAGAAAAATTAGAAAAGGAACAACAAAAAACTCAACGAAAAAGATGAAATAATAAAGATCAGAGCAGAAACGATACAGAAAGGTTAAAAAAAGATAAAATCAATGCAGCAAAAAGCCTTTTTAATTTCATAAAAGTTAACAAAATTGACCAAATATAACTAAAAGGACAAAAAAAGGGAGAGAAAACAAATCACCAAAATCAGGAATAAAAGAGGAGACATAAGTGTGTGTGCTGTAGATAGAAATGAAAGGAATTGCAGATGGATGTCAGCAAAATAGTATCATAGGAGTCTCTAGCAGTTGTCTCCCCTCAAAAACAATTTAAACAACCATCCAAGAACTAAAACACCTCACCAGAACTAAGAAATAGGGTGGGAGCATACAGCATCTGGGTATAACACAGAAAGAAGAAAAAGACTCATGGAAGAATGTAGGAAGGACAGTTTTACATTTTCCATTTCACCCCTCTTACAACTCTAGGCAGCATAGCGTGTGAGAGGTACCCTCCACAAGGAGAAAGAGGGGAAAATGAGCACCAAATGTTACCTCAGACCCTAACACTGGGCTCAACCTAGTAAAACCCAGCCTGGCAGGTCTGAAGACACCAGACTCCAGACTGGTATCTATGGATAAGCCTCCAGGCCGTATCTCACAGCCTAGGCTCTAGATCTGTGCAGTGGACTCAGTCTACGAGCTATCTAAATGCGAGGTTGCCCTCAGTGGTAGGACCATTCTCAGTTGTGTTGGAACAACTGGATAGCCATATGCAGAAGACTATCTCACACCATGGAGGACTTTAAGTAAAGTAAGTCAGGAACAGAAAGACAAATACTGTATAACATCACTTAGTATGTAGATGTAAAAAATAGTTGAGCTCATAAAAGTAGAGAGTGGAAGAGGGGTTTCCAGGAGCTGGGGTGTAGGGAGAGTTGAGGCCGATATTGGTAAAAGGACACCAACTTCAGAATGAAAAGATGACTATCTTCAAGAGATCTATTGCAGAATGTGGCAATTATAGTTAACAATGTATTGTATTCTTGAAAATTGGGATAAGAGCAGTTTTCTTTTTTTTTTGAGATGGAGTCTCGCACTGTTGCCCAGGCTGGAGTGCAGTGGTGCAGTCTTGGCTCACTGCAAGCTCCGCCTCCCGGGTTCACACTATTCTCCTGCCTCAGCCTCCCAAGTAGCTGGGATTACAGGTGCCCGCCACCACGCCTGGCTAATTTTTTGTATTATTTTTTTTCATTTGTGGGGTACAATGCAAAATGAAAATATGCGGCCCCTTGTTCAAAATTTATTAAACATTTCAAGATGATGACAACAGAGCATTAAATCAAATGCAGGTGAGAGAGGGGTAGACACATCCTAAGGTGCCCTGGGGTTCCGAGGAATACAGCATGAGAAACACTGAACGTAGAGCCTGAGACAAGGACCTGGGTCCAGGTGATTTACCTGACCCCAGGAAGCAGGAATGAGGGAGCAGGGAGGTAAGACAGGGAGGAGGAGAAGCCAATGTATGAGTAAGCTGTTGGGGTTGTTTCTGGGCATTATGGGATCATGATCCCACCAAACCTCCTGGGAATGCCCCAGAATCTCTGCCCGAAACACTGAGAGCTGAGGCATTTCTCCATCAACTCCCAACCCCATTGGTTGAAGGATGCCCCTGGGGGTGCTAGCTTTCTTGCATTTCTTTTTTTTTTTTTTTCTTCTGTTGTGTTTTTTTTGTTTTTGTTTTTGTTTTATTATACTTTAAGTTTTAGAGTACATGTGCACATTGTGCAGGTTAGTTACATATGTATACATGTGCCATGCTGGTGCGCTGCACCCACTAACTCGTCATCTAGCATTAGGTATATCTCCCAGTGCTATCCCTCCCCCCTCCCCCCACCCCACCATAGTCCCCAGAGTGTGATATTCCCCTTCCTGTGTCCATGTGATCTCATTGTTCAATTCCCACCTATGAGTGAGAATATGCGGTGTTTGATTTTTTGTTCTTGCGATAGTTTACTGAGAATGATGATTTCCAATTTCATCCATGTCCCTACAAAGGACATGAACTCATCATTTTTTATGGCTGCATAGTATTCCATGGTGTATACGTGCCACATTTTCTTAATCCAGTCTATCATTGTTGGACATTTGGGTTGGTTCCAAGTCTTTGCTATTGTGAATAATGCCACAATAAACATACGTGTGCATGTGTCTTTATAGCAGCATGATTTATAGTCCTTTGGGTATATACCCAGTAATGGGATGGCTGGGTCAAATGGTATACTTCAGCAAAGTCTCAGGATACAAAATCAATGTACAAAAATCACAAGCATTCTTATACACCAACAACAGACAAACAGAGAGCCAAATCATGAGTGAACTCCCATTCACAATTGCTTCAAAGAGAATAAAATACCTAGGAATCCAACTTACAAGGGACGTGAAGGACTTCTTCAAGGAGAACTACAAACCACTACTCAAGGAAATAAAAGAGGATACAAACAAATGGAAGAACATTCCATGCTCATGGGTAGGAAGAATCAATATCGTGAAAATGGCCATACTGCCCAAGGTAATTTACAGATTCAATGCCATCCCCATCAAGCTAACAATGACTTCACAGAATTGGAAAAAACTACTTTAAAGTTCATATGGAACCAAAAAAGAGCCCGCATCACCAAGGCAATCCTAAGCCAAAAGAACAAAGCTGGAGGCATCACACTACCTGACTTCAAACTATACTACAAGGCTACAGTAACCAAAACAGCATGGTACTGGTACCAAAACAGAGATATAGATCAATGGAACAGAACAGAGCCCTCAGAAATAACGACGCATATCTACAACTATCTGATCTTTGACAAACCTGAGAAAAACAAGCAATGGGGAAAGGATTCCCTATTTAATAAATGGTGCTGGGAAAACTGGCTAGCCATATGTAGAAAGCTGAAACTGGATCCCTTCCTTACACCTTATACAAAAATCAATTCAAGATGGATTAAAGACTTAAACGTTAGACCTAAAACCACAAAAACCCTAGAAGAAAACCTAGGCAGTACCATTCAGGACATAGGCATGGACAAGGACTTCATGTCTAAAACACCAAAAGCAATGGCAACAAAAGACAAAATTGACAAATGGGATCTAATTAAACTAAAGAGCTTCTGCACAGCAAAAGAAACTACCATCAAAGTGAACAGGCAACCTACAAAATGGGAGAAAATTTTCACAACCCACTCATCTGACAAAGGGCTAATATCCGGAATCTACAATGAACTCAAACAAATTTACAAGAAAAAAACAAACAACCCCATCAAAAAGTGGGCGAAGGACATGAACAGACACTTCTCAAAAGAAGACATTTATGCAGCCAAAAAGCACATGAAAAAATGCTCATCATCACTGGCCATCAGAGAAATGCAAATCAAAACCACAATGAGATACCATCTCACACCAGTTAGAATGGCAATCATTAAAAAGTCTGGAAACAACAGGTGCTGGAGAGGATGTGGAGAAATAGGAACACTTTTACACTGTTGGTGGGACTGTAAACTAGTTCAACCATTGTGGAAGTCAGTGTGGCGATTCCTCAGGGATCTAGAATTTTTTGTATTTTTAGTAGAGACGGGGTTTCACCGTGTTAGCCAGGATGGTCTCAATCGCCTGACCTCATGACTGGCCCGCCTGGGCCTCCTGACCTCATGACTGGCCCTCCTGGGCCTCCCAAAGTGCTGGGATTACAGGCGTGAGCCACCGCGCCCAGCCTTTACTAGTGAATTCTATTGAGCATATAAAGAAGAAATGATAGCAGTTATTTAATTCTTTTCAGAAAATTAAAAAAAAAGGAAAAAGTCTCAATTAATTCCATGAAGGAAAAAAATAAAAAGCATCTTGTATTTTGACGTGTATTTGTTTGCCAGTGGCTAAGCTGAGCAATGAAAAGCTGCACTGGTAAGTCTCAACACTAGAATACAGAGAATAGGAACCTATCAAACATGACTAGAGCTAATTGATCATCTCCACTACGTCAAATTTTTCTACTGCTCTGGATAAATTAATAAAAATGGGATTATCTCTTGCTACTTCTACATTCAATTATTCTTATAACTTCAGCAATTGATTCAGAAAAGCGGTCCTGCAGAGAACATTGTTAATATTAGAAAAAGCACAGCAACGCAGAGAAGGAAATAGCCTTCACTTTTCTTTAATCTCAGTGCTCAGGCTTCTTTCCACTTTTTACCTGAAGCAGCTCCATCACTGACCCCTGCAGCCGATGCTCCAGATCTGAGATGAGCTCTCTCAGGGACTGGGTCTGCTGCACCATCTCAGTTTCAGAGTTCGTAAGGCTTTTCAGAATGTCTTCCTCCTCCTTCTCCAGGTTTTGCAGCTCATTGCTCTCCTCCCAGTCCAGGATGTCTCTCAGTTGCTCAAAATCTGCCAAGACGTTGGTTTTGTCATACTGTATTTGAGTCTTCAGAGATAAGAGAAGAGAAAGGGGCACTCAGTCTACCAGGCAGAGGCTGTTAGCCAGAAAAGGAGCTGTTTCTTTTGGGGAGTTCTCACAAGGAGGGGACATAGTAGCAGGAGAGTAGGTCTTAGGAAAGCTGCCTTTTCCTATTTCTTTTCCTTCATGACATTTTAAAACAATGACCTTGAATGGGTATATTGAGGTTCATCCTGCATCAAAATGGGTTACCTGGATGTAGCTTACCTTTCACACAGCTATGCAGGACACTCATGCCTGCCTGTATTACTTCTCAGCCCAAGCTCAAACTCCCTGCCAAAAGTTGAACACTGAGGACAGAATCATGAGCCATTGCCAAATGTCTTCCCCAAGTAGAGTCACGGACTCAAAAAGTAGCACAAAAATAGAATGCAGGATTCACTAGCCATCCTCACCAGAGAGATCCTTCATGTAAAGAGCTCCCTACTGTGTTCACTGTGACATATTCACTCCTCAGCCACCACACCCCATCAGGGAAAGGATGAAGAGGACTAATCAAATGACTTCTGGACTTATCAAATGTCAGGGAATAAAGAGGAAGAAAGCTCCTTCCCCTGGTCCTGCCCAGATTTCTAGCTAACTCCTTCGGGAACCACATCCTCTTGCCTTCCAGGAAGCTTTCTCTTCTCTGATGTCAGCTTCTAACTCTTCAGCTTCCTGCTGCTTCTGCCTCAGCATCTCCAGAGCTGCCTGGAGCTTCACCTGTGAGAAAGGAATCACACCATAGTCAAGCTATGAGGTTTTCCAGCACCTAGATAGAGTATAAACATGAAATAAATCAGGTTGATCTCAGAAGAAACAAATTTGCAGAAACTGTGAGAATGGCAATGAGAATCCATGACTTGGAAGAAAACTTACATTGGTGAATGTGCTCCCTACATCTCAGGTAATAGACCTCCCCATCTCCTCACCATGAGTAGACTGATTCTTTTTGTCCTAGAAGAAAAAACTAATCCTGCAGCAAGGAAAAAACTTACATCTCAACCCACTCCTGTTACTCTCCTGCTGAAAGGGGTAATCAGAGCTTTTCTTGGACACCAAATCTCTACCCATCTAACCCAAGGTACAAAATATTTACTCCCGGCCAGGAATATATACTCTAGGATTATTCTCCTGTAATTGGGTGAAATGCAAAAAACCATCCTTAAAGCCTCAGAAGTTAAGCATAGCATGAAAAAAATAATCCCGGGTCTCAGGTCTATCATGACAAGGCAGTTAATGTCAAAGGCAAAGTGAAAATTTTCCATCTGGTCCCATTTTCTGCCCTCTCTTCCTTCCATCCCAGTCTCTTACTTGGTACTCCCGGGCAACCTCCTCTGTGAGGAACGTGTGGTGACCACGGTGCTCCTGAGACCGCTCACAAAGCCAGCAAATGACCTTCCCGTCCTCCTGACAGAAGAGTAGAAGTTTCTCTCCATGGCGTGCACAATGATCAACTTTCTGCCCCTCTGGGCTCAACTTGACCTCCCTGAGCTTCTCCACTATGTTGGCTACATGCCGATTAGGCCGTATGTTCTCAGGCTGGTAACTGATCCGGCACACAGGGCAGCTACTCTCTCCTTTGTCTAGCATGGACTTCTTGTGGTTTGCAGTGAGGCATGCTTGGCAGAAGCTGTGGCCGCAGTCCAGGCTCAGGGGTTGTGTCAGGAGTTCCAGGCAGATGGGGCAGGTCACCTCCTCCTTTACATTAACCAGGATTCCAGAAGCCATAGTAGCTATTCCACTGCTCCTGCCTGTCCTGGCTGCTGAGGTTCCTCTTGTTCACAGATCCCTGCATGATTGGGAAGGTTAAAATGGGACCAAGTAAGAAAGGTAGAAATAGAAAGGATATTGATTGTGCACAATTAGAAAATGGGCAAGATGAAAATAATTAAGGACAAAAAAAGGGGAGAAATAAGAAAAGGTGTTTGGTTACCTGGTAATAAGGGCTTTTCATAATCACCTTAAATACTTTACTGCCAGTTCATGTCATATGACAAATTCTGTTCTTATCTGTGCATTGGTTATCATTTTTCTTTACTTTCAATGAATAGAAAACAGACTGAGGTCTTTTCTACCAAGATCTTTGTGTGACCCATCATCTCTCCTGGCTTTTCTTTCCCACGCCAAAACACATCCTCAGTATTAAAATCACCAAACAGCTTATGCCTCAGGGCTTTCACATTTGCTCTTCTCTCAGCATGAAATGTTTCTCTGATGTTAGTACGATTTTATTAAATTCTCTCCTTACATGTTATATTATCAAAAATACCTGCTCTGACTACCTTATGTGCAGTGTAACAAATCTCACCATGCACTGTACGTTTGCAATGATTGCTCTTATTATCAGCAGAGTGAATGACTGTTTCATCAAATGTATAAATAGACATAATAAGTGATTTACAAAAATTATTTATCTTCAGTATGGTGACCTGAGATGACCTCGTATTCAGGGTCCTCTTTCACTGGCCTCTTTGCTACTCTTTTGGTTAATCAATGACAAATGGAGATAACAGCATATATCCAATTAATACCCAGAGCAATTGGGGTGTGGAAGTAGAGGAATCCACAACAGCTGGGAGGTTCTGAGGAGTCTCATCCTGAAAGTTTGCCAAGGACATTTATTGGAGCCTAAAGGTGTAGACATGGTGTAGAGGGTGATGATAGAGAAATACTCAGTGGACCACACATGTTGGATACTTGAAAACTAGAAGCACAGAGGCAGTGGATATCAGTCTTGAGAGAGAAGTCTCAAAATATTAGATGAGATGATTCTGTTCCCGGAACAAACGGAGGGTCGGCTGCTGCTTCTTGCGGCCCAATAACGAGATGCAGATTTACTGGGAAAGAAGCGAATTTTTATTTCTGCGTACAGGGAGAAGGCCTAGAAAATATCTCCAGACCAACTCAAAATTACAAAGTTTTCCAGAGCTTATATACCTTCTAAGCTATACGTCTACGTATAGGTGTGCATTATTCATCTAAAAACATAAGTGATTAACTTCTTCAAATCTATAACTAAGGTCTGAGTTTTAAGACCTTCCTCTGGTGCCTCAGTAAATTTACCTAATCTAGATGGGTCCGGGTGCTGGGGTGATTACCCTTATCTTGTCTCTCCTGCTAAATCATTAAGGTTTGCGGAGTTCCTTCAGACCCTCAATAAACTTGTTTGTGGAGGCCTGGGAGTTCCTTCAGACCCCCATAAAACTTGTTTAATCCTAAACAGGTCCTAATCGATTCCTTCGTTATCTTGTCATGCTTCAAGGCCCAGGAAAGGCCTGGGCAAAACTCTCAGTGGGCTTCTGTTACATTCCAGCCTTTGTATAAGGGCACTGGCTCTATCAGCTTTTAATATTTTTTTTTCTTTTTTGAGACGGAGTCTTGCTCTGTCGCCCAGGCTGGAGTGCAATGGCACAATCTCGGCTCACCACAACCTCTGCCTCCCAGGTTCCAGTGACTCCTCTGCCCCAGCCTCCCGAGCAGCTGGGACCACAGGCACGCACCACCACACCCGGCTAATTTTTGTATTTTTGGTACAGATGGGGTTTCACCATATTGGCCAGTCTGGTCTCCAACTCCTGACCTTGTGATCCACCTGCCTCGGCCTCCTAAAGTGCTGGGATTACAGGCGTGAGCCACCGTGCCCGGCTTCAGCTTTTAATATTTAACTTAACCAGACGGGTGTGGTGGCTCACGCTTGTAATCCTAGTACTTTGGGAGGCCAAGGCAGGCGGATCACCTGAGGCTGGGAGTTCAAGACCAGCCTGGCCAACATGGTGAAATTCTGTCTCTACTAAAAATACAAAATGAGCTGAGCTTGGTGACAGGTGCCTGTAATCCCAGCTACTTGGGTATTCTTTCCACATGCTTCTCCTGCTCTTCGTATCTCACCTAAGCTCTGCTTTTGGGGGGCAGATACGGCCCACGGAGAGGGAGGAGCAAGGTTAATGATTTTTAAGAAAATCCAGTAGTTCCCTGAGTCTGGACTTGGTGCCCTAGTAGAGGCAAACAGATGCTGTCACCAGGGAAGCCCTGATGAAATGACTGGGAAAGTTATTTTTCTTAACGTTTTTCTTTATTCCCTTTATGTATAGACAAAGTTGCTTAAGAAGAAGCCAGACTGCCCAGCATGGTCCAGATCTTGACCCCTGACCAGATCCAAGGGGGAAATTAGACCCCCGAACCAGCGTATATACTGGAACTGACAATCCCTAATTGCCTTTAGATCATTAACATATCACTAGAGTGTTAAGTTACCCCCTCCCCCACACGACACCAAACAAGAAAATCTCCACCATTTTGTGTGCCTGGGTTGTATTGAGAGGTGACAGCA
This sequence comes from Homo sapiens, assembly GCF_000001405.40. NCBI lineage: Eukaryota > Metazoa > Chordata > Mammalia > Primates > Hominidae > Homo > Homo sapiens. The sequence goes on from NC_000011.10 coordinate 5,682,780, forward strand.
TGCTGGCAGTCCTTGCAGCCCTCACTCGCTCTTGGCGCCTCCTCTGCCTGGGCTCCCACTTTGGCGGCACTTGAGGAGCTCTTCAGCCCACCGCTGCACTGTGGGAGCCCCTTTCTGGGCTGGCCAAGGCCGGAGCTGGCTCCCTCAGCTTGCAGGGAGGTGTGGAGGGAGAGGGGCGAGCGGGAACCGGGGCTGCGCGCCGCGCTTGTGGGCCAGCTGGAGTTCCGGGTGGGCGTGGGCTTGGTGGGCCCCGCACTCGGAGTGGCCGGCCGGCCCCGCTGCCCCGGGCAGTGAGCGGCTTAGCACCTGGGCCAGCAGCTGCTGTGCTCAATTTCTCGCCGGGCCTTAGCTGCCTCCCCGCGGGGCAGAGCTCAGGACCTGCAGCCCACCATGCCTGAGCCTCCCCACGACCCCTTGGGCTCCTGTGCTGCGCGAGCGTCCCTGACGAGCACCGCCCCCTGCTCCACGGCGCCCAGTCCCATCACCACCCAAGGGCTGAGGAGTGCAGGTGCGTGGCATGGCACAGGACTGGCAGGCAGCTCCACCTGCGGCCCGGTGCAGGATCCACTGCGTGAAGCCAGTGGGGTTCCTGAGTCTGGTGGGGACTTGCAGAACCTTTATGTTTAGCTAAGGGATTGTAAATGCACCAATCAGCACCCTGTGTCTAGCTCAGGGTTTGTGAATGCACCAATCGACACTCTATATCTAGCTACTCTGGTGGGGACTTGGAGAAACTTTATGTCTAGCGAAGGGATTGTAAATACACCAATCGGCACTCTGTATCTAGCTCAAGGTTTGTAAACACACCAATCAGCACCCTGTGTCTAGCTCGGGGTTTGTGAATGCACCAATCGACACTCTGTATCTAGCTACTCTGGTGGGGATGTGGAGAATCTTTGTGTCTACACTCTGTATCTAGCTAATCTAGTGGGGACTGGAGAACTTTTGTGTCTAGCTCAGGGATTGTAAATGCACCAATCAGTGCCCTGTCAAAACAGACCACTCGGCTCTCTGTAAAATGGACCAATCAGGAGGATGTGGGTGGGGCCAGATAAGAGAATAAAAGCAGGCTGCCTGAGCCAGCAGTGGCAACCTGCGCTGGTCCCCTTCCACACTATGGACGCTTTGTTATTTTCCTCTTTGCAATAAATCTTAATACTGCTCACTCTTTGGGTCCACACTGCCTTTATGAGCTGTAACACTCACCGCGAAGGTCTGCAGCTTCCCTCCTGAGCCAGCGAGACCACGAACCCACCAGAAAGAAGAAACTCTGAACACATCCGAACATCAGAAGGAAGAAACTCCGGACATGCCGCCTTTAAGAACTGTAACACTCACTGCAAGCGTCCGCGGCTTCATTCTTGAAGTCAGTGAGACCAAGAACCCACCAATTCCGGACACAGTATGAAGACATGTGTTTATAAACAGAGGTGGCACAACTGGAGTTCCACCCTATAGGCTAACACTCCTTTCTCTCCCCGTACTCAGTTCTTTTAAAGCCAATGCTTTCCACTGTTTTGGGGGAGGGGGCTTTAGAGAAGGAGCTCTCTTACTCTCCACTCCTAGCAAGAAATAAAACCTGCTTGCCTTTTTTCCCATTATCTTTGTAACCAATATGAACTAGGGAAAGAACTCCATTTACAGTGACAATGACAGGACTACAGAACTGGACAGCTGTCACACCATGAAGGCTGATGTCACAGAGCCAGGCCAAGGTGATGAGAACTGACCTGTAGAGTTATGCAGAAACACTACATTAGTAAACTAATAGGCATTAAATCATTAGGATTCCAAGGCCCCTGTCTTTGCCCTTGTTGTTGGGAGAAGACACTGAAAGAGAGAATTCTGGCTCTCTACAGCAAAGTTCAATTAAAAAGTATAGAGTAGGGAGGGGATGGGGAGAGAGTCAGCATGGAAAAATAACCAGCCTTCGGGAAACAAAGCCCTTCACTTTAAAGCTCTCCCTTCTTTCAAATCTGCCTGCCCGCCAGGCGGCTCTGTTCCCCTCAGTCAGCTCTGGCAGCAAGAAGTCTGTGAACTGTGTCTTTTCCCCACCCCCGCACAGCTTTTCAGATAAGTTAAACTCACCAAGGTAAATACAGTTTTGTCCCAAAGACTTCCTACTTCTGCCCTCCACAAAATCACTCAATACACCTTCAGACACCAGTGCAGAAGTGGTGATTCTGGGGAGAAGAGTGAAGACAGGCCAGGGAAGACGTGGTTAGGATTCACTCACCAATCCACGGGCCTGATCTGCACAAAGGAATTTTCCTAGAGGAACCGCAGGAAATTCTTGCTCACACTCAGGGCAGGAAAGTGAAAGATAAACTATGGGCCAATGGCATTTCTCCACGTAGGGCCTGGTGAGTCCCGCCCTCTGAATGAATCAGCCGGGCCGTGTAGCTGTGCTGTTCACAGGAGGAGCCGTGGGAACTAGAGGCATTCCCACTCAATCTCCCTTTTCTCTTGAGTCTCAGGATCTTGTTATCATGCCACTTCTTCTGACATAGTTTCAGATTAACCCAGCCAAGTATTAAAAATTAGAAAAGGTGCCCTTTTTCGAAATTCTTCCAATGTGCTCCTCTTGCTCCTGATCTCACAGCTGAGTTCTGCTTCTGGGTGACAGATATGGCCCAAAGAGAAGGAAGAACAAAGTTAATGATTTTTAGAGAATTGCAGTAGATTTCTGGTCTGGACTTAAAAATCTTATAGGACCTATGAACAGAAAAGGAGCTGCAGGTAGGAGAGATGTCATATTATTAAGACTCCGAAACCCAGAGAGGACAGGATGCTAGAAATTTATCTGGAGAGGGCCGGGCGCGGTGGCTCACGCCTGTAATGCCAGCACTTTGGGAGGCTGAGGCGGGCGGATCACAACGTCAGGAGATCGAGACCATCCTGGCTAACACGGTGAAAACCCATCTCTAATAAAATAAAATAAAATAAAATAAAATAAAAAATTAGCCGGGCATGGTGGCGGGTGCCTGTGGTCCCAGCTATTCCGGAGGCTGAGGCAGCAAAATGGCGTGAACCCGGGAGGCGGAGCTTGCAGTGAGCAGAGATCGCGCCACTGCACTCCAGCCTGGGCGACAGAGTGAGACTCCGTCTCAAAAAAAAAAAAAAAAAAAAAAAAAAAAAGAAGTTTATCTGGAGAGCGATAAAGAAATACCACATTATTTCTTTCAACTATTCACTTTCAAAGAACTCTCCAACTTCCCGCTGTTGTCTTTTCCAAAGTATCTATTGCATCCCTGAGCAGGGCCAGGCCTTCCTCTCTCTTCTCTTCTGGTTACTATGCAAAACTGGTCCAAAAGGCTGAACTGTGGTCCATGTACCATAGCCTCCCTTCTAAGCTTTCCCTTACTGGAACATCTCAGGAAGTCCACACTGGAACTAGGATCATTGGTAGAGAGGAGTATTTAGTTTGAAAATGAAAATGCCTCAGGAGAAGGCAATGGGGAGCACTGCAGTGGGCAGCCTGTTATCACTTAATTCCATCATCAGTAACCTCATACCCCCTCCACACTGTACCCCCGCAGCTTTCTGTTTCATGAAATCAGGTAGGGGGCTTTTGCATTTTGTTCTTTATTGTCTCAGATTTACTAGAATATGGTGTATATAAGGAGTAATATTTAAATAGATATGAAGATATATAGCTATTAATCTAATTTTAATTGAATATCTTGATGTCACATTTCTGTTCTATTCTTGCTGTAAAGATAACTGCTGTGTCACCTAGTTTAATTCAAATATTCTTCTGGCATTAGTAATAATTATGTGGCAGTAATAATTATAGTAATAATTATAATAATTAGTATTATTAATAATTACAATTATTAATAGTTACAATTATAATTAATATTACTAATTGTTATTTAGTAATAATTATGTGGCATTAGTAATAATTATGTAATGATTACATTTGCAGTGGCTCACACCTGTAATCCTCGCACTTCGGGAGACCAAGGCGGGTGGATCACTTGAGGTCAGGAATTTGAGACCAGCCTGACCAACATGGTGAAACCTCATCTCTACGAAAAATACAAAAATTAGCCAGGTGTAATGGCAGATGCCTGTAATCCCAGCTACTCAGGAGGGTGAGGAAGGAGAATTGCGTGAACCCGGGAGGTGGAGGTTGAAGTGAGCCGAGATCATGCCACTGCACTCCAGCCTGGGCAATAGAGTGAGACTCTGTCTCAAAAAAAAAAAAAAAAAAAAAAAAAAAAAAAAAAAAAAAAAGTAATTATGTAAATTTTTAAACAAATTTTAAACGATTTTTTAAAATATCCTCTCTGTTTTCTTCCTAAGTATTATTCAGACTCTAACCATATTTACTCTTATTTTGCTCTTTTTCTTGAAGAGAAAAATGTTAAATATCCATGGACCCAAAGGTAGAGATATTTCATTTGATTCCTTTTCAAGCAGGAAAGCAGGATATATAAGGTTTACAGGCTGGGCGCGGTGGCTCACGCCTGTAATCCCAGCACTTTGGGAGGCCAAGGTGGGTGGATCATGAGGTCAGGAGATTGAGACCATCCTGGCTAACAAGGTGAAACCCCGTCTCTACTAAAAATACAAAAAATTAGCCAGGCGCGGTGGCGGGCGCCTGTAGTCCCAGCTACTCGGGAGGCTGAGGCAGGAGAATGGCGTGAACCCGGGAAGCGGAGCTTGCAGTGAGCCGAGATCGCACCACTGCAGTCCGCAGTCCGGCCTGGGCGACAGAGCGAGACTCCGTCTCAAAAAAAAAAAAAAAAAAAAGGGTTTACAGAGAAAACACAGAGCTCCAACAATAATATATTTTTTCTACAATTTAGAACATAGGTTAGAATATGGAGCCTGCCAACATGCTCTACTCTGGTGATAAACTGTGTGTGGTGCATTCAGTTTTTCTATTGGCCCACGTTTTCTGGTATCTTGTCAGGACCTAATATTACTACTGTTTTCTCTCAGCTGCAATTAATACTTCATGAGATAAATCAGACCAGGATGAAAGTTCACTTCAGATGTTCAAAGCCAGACGAGAATAAAAGGATGGCTATGAGATCTATGGAAGTGCTGAGAAGGGAAGAAATAATGGACAGAGAACAGGTCTCTGGATAAATGAGTTCATTCACTTTGTCCATTGTGGTTGACACTCGGACTCCACTCTGTGCACTCCAGAAAAAACACATTCACTCACTGAGCGCTCACTCCCCTACAAATGTCAACAAGATATTCTATTCAAACATGGAATATACCTAAAATTACATCTCTTGCTTATTTATCTTCAAGAAGAAATAAGAAAATTTCACGCCTGTCTTAGTCAAGGTTCATCATAGCAATAGAACCACTAAACTATGAATTTATTTGGAAAGAAACTTGAGAAATGTCTCAGGTGATTCTGGAGACTGGCAAATCCAAAGTCTGCAAGGTAGGCCAAGAGGCTCTGGATCCAAGAAGGAGTCAACGTTATAGCTCACGCCTGAGGTTTGCCTGCTGGTAATATTCCCTCTTCTCGGGGAGAAGTCAGTTTTTTCTTCTATTCTGGCTTTCAGCTGATTGAATAAGGTCCTCATAGATATAAGTGAGTAGGAAAGAATTTATAGCCAGGATTAGCTTATTATTCTGTGAGCAACAAATAATACCAAAATATCTATTATTGAAATAATAAACATTGATTTCTCAGTCATCCTACATGTGTATCATTGATTAAAGTATGAAGATGGCCATGCTCCATAGTGTCAGTCAGGGATCCATGTTATGGAAGCTCCATGAGTTGCCTTTTTTTTTCTTTTTTTTTGGGTGTGTGTGTGTATGTGTTGTGTGGTGTTTGTTTGTTTGTTTTTTGTAGAGACAGGGTCTTACTATGTCACCCAGGCTGCAGTGCTATGGTGCAATGACGCAATCTTGGCTCAATGCAACCTCCACCTCCTGGGCTCAAGCCATCCTCCCATCTCAGTTTCCTGAGTAGCTGGGACTACAGGTGCACATCACCACACCCAGCTATTTTTTTTTTTTTAATTTTTCTTAGAGATGGGATTTCACCATGTTGCCCAGGCTGGTGTTGAAGTCCTGGACTCAAGTGATCCACCCACCTGGGCCTCCCAGAGTGCTGGGATTACAGGCATGAGACACCACAGGCCTCCATCAGTTTTTGATGGCATTATCTGGCACATGCAGTTAAACAAGAATACAATAGACAACAGGGTACAGAAGTATGTGCATGACGTATAACATGTTTCAGTGCTGCTTTTTAATTGATTGTGTAAAAATGACCAAACTTTTCTTAGAGAAGCAGGGAAAAGTGGAAAAATTATGAAGGCATGAGAGTAACTCAATGAATGATTATAATTAAACAGCATCATCTGTTAACTTCCATGTTCTCACCTGCCTCAGTGGCTGGGTAACATGACACTGACACAGTTTTACCTCTATTACTCTCTGGAATCCATCCTCATCTGGTCTGTCTGGATTAGGAGCAGGAAGTGATAATTAATTGATGGACTCTTAAGATTTAATGACATTTTGAGAACATTTTTTTCAATGGGCTCACACTAAAGATCCTTTTATTTATAAAAATAATTTTTTTACCATTCACAATGTCAGCTGCTAATACTCATCTTGTCAGCCCAAATTTGTAGAGCTTTATAACTGAGTATCTTCCTCGTCAGACTGCATTTCAAGAAGCTAGGTCCCAAGTCTCTGGATCTTTATTTTCCTGGCTTAGGTCTTAAATATAAGATAAATTCGACTAATAATTATAGGACTGCATTGGAATTCTAAGTATTCAGGCAAGCTGTATAACTGTAATTCACATTCTTTTTATTCAAATATTCTTGCTTGAGTAAACCACAGTAAGAATAAGGAAGTAGTGACTGAGTGCCTTGCCAGTACAGCAGATGCTAGAACATAATGTAGCATTACTTTCCCCAGGGTTTATTGTTATGTAAGTTCTTGTTCAGCTTCCTTTGTTTTCTTTCACTTCTGAGAATTTAACTTTCGTTTCTCACTCAGCTCCTGTGGGGAAACTCATTTGTGGAGACCAGCCCTCTGGCTTGGTGAGTGAATCTGGTTTACACCGGCTCCTGCCCTGCCTTCACTCTTCTCCCCTGATTCAAGACTCCTCTGCTTTGGACTGAAGGTGAGTGGAGCAATCTGTGGGAGCATAGAATGGGAGGCTTTGAGAAGAATAGATTGATTGTGTCTGGGTGAGTTTAATTTGTAGTTCTGAAGCTGCTCTGCATAAACAAAAAGAGGCAGCTTGTGAACTGTCTGCTGAGATGGCAGAGGAAGAAAGCACTGAGTCTGGGAGAGGGGTAACCTTTAAAGAAGAGAGGTTTGCAAAAGCAAAAAGCCTTGCTTGTTTCCTAGAGGGACCATTCATTTCTTCAATCTAGGTACCTCCATCACCTTCCTTGTTGGAAATAAAGCTCAGAATCTTAAGGGAGACGAGCACTCAAACAAAGGATTTCTCAGCAAAGCAATTTTATTTCTGTGCAGAGGGGTGCTTCTTCTTTGCCAGTCGCCATGAGAGCACACTAGAACAAAGGAGGAAGAAAGTTTTTATTCCTGACGCAAATCCTACCCCTTTGCCCTTTCCCCATTGGCTGGAGTCGGCCACACAATCTAAACTAGACTCAGTTGGCTAAACATTTTAACTTTCTTTAGATAAGGTGGGCACGTGAGGGAGAGAGGGGAGATGGGGAAGGGGTGTGTGTGATGAGCTAGATAACTAATCTTCTTCCAAAATAAGGAAAGGAATGTGAGTTGGTACTGATAACGCCTGGTACTGTGACATGTCTAGGCATGTAGCAAAAGCAGAAAGGAAAGAGAAGAGAAGAAAAGTGAAGTGGGGAGGGGCACTGTGAATTAAAGAATAAAGGATTGATCAGGCTATTTGAAGAGAAACCTTATCATACCCCACATTCCTATTCTGTCATTTTGATTTTTCCATTTTGCCAACGTGGATCAGAATTTTCTTTTATTCAGAGGCAGCAAATTCCTTCCTCCTTTCTCCCGAAGAAGCCTGTGCAATGAAGCTTTGTTTTCACTTTTCATAAAGCAACCTCATGATGAGGTTCAGCAGGGATGAGAGCCCTTATCTGGATCTGGGTATGAGGCGAAGGAGTCTTAGGTACTCAGTCTTCAGAAGTAAGGCCCTTTTGAAGGTTATCCTTTTACTTGCCTTCTGGTAACTTTTTGGATGCTGTCCATAGCTTTCCTGATAAATTAGCAGCCCTCTGGTTAGTCCGAGGAGAGAGGCCGCAGGACGGGCAGACTGCTGCTCATCTCTGCAGCTCCACTTTGGTCTCTTGTCTCTGAAGGTCCAGTCACAGGGAACTTGTTCTTCTGAGTACCCACAGCTTACTCTTCCTTTGTAGCAGGACCAGCCACAGAAAAAACTCCTCAGACACCGAGGTAAAGAAGGAAGGGGTTTATTCGGCCAGGGGCATAGGCAAGACTCCTGTCTCAAGAGCCGAGCTCCTCGAGTGAGCAATTCCTGTCCCTTTTAAGGGCTCACAACTCTAAGGGGGTCCGCGTGAGAGGGTCGTGATCGATTGAGCAAGCAGGGGGTACGTGACTGGGGGCTGCATACACCGGTAATTAGATCGGAACAAAACAGAGTAGGGATTTTCACAGTGCTTTTCTATACAATGTCTGGAATCTATAGATAACAAACCAATTAGGTCAGGGGTCCATCTTTAACTACCAGGTCCAGGGTGTGGCCCCGGGCTGTCTGCTTGTGGATTTCATTTCTGCCTTTTAGTTTTTACTTTTTCTTTCTTTGGAGGCAGAAATTGGGCATAAGACAATATGAGAGGTGGTCTCCTCCCTCAACTTCTGTAGCACCCAATGAACCTCTGGTATCCACTCCTGTTTTAGAAGTTGCTATTATTCTAGGTACACCTTTTCATCATGAGTTACCTCAACTCCCTACTCAATTTTCCCTTGCACAGAGCTAAGGCAAGGAGTTGGTAATTTCTCCTGAGTCTTATCTCGATCTTATCGCTGAGCATTTTGTACCTTGATGCCTATGTCACCCATATTCTGATGTGTCCTTTTCTTTGTTTCACTTTTCAGAGGTCCAGGTAACTGTCTCCTTATGTGTCTGTACCGCACATCTTGTCAAGGTCCATATCTAGTATTTATTCATTGTCAAGTCTAGTACAGGACCCAATAAATAAAACTGTACTTTTAATTTTTGAAAAATATTTTTGACTAAATTCACAAAACAAAAGCATACAGGTATAGTAAAAAAACAAAAACAAAAACAAAAAAACTATCTATTCGATATATAATCAACATTAAATACCGGTAAGAGATTATGCTCTGGACTAGGGAAAAGGAAGTAAACACGCAGTCAAAAAAAGGAAGTAAACCAGCAGTTTTAATGTAGCAAAAAGGTAGCAGTTACTAGAGGATAAATGTAAAACCAATAAAACAAAAGCAACAAACTAAAAGGGCTGCAATAGGATGTGGTATCTGTAGTGCTCTTGTCAAGGGCTTTGCAACTTTAAATAGATTTCACATTAGGTCTCACTGTGAGACAATGATTTTGAGCAGTCTTCAATAAAATGATGGATTTAAGAACTGATGAACTAACTGTGAGAGAAAGAGATGACACTGGGGTAGCTTTATGAAATCTGTCCTCTGTTACAAAATGACTTATCTGAAACATATTGACCAGAGAGTTAGAACTCTTGGAAAAAGGGTCATTACTTGGGGAAAACTAAACCCTGGACATTTTAGTGGGTCATTGAAAAAGGAACTCTGAGTTTAGACAAATAAGAAGTGGTAACGGTGTTTCTGAGTTCTCCAGGTTTCTGCATGCCAAGAACAGGACCTATTTTCTCCATTGGTAGTTCCTGACCCAAGGAACAGGGGAAATTTAAAAGATGTTGGCTAGGCCAGGCACCTGGTGGCTTGTGCCAAAGCCTAGCCAAAAATCCCAGCACTTTGGGAAGCCAAGACTGGAGGACTGCTTGAGTTGAGGAGTTTGAGACCAGCCTGGGCAACGCAGTGAGACCTTGTCTCAAAAAAAAAAAAAAAAGATATTGATGGCTAAACCCCTTATAATTTTTCTCCTTATTGTGTAGCCACACTAATTTAATTTAATCTTTTTTTTTTTTTTTCTTTTGACGGAGTCTTGCTCTGTTGCCAGGCTGGAGTGCAGTGGTGTGATCTCAGCTCACTGCAACCTCCGCCTCCTGGGTTCAAGTGATTCTCCTGCCTCAGCCTCCAGAGTAGCGGGGACTACAAGCAACTGCTGTCACACCTGGCTAATGTTTGTATATATATATATTTTTTAGTAGATACGGGGTCTCACCATAGTGGCCAGGCTGGCCTCAAACTCCTGACCTCAGGTAATCTGCCCGCCTCGGCCCCCCAAACTGCTGGGATTACAGGCTTGAGCCACAGCGCCTGGCCATCTTTTTTTTTTTTTTTTTTTTGATTTAAATTGCACAGATAAAGAAAGCTTCTGTGCAGGTAATCAGAGTATTCTGAAACAAGGAAGCTACGGACCTAGTTAGCCTTCACCGTGTCATAGAAACTTCTACATTCGCACCACCTTCAAAGGGGAGCATGCATTTTGTTTATGTGTCTGTCTGTCTACCTGTCTTAGGTCGGAAGGGTTTCAATGGGGCTACATTTCTTCAATGTTAGAATAAAGAATGAATAGGCCGGGCGCGGTGGCTCACGCCAGTAATCCCAGCACTTTGGGAGGCCGAGGCGGGCAGATCATGAGGTCCGGAGATCGAGACCATCCTGGCTAACACAGTGAAACCCCGTCTCTACTAAAAAGACACCAAAAAATCACCCGGGTGTGGTGGCGGGCGCCTGTAGTCCCAGCTACTTGGAGGCTGAGGCAGGAGAATGGCGTGAACCCGAGAGGCGGAGCTGGCAAGGAGCCGAGATCGCACCACTGCACTCCAGCCTGGGTGACAGAGTGAGACTCCGTCTCAAAAAAAAAAAAAAAAAAAAAAGAATGAATAAATCAAGAAAAATAAGCACTTGTATTAGTTTTCTAGAGCTGTCATAGAAAAAGTACCAAAAGTGGTTGGCTTAAATAGCAGAAATATATTGCCTTACAATTCTGGAGGCTAGTTATCCAAGATAAAATGTGTTGACAGGGCTGGTTCCTTCTGAAGGCTATGAAGGAGGCCTCTGGTCCATGCCTCTCTTCTAGCTTCTAATAGTTTCCTGGAAACCTTTAGCATTCCTTGGCTTATAGGTGCATCACCCTGATCTCTGCTTTCTTCTTCACCCTGGCATATTCCTTGTGTATAAATGTCCCTTTTTGATAAGGACACAGTCATGTTGGATAAGGGTCTACCCTAATGAGCACATGGTAACTAAATAGTATTTAAATATACTAGTTTCAAATAAGAGCACATTCACACATTAGGATTTCAACATCATTTGGGGAGAAACAGGACAGACTTTATCTCTCTGCTACATATTCTCAATGTACTTGGCCTCCTTTATGGATTGAGACTTTTCTCCCATGACCAACAGATGTTTCTTTGAAATGTATATTGAGTCTATATCATGTGTGTGATCCTATAACTATTTTAGCCTCTTTTCCTCTTCCCAAAATATATACATCTTTAGGTTCCTATCACCATCCTTGCCATATGTCCAGGCCAAGGTGAAATTTCAACATTTAAAACCACAGCATGCCCCAGAACTACATAGCTGGTCTGGATCTCTCCATTTCTATACCCCCAATAGCACTGGGTATCAGTATAGCTCTTGTAGCCTTTACCTTTGTTGTCTGTATAAATCTGTGCTGCAGTGGAGAGAACTCTGAAGGAGGACCTTGGGGACAATACATTCACTCTTACTCTACCTATTAGATTAGAATGAGTGATCTTTGTAAGTCACTTGATTCTATTGACACACCTGAAGAAAGGGAGTATTCTTATTTCTCAAGGGTTTTGTATGAAGAATAAAGAAGTCAAAATGATTTCTAAATTGTAACTGCTTATAAAATTGTTCATGATAAAATTATTTTCCTATTATGGTGTTGGTGGTGGTGGTGTGTGGGTGTGTGTGTATGTCTTTGGGGATGGAGTGTGAGGTCATGGGAGGACTTGCTATGGGTAGATGTGTTAGGATGTAAACACTTCTTCACTGGAAACCATAATTGTGGTCCCAAAGGTCAGCTATTGGGAAACTGCTAATTGATGGAAAGAAAAGATGAAAATCTGATTAAAAGGTCTAATCATCTATGGAGGGATAAGGAAGTTGTGGCTTTATATATTCGTTAAATGTTTTATTCCTGTATGTGATTCACTTTTCTAGGTATAGAGGACATATCAGTGAACAAAAAAAGTCCCAGGTCTATGAATGGATTACTTTTCAGGAGGAAGAAGTAGACATTTAAAGAACAATCTTATATATTACATAGTAAAAATAAGAAGCTAAATGTGCAGTGAGTGACAGTACTGGTGGTTTTGCTATAAGTAAATTATAGTATGTCCTTCTAAGAAGAGGACTTCTAAGAGGAGACTGAATTAAATGTAAGAGTGAGTCTTGCTAACATCAGGGGGAGGATCATTTTATGCAGAGAGAGGAGCAAGTGCAAAAGCCTTGAGGAGCCATAGATTTGATAGTTTAATTGAGGAGGTATTTTTTACATGGGGAAAAAAGTCAGAGGAGATAAACCTTAACAGTATAAGTAAAATAATTCAGACACCAAAGACATATATTATGATTCTATTTTTATCAACTGATTAAAAACCCAAAGGATATTAGTAGTGGTTGCCTGGAGCTTGGGATCAGAATAGGAGTGATGGCATTAGGGTTTTTTTTTTTCAGGTGATAAAAATAATTTTAAATTGGGTTACAGTAATAGTTATATAGTTCCACAGATTTACTAGAAATTATTGCATGATACACTTAAAAATGATGTTTGATGCAGTGTTTGATGCTATGTAAATACAATTCAATAGCTTAAAAATATGCAAATATTCATGAATCATGCAAATATTGGGGATACAATCATGCCATTCAGAGAGAAAAGCCTGTGTGCAAGCCCAGGGGCAGGGGTGTGTTTAGTGCATTTAACATGGAAAATGTGTTTTGGGTTGGGGAACAAAAGGCAGGACAAATGATGGGTTACACGAAGCTCTTGGTAGAAGAGCCTCAGTTTGTCCTCTCCAGTAGAAGAGAAAATAACAATAATTGCCTTGATGGGGTGAAATTTGTCCTGAGACAAAAATTAAGAATAAAGTGTTTGAAATTACTACAAAGTCCATTTTATTCTGTCATTGGTTTATTCTTCATGCCTTTCTTTTCTCCTTTCTCTGTTAAATATTAATGTTTTGTCCTGTTCTAAATCTCTGTAAAAGCAGTATTCTTTCTATTCCTTCTTTTCTTACCCTGTCCCCTTCAACATTCTCAGCACTGCAGGAGTTTGTGACCAAGAACTTCAAGAGTCAAGACAGAAGGAAGCCAAGGGAGCAGTGCAATGGATTTCTCAGTAAAGGTAGACATAGAGAAGGAGGTGACCTGCCCCATCTGCCTGGAGCTCCTGACAGAACCTCTGAGCCTAGATTGTGGCCACAGCTTCTGCCAAGCCTGCATCACTGCAAAGATCAAGGAGTCAGTGATCATCTCAAGAGGGGAAAGCAGCTGTCCTGTGTGTCAGACCAGATTCCAGCCTGGGAACCTCCGACCTAATCGGCATCTGGCCAACATAGTTGAGAGAGTCAAAGAGGTCAAGATGAGCCCACAGGAGGGGCAGAAGAGAGATGTCTGTGAGCACCATGGAAAAAAACTCCAGATCTTCTGTAAGGAGGATGGAAAAGTCATTTGCTGGGTTTGTGAACTGTCTCAGGAACACCAAGGTCACCAAACATTCCGCATAAACGAGGTGGTCAAGGAATGTCAGGTAGGCTCCAAGATAGAGGAAGAGAGAGCAGAGAGCAGAAGATGGTACCTAATGTGAAATCTCCACTTTTTTTGTCCTGCTTTATTCCCCTTGTCACCATAGAACGGAGAGCCCTGTGATCTCTTTCCATACTCTTTGCTTAGTTTCTGATGCCTGAAGGACACTGCTGCACATTGTTTTATTTAAAAAAGAGTACAAATTTTTAGCAAGGAAAAGTTGAATGAATGGAGAATTGCTTTGTAAGATAAGCTTTCATTGCCCCTCCAAGAAGAACAGTATTTTTGGGAACACGTCTGGTTAGATGTGGGAAGAGTGGCAATGAAAGGACGTCTTTCCTTACTGCAGGGTCTGCTTTTTCTCTAGGAAAAGAATCAGGCTACTCTTGATAAGAGGATGGTGACTTCCATCATCCAGGAATAAAGAATACATTCATCTCCTCAGATTTTCCCCCATGCCATAGGTTCTAATCACCAGCCTCACTGTTTCTGTAAACTAGTTTCTTCTGAGAGCCATCCAATTTCTTCCTTGCTGTCCTCTATTCAGGTGCTGAGAAAGCTCATAACTTTACTCTGGTATAATTTATTTCTTACAGGAAAAGCTGCAGGTAGCCCTGCAGAGGCTGATAAAGGAGGATCAAGAGGCTGAGAAGCTGGAAGATGACATCAGACAAGAGAGAACCGCCTGGAAGGCAGGAGGAGACACCTCCTAAGGGATAATTAGACAGGAATCTGGGCAGGACCCTGGGCTCTATCACAAGGAGACCCCTTCCTCTTTGCTGTGCTAGAATTAACAAGCATAGAAGTCATTTGATTAGGTCTCAATTTAACTCCTTCCCTGTTGGAGTTTAGGGGCTGGAGAGTAGACATATCATAAATCAACACTATATTTGGAAGTGAAGGCATGGAGGGAAATATCTGTGAAAACGCTTCCTGTGAATCCTGTGTTCCATTTGTGTCATCAGGTTTGAGGCTCCAATCCTTCCAGTAAACACCCTGGAGAAAGACCCAGGATTCCCTGTTTAGGGGGTTTCAGTAGGGGGATTTTTTTGTTTGTTTGTTTGTTTTTTGAGACAGAGTCTCTCTCTGTCATACAGGCTGGAGTGTAGTGGCGCGATCTTGGCTCACTGCAACCTCTGCCTCCCTGGTTCAAACGATTCTCCTGCCTCAGCCTCCCGAGTAGCTGGGACTACAGGCATGTGCCACCATGCCCAGCTAATTTTTTGTATTTTTAGTAGAGATGGGGTTTCATCATGTTAGCCAGGATGGTCTCAATCTCCTGACCTTGTGATCCACCCATCTCAGCCTCCCAAAGTGCTGGGATTACAGGCATGAGCCACTGTGCCAGGCCAGGTAGAGGGATTTAAGATACAGAAAGGCAAAGTTGTTCAGGACAGGTGTCTACAATCCAAGCCTCACCCAGGCATCACATTTTGTCTCAGATTAGGCCTCAATAAAACTGACTTGAGTGTATTGCTTTGGGAGGAGCTCAGGTTAAAAAGTAGAAAAACATGGCTTCACCAGAAATTGTGTATTGGCTTTTGCCTCCTATTCCTTTTGAGAACTCCCTGAGGAAAACTGTTCTTATCCTGTCTCCCAGGCTCATACAAAGCAGGCCTTCAACCAGCCAGACTGACTGCCTCTTTCTCTTTTCATTCCCAAGAATTATATCCAGATCGAGAGACAGAAGATTCTGAAAGGGTTCAATGAAATGAGAGTCATCTTGGACAATGAGGAGCAGAGAGAGCTGCAAAAGCTGGAGGAAGGTGAGGTGAATGTGCTGGATAACCTGGCAGCAGCTACAGACCAGCTGGTCCAGCAGAGGCAGGATGCCAGCACGCTCATCTCAGATCTCCAGCGGAGGTTGAGGGGATCGTCAGTAGAGATGCTGCAGGTAAGACTTGGGATGGAGCACCTACGTAAGAGATTAGGGGAAAAACACAGAGGCCGATTTTCCTTCCCTTCCCAGTCTCTAGGCTTTCTTCTGTGTGGTGACATGAAATGGTTCCTTTGGCCCGGCATGCCCCTTTTATGCCCATCATTTCAGGGGTCACAGAGATCATTAAGTGTATGAATGGGAAGGGAAATTCCCATTATTATTCACTTATGAGAGCAGTGTAAAAATTTGAGCTTGGAGAGGATTCTTTGTACCATGAGCATATCAGTTTTAGAACTTTCCCATCACATCAAAAACATTTCTCATGCCTGTTTGCAGTCAATATCTGTTTCTACCTCCACCTCCTGGCAGCCTATCTGTTTTCTGTCTGTATAGAATTGGCTTCTCTGGACCTTTCAATATGAATTGAATTATAAAACATGTAGTCTTTTGCATCTGGCATCTTTAACTTAGCATAATATTTTGAGGTTTATTTATATTGCAGTATGTATCAGCATTTTGCTCTTATTGCTAATACTATTCCATTATCTGAATATATCATATTATGTTTATGTATTCACCAGTTGGTGGCTATATGAATATTTTCCAGTTAGGGACTATTATGAATAATGCTACAGTAAACATTCACTTACATGTCCTCATACAAACATGTTTTCATTTATCTTGAGTAGATTTTAAGAGTGTTGTATGTTGTGGCCGGGCGCGGTGGCTCACGCCTGTAATCCCAGCACTTTGGGAGGCCGAGGCGGGTGGATCATGAGGTCAGGAGATCGAGACCATCCTGGCTAACAAGGTGAAACCCCGTCTCTACTAAAAATACAAAAAATTAGCCGGGCGCGGTGGCGGGCGCCTGTAGTCCCAGCTACTCGGGAGGCTGAGGCAGGAGAATGGCGTGAACCCGGGAAGCGGAGCTTGCAATGAACCGAGATTGCGCCACTGCAGTCCGCAGTCCGGCCTGGGCGACAGAGCGAGACTCCGTCTCAAAAAAAAAAAAAAAAAAAAAAAAAAAAAAAAAAAAAAAGAGTGTTGTATGTTGTTTATGTATAAGTTTTAAGTTGTCGTACTATTTTCCAAAGTTGTTACTCACTTTATATGAGTAACAATACAAAAGCTTATAAAAAGCAATATAAAAAGTTTCTAGGTTCTTCACATCCTTGTTAATACTTGATTATTTCCTTTTTTTTTTTTTTTTTAGTTACAGCCTTTCTAGTGGGAACATAATGGTATCTCAATGCAGTTTTGATTTGCTTTTTCCTAATAACTAACACTGCTGAAAAGCTTATTATTTCCACATGTAGATTCTGTACCTTTTTAAAGAGTTTTTTCTGTTTTACTTTTGGTGCTATTGTAATTTTTTTTTTATTTCAAATTTCAATTCTTCATTGCTGGCACATAGAAAGGAAACTGACTTTAGTATTTTAATCTTGTATATTGCAACCTTGCTATAATTACTTATTAGTCATAGAAGAGTTTTTTTTTTAATGTCAATTCTTTGGCATTTTCTACATGGAGAATCATGTCATCTGAGAATAAAGTTAATTGTTTCATACTCTGCAGTTTGTATGGTTTTTTTTTTTTGGTGTATTTTTTTGGAGACGGAGTCTCTTACTGTTACCCAGGCTAGAATGTGGTGGCACAATCTCACCTCACTGCAACCTTCACCTCTCAGGTTCAAATAATTCTCCTGCCTCAGCCTCCCAGGACTAGCGCACACCGCCACACCTGGCTACATTTTTTTTGTATTTTAGTAAAGACAGGGATTCACTGTGTTGCCCAGGCTGGTCTCGAACTCTTGAGCTCAGGCAATCTGCCCGCCTTGGCCTCCCAAAGTGCTAGGATTAAAGGCGTGAGCCACCGCGCCTGGCCAGCAGTTTGTATAGTTTTTATTTGTCTTTGCTTGTTTTATTACACTAGCTAGGACTTCTAGTACAATGTTCAACAGGGATGGTGAGAGGGGATATCCTTTCCTTTTTTCTGACCTTAGGGGGAAAGTACTCAGTCTCTCACTTATAAGTATGATGTTAGCTATAGGAGTCTTTTTTTTTTTTTTTTTTTTTCAGATTTGTAATGAAGTTGAGAAACTTCCTCTTTTTTTCTTTTTTTTGAGACGCAGTCTCGTTCTGTCACCCAGACTGGAGTGCAGTGGCACGATTTCGGCTCACTGCAAACTCTGCCTCCCGGGTTCAAGCGATTCTCCTGCCTCAGCTGGGACTGCAGGCCGCCCACCACCACATCCAGCTAATTTTTGTATTTTTAATAGAGACAGGGTTTTGCCATGTTGGGCAGGCTGGTTTTGAACTCCTGACCTCAGATGCACCCGGCCGAGAAACTTCCTCTTTATTCCTAGTTTGCTGAGACTTTTTATCATGAATGGTGTGAATTTTGTCGAATAGCTTTTCTGCCTCAGTTGATATAATCATATGATTTTTCTTCTTTATTGATATGGGAGATTACATTAATAATTTTCAAAGATTGAACCAGCTTGCATACCTTGAATAAATCCCACTTACTTGTGGTGCACAATTTTTATATATATTTTGTTGGATTTGTTTTACTAACGTACTGTTGAGAATTTTTGCATCTGTGTTCATGAGAGATACTGGTTTCTGGTTTTCCTTTCTCATAATGTCTTTACTTGGCTCTGGATTAGGGTAATGCTGACCTCATAGAATGTGTTACAAAATAGTCCATCTCCTTTCATTTTCTGAAACAAATTTGGGGAGAATTTTAATAATTTCCTTCTCCAACTTTTGGTAGAATTCATCAGTTTACCAATAAAACCCACTAAGCCTATTTTTAAAGTGTTGCTTAATATTTTGGAGTATTACAGCTGTCTGTTACTGATTACTAGTTAAATTCTATTGTTGCGTAAGAAAACATTTTGTATGAGTTCAATTGTTTACATTTGTTAACGTGTATTTTGTGGTATAGAATGTGTTATAGCTTGGTTAATTTTCAATGTGAGCTTGAGAAGAATAGATATTTGCCTTTAGATGGAATATTCTATGAATGCCATTTAAATCAGTTGCTATATAGTGTGCTGTTCAGGTACAACTGTAGCGGTAATCATTTCCTGTGGCTGCTGTAAGAAATTGTCACAAACTTTATAACTTAAAACCTCATACAAAAAAATTGTCTCATAGTTCTGAAAGCTCAGAGCCCAAAATCAATGTACCAGCAACCACCAGAAGCTAATAGGGAAGCGTGGAACAGATTACAGCAGGGACCAACATTACCAATATCCTGATTTTGAACCTAGCCTCAAGAACTGTGAGAGACTAAATCTCGGTTGTTTAAAAACCATACAGTTTGTGCTGCTACGTTGTTAGAGCAACCCCAGAAAATTAAAACGCCTACCATTTTTCACTGTTTTCTATTGACCGTACTTGCTCTTTGCTTTTTTTTCCCTTCCTCTCTTTTTCTGCCCTCTTTTAACTATTTTGTATTATTCAATTGATTATTTTATATTATTCAATTTTCTTTCCTCTCTTAGCTTATTAGTTATATATTACTAATATACATCACAAATATAGCTATATTAGTTATATATAATATACATAACTAATATATATTAGTTATATATTACATATACATAACGAATATATATTAGTTATATATTACATATACATAACTAATATATATTAGTTATATATTATATATACATAACTAGTATACATAACTAATATATATTATATTATATATAGTTATATATAATATATAACTAATATGCCTAAAGGTATATATATAAATATAACTAATATGCCTAATAATATAACTAATATAACTAATAATAATATAACTAATATGCCTAAAGGTATATATATAAATATAAAACAAACATACAAATATATTTGAAATATAAAAATATTTTAAAAATATAAACTTTTTATAAATATATAAAAATATATTTTAAAAATATAAATAACACTATACATATATATATAAAGGCTTAGTGGTTTCCCTGGAGTTTGCAATATGCATTTACAACTAATCTAAGTCTAATTACAAATAACACTATACCCCTTCACATGTAGTGCAGGTACCTTAGAGCAGAGTATCCTCAATCTTGAGTAACGTTGCTGTCATTCATTTCACTTATCCATAAGCTGTAATCGCCCACTACATTGTTGATATTATTACTTTAAGCCATTATCTTATATATTAGTTGAGAATCAGAAAAACAAAATATTTTATTTACCTTTACTTCTTTTTCAGTGCTCTTTCTCTCTTTGTGAAGATCTGAATTTCAGACATATACTCTTCTTCCCCCTGAATAATGTCTTTTAACGTTTATGGCAAAGTATTTCCTTCATTATTGCGGGACAAAATTTCTGAATATAAAATTCTTGAGTCATGGGTGTTATTCTTTCAAAACTTTAATATTTATTCCACATGCTGAACTTTTACTAGTTTTAGTAGTTGTGTGTTTGTGTGTGTATATTCTTTGAGATCATTTACATACTGAATCATGCTGTCTGTAAATAAATATAGTTAATTTTAAAACTGCAACTTTTATTTTAGATACAGGGAGTATATGTGCAGGTTTGTTACATGGGAATATTGGGTGATGCTGAGGTTTGGGATACAGATCCCATCACCCAGGTAATGAGCATATTACCCAATCAGTAGTTTTTCAACTCACACACCCTCCTCCCTCCCCTAGTGTAGTCTGTAGTGTCTATTATTTCCATATTTATGTCCACGTATGCTCAATAGTTAGCTTCCACTTATAAGTGAGAACATGCAGTGCTTGATTTTCAGTTCCCGTGTTAATTTGCTTAGGATTATGGCCTCCAGCTGCATCCATGTTGTTGCAAAGGACATAATTTTATTCTTTTTTTTTCTTTTTTTTTTTGAGATGGAGTCTTGCTCTGTCACCCAGGCTGGAGAGCAGTGGCGCAATCTTGGCTCACTGCAAGCTCTGCTTCCCGGGTTCAGGCCATTCTCCTGCTGCATCCTCCCGAGTAGCTGGGACTACAGGCGCCTGCAACCACGCCCGGCTAATTTTTTGTATTTTTAGTA
The DNA here is from genome assembly GCF_000001405.40 of Homo sapiens. Classification (NCBI taxonomy): domain Eukaryota; kingdom Metazoa; phylum Chordata; class Mammalia; order Primates; family Hominidae; genus Homo; species Homo sapiens. The sequence continues at coordinate 5,703,571 of NC_000011.10, forward strand.
GAGACGGGGTTTCACCTTGTTAGCCAGGACAGTCTCGATCTCCTGACCTCGTGATCCGCCCACCTCAGCCTCCCAAAGTGCTGGGACTACAGGCATGAGCCACCGCGCCCGGAAATTTTATTTTTTTTATGACTATGTAGTATTCCATGGTGTATATGTACCACATTTTGTTTATCCAGTCTACTATTGATGGATACCTGGGTTGATTCCATGTCTTTGCTACAAGCAAGAAAACAAAGAACCCCATTAAAAATGGGCAAAAGTCATGAACAGACATTTATCCAAAGAAGACATACAGGTGGCCAACAAACATATGAAAAAATGCTCATCATTGCTAATAACCTGAGAAATGCAAATCAAAACCACAACGAGATACCATCTCACAACAGTCAGAATGGCTATTATTATAAAGTCAAAAATTAACAGATGCTAGTGAGGCTACAGAGTAATGGGAACATGTACTCTGTTGGTAGAAATGTAAATTATTTCAGCCATTGTAGAAAGCAGTCTGGAGGTTTCTAAAAGAACTTAAAACAGAGCTACTGTTAGACCCAGCAATCCCCCTGCTGGGTATATACCCAAAGGAAAATAAATCATTCTACCAAACCAAATATAGTTTTACTTCTCTTTCATGCTAGATGTCTTATTTCTTTTTATTTTTACTCTTTTCTTCTTTATCTTTCTTTTTTTTTCTTTATTGCACTTGATAAAACTTCCAATACAATGTTGACCTTAGTGGTGAAACCACACACGCTAGTCTTTTTCTTGATTTTAGGAGGAAGTAATTCAGACTTTCACTATTAATTATGTTATTAGTTGTATACTACTTATACATGTTTCTTATCAGTTTTTAGGATGTTCTCTTTTATTATCAGTTTGTTGAGAGGTTTTATCTGAATGGATGTTGATTTTCTTGTTGAATTTTAGGAGTCATTTATAGATTCTGGATATTAATACCTTATCAGACATATAATTTGTAAATATGCTTTCCCATTCTGTAGATTGCCTTTTCGCTCTCTTCATAGTGTTCTTCATAACTTAAAAGTGATTTTTTTAAAGTTTCATTTTGGTAAAGATCTGTTTATTTATTTTTTTCTCACATTGCCTTTACTTTTTGTATCATAGCCAACAAATCACTACCAAATCCAATGTCATGCAATTTTCCCCTTTTCTTCTAGGAGTTTTATATCTTTAGGTCTTTGATTTATTTTTAGTTATAGTGGTTATATGGTATAAGTTATCTATTTTTAATGTTATTGTAGCCATTGTATTATATTGTGCCCTGTTTCACAAACAGTTTGGTAATAAGGGTGAAGAGGTGGCAGAGAGCTGAGGAATGTGCCATTTTTTGCAAACAGTTTGGTAATAAGGCTGAAGACGTGGCAGACAGCTGAGGAATGGACCATAGAGGACAATATTTGTTTGTCTGTCTAACCTCTATTCCTTTTGATTGTTTCTTTATAATAACTTTTGAGGAACCATCCCTACCCTGCCTCATTCCCTGCAGTTGGTTAAAGTAGACAAAATTAGTAGCATTAGGCATGTATATGTTACTCAGTTCTGGCAAATCATTATATCCAACTCTTATATTTTTACCAACTTTACAGTAATTATTTTAAGATATATACTTGACTCAATTGGAGTCGATGGTTTGCATGCCTTAGAATTTTACTGTCATGAGTAAAAAGAGCCGTTGTCTTTTCTGATGGGTATCATATCAGGGATAATAATTTAAACCAGGAGAGTCAAGCTGATGCCATAATTAATCTGAAAATAAGTCAATATAATAGGTATGAAATATAATTTTTAGAAGAAAAACCAGATTCTGATGGCAAGATTTTAGTTTAAAGATGTAGCTATGAGTAAAATTATACTTGACCCCTTGAATTTGTTTTTTAAAAATTTAAACCAGTTTTAGTTGGTTTTGTCAGATATTACAACAACAAAAAAGCTAATACAGGCAGTGAAACTATTTCTGAGGGTGTGAAGTCAACTGGAGGTCAAGTCTTTGTTGGTATAAAGGGGGTCAGATCAGACAGCGGGAGATCAAATATATTGGTACATACTTGTTCAAAAAAATAAAGGAAATAATGGTTATGGTGAGAAAGAAAAGATAGCTAAAAACAGTTAAAAATGTAAACTAGTCTAGGTTAATAAAATGTTGGAATCCAGGATAAAATTTTATAGTTTCAAAGATGATGACTAAGTGGATATTGACACTATTCGGGACAGTGGGGTGTAAATAGTTGGGAAATAGTAAGTTACATTTAAGACCTACTCAGTTACTTGGTCCTGTGGCTTGTTTCATACTGAAAAATGTATGAGATCACCTACAGTGGAGTTTAGTCAGCATACACAGTGAGTACATGGAGGCCAGACAAACTTTTAGTTGAAATGCTTGCTTGCTTTTGCTCACGGCAACAGTACACTTCTTAAGGACTTTTATTATTAATTTTCATCATTAGATCCCTAAAGCCTGAAAAAATATAGGGCAAACGTATTTCGCTGTTTTGTGTCTGTTGATGTATAAAATAAAAACACAATGAATTAATGAGGTTTTCTCATTAAAAATGTATAAAAATATTAGAGCTCCTCCCTCTTTTTAAAATATATTCCTTCTTGAGATACTTGAAGCATCTTCCTAACACCCTCATCTTAGTCCTCTGCAGTGGTCAGTCTGAATCTTATCTCCACACTTTGTCCCCAGTCTGTGACCATCTATTTATTCCCACCATATCCAGGGATAGTAAGAGTGTGGGGAGGAAGGTGGATAAAACTTTGTAAGATAGGAGGGCCTATTACTTTTTTGAGCATTGCTAGACAAAATACAGGATGCTCAGTTAAAGTTTAATTTCAGATAAAAGAAATGTAATATTTTTAGTATAAGAATATCTTAAATATTATAAGGGTCATATATATAACAAAAAATATATTGTTTATCCCAAATTCTAATTGAACTAGCCACTTTTATGTTCTAAATCTGGCAACCCTATCTTGACTCATGTTTTCTATCTTTTCCCCAGGATGTGATTGACGTCATGAAAAGGTATATGTGGAAGAGAGATGTGGTCTTATTTGTCTGAAAAGAGAATTATAGTCCTGAGAGATATCTTCCTTCAATCAGAACAACTTAAAAAATCAAAAGGCTGGGAAATTTGTGTATTAAATTGTCCCAAATTGCTAGTCACAGATTAAAGTTTTCAATTGTAAGAAATTTTGGTGTTGGGAGATCACAGAGTTAGGGTCGACGGAGGCCTTAGGAATAAGAGTTTGCAATATCAGAACCCCATGACTTCACTCACTTTATTCAAACCTCTGTCTCTGTTGTTTCCATATTGCATAGATGCCTGTCTTATTGCAGTGAGGCTCTGCCCTTTTTATATGCCAGACTCCAAATTTTTCAGAGACAGCGCCTTTATGTTTGTTTTCCTCCCTGAGAATAAAATAAACAATAACTTTCTAGGTGGTGCTTTTTAGATTTCTAGAAAAATAGATTCAAGTCTTGAGGAATAGTGGCTTTGGTCCTGGTGCTAGCATAACCTTTTCTTGCTCACATACTTTACCGTCTTGTAGGAAAAAATAATATTCTTGTGTCTAAAGTTGCCCACCTACTTGGCAACATCAAAGTTTTTTTAAACACATGAAAATCAGACCACTATTAATTAATTTAGTCATCGTAATTTGTCTTTCCCCAAATAACTTGAAACCTCAGACATTATTCTCTAGGTCTCATATTGGGATAACAGATTTTGGAAACCCTTTAGCTCTTCAATATAGGATCCTACTTTGATATCTCTCAACAACTCAGGAGACAGATTCTATGGCCTCCTTAATGACCACCTGTCTAGGAACCCACATCTCTGGCCTCTTCCTGGTGGACCCACTGAGATGGCAATGACTTTTCTAAATATTAAATAAGTTTTTTAGAGGCACTGAATATCTTTTAAAAGCATTATTGGCTGGGTGCAGTGGGTCACGCCTACAATGCTAGCACTTTGGGAAGCCGAGGCAGGCGGATCACTTGAGGTCAGAAGTTCAAAACCAGCCTGGCCAACATGGTGAAACCCTGTCTCTACTAAAAGTACAAAAAAATTAGCTGGATGTGGTAGCAGGCACCTGTAATCCCAGCTACTTGGGAGGCTGAGGCAGGAGAATGGCTTGAACCTGGGAGGCAGAGGTTGCAGTGAGCCGAGGTCGCGCCACTACACTCCAGCCTGGATAACAGAGTGAGACCCCATCTCAAAACAAACAAACAAACAAACAAACAAAAGCATTATTATTTTATCTAATTTTATATTCATTTTTAAGAGGTAGAAAGCATGGGGTTAATTATTGCATTTTAAAAGTAAGAAAGCGAACATCGTTGAAGTGAAGACCTTCCCAAGATTACACAGAGGGGAAGACCTTCCCAAGATTACACACAGACAGGTAGACATGAGCACATTTCTCTGGACTCCAGTGTCAGGCATCTCCCCTCTACTGTCCTCAGGGAAGAGGGTCCAAGTGCGTCAGCAAGTATGGTGAAAGGTGAAAGAGACAGTGATCTTGGATGGAGAGAAATAGGGCAAAGGTGTAAAGGTTATCAATTTTTGTTATCACTAGGAGTGAAAGCTGGACATTGAAGAAGCCAAAATCTGTTTCCAAGAAACTAAAGAGTGTATTCCGAGTACCAGATCTGAGTGGGATGCTGCAAGTTCTTAAAGGTAAGGGGATTCAGGGGAAGGCTGTGAATGTGGATTTCTTAGTATCAGGGCTCAATAGGGAAGCGGGAGGTTTTTTTAGGTTAGGATATAGGAGAGGAGGTGGGCCAGAGAAGGAGGAAAATCCTGTGCTGTAGATGTGGTCCTGTCTTAGGGGGAATGACCAGGTGTCTGATTCATCCTCTCATTCACCAGTGCAAAGAATCCCAGTATTCCCCCTTTCCTTTCCCTACTCTGGAGAAGAGACAGGTGTCAGTACTTACTTATTTGCTTCTAACAACATCACTGAAACTTTTGTCGTTTCAGAGCTGACAGATGTCCAGTACTACTGGGGTAAGATGATATGGGGTTTTCAAATCACTTCCTTTCAGAATTGTGGTTACTATTAGATCTCATAATCTGAGTCTCATGTGTTCCTCCCCAAACATGCTTAAACCATGTAGTTCTTTTTTTTTTTTTTTTTAAGATAGATTTTTGCTATTGTTGCCCAGGCTGGAGTGCAATGGCGCGGTCTCGGCTCACTGCAACCTCTGCCTCCTGGGTTCAAGCGATTCTGCTGCCTCAGCCTCCCAAGTAGCTGGGATTACAGGCGTGTGCCACCACGCTTGGCTAATTTTTATAGTCTTACACCCTGTATTTCTTAAGGGTCCTACTAACCTCTGACTATCAACACAAGTTCCGTTTGATATCGACACAAGTTTCATTTTCAATATGTCTCTTCTCAATGCTGTAAGACACACCTATCCCATATCCTTCACTTGACTTGGTAATTTTTTCTACAGTGGACGTGATGCTGAATCCAGGCAGTGCCACTTCGAATGTTGCTATTTCTGTGGATCAGAGACAAGTGAAAACTGTACGCACCTGCACATTTAAGAATTCAAATCCATGTGATTTTTCTGCTTTTGGTGTCTTCGGCTGCCAATATTTCTCTTCGGGGAAATATTACTGGGAAGTAGATGTGTCTGGAAAGATTGCCTGGATCCTGGGCGTACACAGTAAAATAAGTAGTCTGAATAAAAGGAAGAGCTCTGGGTTTGCTTTTGATCCAAGTGTAAATTATTCAAAAGTTTACTCCAGATATAGACCTCAATATGGCTACTGGGTTATAGGATTACAGAATACATGTGAATATAATGCTTTTGAGGACTCCTCCTCTTCTGATCCCAAGGTTTTGACTCTCTTTATGGCTGTGCCTCCCTGTCGTATTGGGGTTTTCCTAGACTATGAGGCAGGCATTGTCTCATTTTTCAATGTCACAAACCACGGAGCACTCATCTACAAGTTCTCTGGATGTCGCTTTTCTCGACCTGCTTATCCGTATTTCAATCCTTGGAACTGCCTAGTCCCCATGACTGTGTGCCCACCGAGCTCCTGAGTGTTCTCATTCCTTTACCCACTTCTGCATAGTAGCCCTTGTGCTGAGACTCAGATTCTGCACCTGAGTTCATCTCTACTGAGACCATCTCTTCCTTTCTTTCCCCTTCTTTTACTTAGAATGTCTTTGTATTCATTTGCTAGGGCTTCCATAGCAAAGCATCATAGATTGCTGATTTAAACTGTAATTGTATTGCCGTACTGTGGGCTGGAAATCCCAAATCTAGATTCCAGCAGAGTTGGTTCTTTCTGAGGTCTGCAAGGAAGGGCTCTGTTCCATGCCTCTCTCCTTGGCTTGTAGAAGGCATCTTGTCCCTATGACTCTTCACATTGTCTTTATGTACATCTCTGTGCCCAAGTTTTCCCTTTTTATTAAGACACCAGTCATACTGGCTCAGGGCCCACCGCTAATGCCTTAATGAAATCATTTTAACATTATATTCTCTACAAAGACCTTATTTCCAAATAAGATAATATTTGGAGGTATTGGGAATAAAAACTCCAACATATAAATTTGAGGAAGGCACGATTTCACTCATAACAATCTTACCCTTTCTTGCAAGAGATGCTTGTACATTATTTTCCTAATACCTTGGTTTCACTAGTAGTAAACATTATTATTTTTTTTATATTTGCAAAGGAAACATATCTAATCCTTCCTATAGAAAGAACAGTATTGCTGTAATTCCTTTTCTTTTCTTCCTCATTTCCTCTGCCCCTTAAAAGATTGAAGAAAGAGAAACTTGTCAACTCATATCCACGTTATCTAGCAAAGTACATAAGAATCTATCACTAAGTAATGTATCCTTCAGAATGTGTTGGTTTACCAGTGACACCCCATATTCATCACAAAATTAAAGCAAGAAGTCCATAGTAATTTATTTGCTAATAGTGGATTTTTAATGCTCAGAGTTTCTGAGGTCAAATTTTATCTTTTCACTTACAAGCTCTATGATCTTAAATAATTTACTTAATGTATTTTGGTGTATTTTCCTCAAATTAATATTGGTGTTCAAGACTATATCTAATTCCTCTGATCACTTTGAGAAACAAACTTTTATTAAATGTAAGGCACTTTTCTATGAATTTTAAATATAAAAATAAATATTGTTCTGATTATTACTGAAAAGATGTCAGCCATTTCAATGTCTTGGGAAACAATTTTTTGTTTTTGTTCTGTTTTCTTTTTGCTTCAATAAAACAATAGCTGGCTCTACTGAAGTCTCATTCTTCAGTTTCCAAAATCTTGCTGCAGATAATATGAGTTTCCATATGTCCAGTAAAGAAGGTCATGTCTAGGCTCAGCTGTCCTTGATAAGAGACAGCCTTATGCTGTTCAGATCTGTTTCTCGTAATGAAACACTTGTGTGTACCATTGCATTTACCATCCTAGGTACTTTTCTTTTTTTTTTTTTTTAAGTCTTTTTTCAAACACAGGATGAGTAGTAGAACTACCTAGGATAGCAAAGACACAAAACATTCTTGAAGAAATATATTGTATTAGTCGGGGTTCTCCAGAGAAACAGAACAATAAGAGATATGTATTTATTATGAGGAATTGGCTTACTTGATTATGGAGGCTAAGACTTCCCATTATCTGCCATTTGGAAACCAGAGACCCAAAAGCTGGTGATATAAGTCAGTGTGTCTCTGAAGCCCTAAGAACCAGGGAGCTGATGGTATAAATGCCAGTACAAAGGCAGAAAAAGATGAGGTGACATGTCTCAGCTCAAGTACTGCGGCAGGAAAAGAAGCAAATATCTTCTTCCTCAACCCTTTCTCCTACTCAGATCCTTTATGGATTAGATGATGTCCAGCAACTTGGGGGAGGGCAAGCTTTGGAGAGGTAGCCATTACTGAGTCCAGCTATTCAGGTGCTAATCTTTTTCAGAAACACCCTTACAAATACAACCAGAAACACCCTTACAAATACAACCAGAAATACCCTTACAAATACCACCAGAAATAATGTTTAATCCGGGCAATCTATGACCAGTCAAATTAGCATGTAAAATTAACCATCATGTATACATTATAAATTAGGGCAGGTTATGCCATTGTACAGAATTCACATCAAGATTTGTTGGACTTTGAAGAAAGGAATAGTGTGAAAGTGCCTGGCTTGAGATTGATATAGACATGTATACACATTCATTCATATATCTATACATATAGGTATATATACATATAATAATATGTATAAATATATTATAGATACACACATGAACATTATCCAAGATAATCTGTACAAATATCATAAAAAGGAGATTTTTTTTTTTTTTTCTGAGACGGAATTTTGCTGTTGTTGCCCAGGCTGGAGTGCAATGGGACGATCTCGGCTCACTGCAATGGCACAATCTCTGCTCACTGCAACCTCTGCCTCCTGGGTTCAAGCAATTCTCCTGCCTCAGCCTCCCGAGTAGCTGGGATTACAGGCACGTGCCACCATGCCCGGCTAATTTTTTTTGTATTTTTGGTAGAGATGGGGCTTCGCCATGTTGGCCAGGCTGATCTCGAACTCCTGACCTCAGGTGATCTGCCTGTCTTGGCCTCCCAAAGTGCTGGGATTACAGGCGTGAGCTACCGTGCCTGGCCAAAGAGAAATTTATATAAAGGGGTTGAAGGAGTCAATAAGCTGTTAGAGTTTTCCTGATGGTCCCAAAGCTATTGAGTAGAAGAGGCAGGATTAATACCAGGCCTGTGTTACTAAGCACCTATGCTCACTCCTCTGTACCACACTGCCATGGAGAAGGCCGCAGCCAATTTCCCAGGAGATGGGGACAGAAGGGAGAGCCCAGGAAATGCTGATCTGCAGGAGTTTTAAGAAAAACTTTAGGTGCCATCAAATGTAAATTGATAATCTGAATACATATAGCCATAAATGAGGAAGAAGGACATGGAAGCACTTTATGACAAGTAGGCTATTGCAGATGACATGACGAAAATGTTCCCTCCTCTTGGTGTAGAGGATGAACTTTATAATTGAATGGTTACAAACTTGCATTCTGAAAACAGGTGGAATTTTACATAATGATGACATAGCCACCTAGTGGCCCTTATAAGACCTACCTGGCAGTGATATTATGAGAATTAAATAATAGTATATTTGTAATAACTTCTGCTATTTCATGGAACATATGCACTGACACAAGAGTGGTATATGTTATTTTTTTTCTTGGATTCTTTTCTCTGACTTGAGAAAAATAATTTTAAGAATGCATACTAATTTAGTTTTGAAATAATTAACTGTTTTAAGAAATAGAATAATCTGAGTAAAGAATCAAAGTCCTTAACATTTTTCAATTGAATTATTAATAAAGATTATATTAATGTACAGTATTTTACCCATGCAGGTAAAAGTTGCATTAGCTTTCTTTGCTGCATTAAAATAGGCTATTGCAAATTTAGTAGCAAGATAAATGTAAGATAACATTTGTTATGTTACAGTATCTGTGGATCAGAAGTCTGGACCCAGCTTAGATGGGTTTTCTCCTTCACGATCTCTCCATAATGAACTCACAGTGCCAGCTGGGATGAGTTTTCATGTGGAGGTCAGAGTAGGGAAGGACCTATTTCCAAGCTAACTTAGGTTATTAGTAGAATTCAGTTCCTTGCTCGTGTAGGACCTAGGCCCTCTGATCCTGAAGACTGCCTGAAGTTTCTTGCTACATGAACCTCTCAATAGGTAGTTCATACTATGGTTGTTGCCTCTTCAAGGCCAACAGGAGAAGAAGACTATTTTAGTGAGAAGGCCTTACATAATATAAGACAACCATGGTAGTAACATCCCATCACTTTTGCCACATAATGTTGCTTATAAGGAATTCAGAAATTCTGCCTACTCTAAAAAGGAAGAAATTTTATAAAGGCATGAGTATAAAGAGGTGGAAATTAGTGGGTGTCTGTTCGTTACAGAGGGGTTTGGAGAAAGCTAGTGAAACAGTTCTCTAGCCACTGCTTAGGGCCCTCTGTCAATGGGAATGGGCAGTGGGCTTCTGCAAGCCACATAACTCTACTCAGGTCTCTGGCCCTGATAAACACCCTGTAGTGCAGCAAGTTGTTGCAATTTCATAGGAAAGAAAAGAGGTGTAGAGCTCCTCGAGATCACTTTGCCCAGCAGCCCTAAAGAGACCTTAGAGACTTACGTAAATGCCCTCCAGAGGTAATCTTGCTATAGTTAGTAAGCAAGACTAGCACAGTATAGGGTGACTTATTACAGACCTCATTCTTTAGAGCGCCCTGACAGCGGCTGCTGCCTTGATAACAGCACACAAGCAGCAGCAGCAACCACATCCTTCTGGGCAGTGCCAGAAAGCCTGTGGGAAGCCTAAGCTGAGCTCAAATCAGCCATCCCTGCACGGTTCCCAGAAGTTCTGGCCATAAAACAGCCATCTACCTGGGCCACTGCTCCACTCAGCTCTCCAATCTCTTCCTGCACCCCAGAAAACATGTCTAAATCTTTATAGACAGCCTCTGTGACTCATCTAGGGTGCTTTTCCCCTGCCTCTCTCAGTGGGTCTGGGGGTGAGTTAGAGGGCCTTGTTTTGCCCAGATTTCTCAGCTTGCAGAAATAAACAAAACTGATGGTAGTTTGCATTTCTGTGGGATCGGTGGTGATATCCCTTTTATCATTTTTTATTGCGTCTATTTGATTCTTCTGTCTTTTTTTCTTTACTAGTCTTGCTAACGGTCTATCAATTTTGTTGATCCTTTCAAAAAACCAGCTCCTGGATTCATTAATTTTTTGAAGGGTTTTTTTGGTCTCTATTTCCTTCAGTTCTGCTCTGATTTTAGTTATTTCTTGCCTTCTGCTAGCTTTTGAATGTGTTTGCTCTTGCTTTTCTAGTGCTTTTAATTGTGATGTTAGGGTGTCAATTTTGGATCTTTCCTGCTTTCTCTTGTGGGCATTTAGTGCTATAAATTTCCCTCTACACACTGCCTTGAATGTGTCCCAGAGATTCTGGTATGTTGTGTCTTTGTTCTCGTTGGTTTCAAAAAACATCTTTATTTCTGTCTTCATTTCGTTATGTACCCAGTAGTCTACCATCAGAGAATACTACAAACACCTCTATGGAAATAAACTAGAAAATCTAGAAGAAATGGATAAATTCCTCGACACATACACCCTCCCAAGACTAAACCAGGAAGAAGTTGAATCTCTGAATAGACCAATAACAGGAGCTGAAATTGTGGCAATAATCAATAGCTTACCAACCAAAAAGAGTCCAGGACCAGAAGGATTCACAGCTGAATTCTACCAGAGGTACAAGGAGGAACTGGTACCATTCCTTCTGAAACTATTCCAATCAATAGAAAAAGAGGGAAACCTCCCTAACTCATTTTATGAGGCCAGCATCATGCTGATACCAAAGCCGGGCAGAGACACAACCAAAAAAGAGAATTTTAGACCAATATCCTTGATGAACATTGATGTAAATATCCTCAATAAAATACTGGCAAACCGAATCCAGCAGCACATCAAAAAGCTTATACACCATGACTGAGTGGGCTTCATCCCTGGGATGCAAGGCTGGTTCAATATATGCAAATCAGTAAATGTAATCCAGCATATAAACAGAACCAAAGACAAAAACCACATGATTATCTCAATAGATGCAGAAAAGGCCTTTGACAAAATTCAACAACCTTCATGCTAAAAACTCTCAATAAATTAGGTATTGATGGGTCGTATCTCAAAATAATAAGAGCTATGTATGACAAACCCACAGCCAATATCATACTGAATGGGTAAAAACTGGAAGCATTCCCTTTGAAAACTGGCACAAGACAGGGATGCCCTCTCTCACCACTCCTATTCAACATATTGTTGGAAGTTCTGGTCAGGGCAATTAGGCAGGAAAAGGAAATAAAGGGTATTCAATTAGGAAAAGAGGAAGTCAAATTGTCCCTGTTTGCAGATGACATGATTGTATATCTAGAAAACCCCACTGTCTCAGCCCAAAATCTCCTTAAGCTGATAAGCAACTTCAGTAAAGTCTCAGGATACAAAATCAATGTACAAAAATCACAAGCATTCTTATACACCAACGACAGACAAACAGAGAGCCAAATCATGAGTGAACTCCCATTCACAATTGCTTCAAAGAGAATAAAATACTTAGGAATCCAACTTACAAGGGACATGAAGGACCTCTTCAAGGAGAACTACAAAACACTGCCCAATGAAATAAAAGAGGACACAAACAAATGGAAGAACATTCCATGCTCATGGGTAGGAAGAATCAATATTGTGACAATGGCCATACTGCCCAAAGTAATTTATAGATTCAATGCCATCCCCATCAAGCTACCAATGACTTTCTTCACAGAATTGGAAAAAACTACTTTAAAGTTCATATGGAACCAAAAAAGAGCCCACATCGCCAAGTCTCAATCCTAAGCCAAAAGAACAAAGCTGGAAGCATCACGCTACCTGATTTCAAACTATACTACAAGGCTACAGTAACCAAAACAGCATGGTACTGGTACCAAAACAGAGATATAGACCAATGGAACAGAACAGAGCCCTCAGAAATAACGCCACATATCTGCAACTATCTGATCTTTGACAAACCTGAGAAAAACAAGCAATGGGGAAAGGATTCCCTATTTAATAAATGGTGCTGGGAAAACTGGCTAGACAGATGTAGAAAGCTGAAACTGGATCCCTTCCTTACACCTTATACAAAAATCAATTCAAGATGGATTAAAGACTTAAACGTTAGACCTAAAACCATAAAAACCCTAGAAGAAAACCTAGGCAGTACCATTCAGGACATAGGCATGGGCAAGGACTTCATGTCTAAAACACCAAAAGCAATGGCAACAAAAGCCAAAATTGACAAATGGGATCTAATTAAACTAAAGAGCTTCTGCACAGCAAAAGAAACTACCATCAGAGTGAACAGGCAACCTACAAAATGGGAGAAAATTTTTGCAACCTACTCATCTGACAAAGGGCTAATATCCAGAATCTACAATGAACTCAAACAAATTTACAAGAAAAAAACAAACAACCCCATTAAAAAGTGGGCGAAGGACATGAACAGGCACTTCTCAAAAGAAGACATTTATGCAGCCAAAAAACACATGAAAAAATTGCTCACCATCACTGGCCATCAGAGAAATGCAAATCAAAACCACAATGAGATACCATCTCACACCAGTGAGAATGGCAATCATTAAAAAGTCAGGAAACAACAGGTGCTGGAGAGGATGTGGAGAAACAGGAACACTTTTACACTGTTGGTAAACAGTACTGAAACAGTAGTTTACAGTACTGTTTACAGTAGTAAACAGTACTGAAACAGTAGTTTACGGTACTGAACTGTAAACTAGTTCAACCATTGTGGAAGTCAGTGTGGCGATTCCTCAGGGATCTAGAACTAGAAATACCATTTGACCCAGCCATCCCATTACTGGGTATATACCCAAATGACTATAAATCATGCTGCTATAAAGACACATGCACACATATGTTTATTGCGGCACTATTCACAACAGCAAAGACTTGGAACCAAGCCAAATGTCCAACAATGATAGACTGGATTAAGCAAATGTGGCACATCTACACCATGGAATACTATGCAGCCATAAAAAATGATGAGTTCATGTCCTTTGTAGGGACATGGATGAAATTGGAAATCATCATTCTCAGTAAACTATCGCAAGGACAAAAAACCAAACACCGCATATTCTCACTCATAGGTGGGAATTGAACAACGAAAACACATGGACACAGGAAGGGGAACATCACACTCTGGGGACTGTTGTGGGGTGGGGGGAGGGGGGAGGGATAGCATTAGGTGATATACCTAATGCTAAATGACGAGTTAGTGGGTGCAGCACACCAGCATGGCACATGTATACATATGTAACTAACCTGCACATTGTGCACATGTACCCTAAAATTTAAAGTATAATAATAATAAAAAAAAATAAAAATTGGATTGTTTTCTTTTTACAGAAAAAAAAAAGAATGCCAAAACTGCTAGTCCCCAATCTAGTTATCAGATTCAACTTTGTTTTAAAAATAAATTTTATTGTGTATATTTAAGGTATACAACACGATGTTATAACATATCTATATCTGTAGTATATATATGTTCCACTGTAGTGGAACAAATTAACATATTCATCATCTCACATAGTTATCCATTTTTCCTCATGTAGCGAAAGCAGCTACAATCTACTCATTCAACAAAAATCCTGATACAATATACTGTTATTAACTATAGTGCCCATGTTGTACATTAGGTGTTTTGACTTGTTCATTCTGCATGTTTGCTATTTTGTATCTTTTGACTAATATCTCTATTTCCTCTCTGTGACCCCGACCCTGGTAATCGTTTTATTCTCTATATGTTTGACCCCCCGTTTTTCCAAATTTCACATGTAAGTGAGGTCATGTGGTATTTGTCTCTCTGTGATGGGCTTATTTAATTCAGTATCATCTCCTCCGGGTCCATTTATGTTACGTCAAATGGCAGGATATCCTCCTTTTTTAAGCCTGAACAATATTCGCATTCTACATATACTCCACAGTTTGCTTATTTATCCATCCATCCATTGATTCAGTTTTATCTTCACCCTCTCTCTCTTCAAACTCCTCCAAGATTGGCAAAGTCTGGAACATTTCCTGAATTCCTAAGACTAATTATCCTCATCTCTTGGGAGCTCAGGCAACCTCCAGGGTCAGTTTTACACATAATAATAGTTGTGCCTTGTCTTTTGGGAGGTGGAAGGTTGGGGTTGGCAGAAGTAAGCAAAGAGCTAATGCTGGGCACCCTGAGGGCCTTTACTTAGGTTACTTAAAAGACCACACCGTGGATTCTGGGTGCCCAGAAGTGAAGTATGGAGAGATGCAAGGCCACGGGTGTGCTCTCCAAGAGTCATATGGGTGTTTAAGATATACCTACATACCTATGTACACACTCACACATACACATTCTCAGAATGTGTCTGGGACCAGCTGCCTATCCTCTCACTGCCTCTCTTTCAGGTAAGTGTTCTTGATGAGGGTGGGCTTTATGTTCATATTCTGGTGAGCCTCAGCTGTCCAGCACCCCATTGCCCACTTCATTCTTCATCATCATTGCACCATTCTCATCAATAAGGTTCCCACTCCCTCATATCCTGTATCTGCTGAAAATGTGTATTCTTTAATTTTTGGATGCATAATTCTACTATAAGCTTTTAAGTCATCTTAATTAAAAAAAAATCTGTTGTGTTGAATACATTTCATCTTTTGGTTTCCGAAAGGAGTATATTGCATTTTGTCAGCTCCTCTTTGTATGCCATGCATTTTTGCTGTACATACTTCAAGTTCTGTTCTTTAAGTTGATACATGTTTATTTCTTAATATATTAAAATTTATTTAATATTTTATTAATAATGAATCATTTTGTCCTTAATAAAAACATTTAGCATAAAATATATCCTCTTGGATATGAATGAAGTTATACTTCATTATTGCTACTGTACTATTACAACTATACCCTATGATACATAGCGTCATGATTTCAGAATCATTTGTGTGTATAACATTTCGATCTTTGTTTTCCATGTTGAAGCTCTTTTTTTAAATTGAAGCTCATGTAGCCTCTTTGTTGTTCTCCACAAGTACTTCGGCAGGGTGCCACCATGACTGCTTGCAATGCCTCACAGGGCCACCCTTCTTTCTTCATTCTCCAAGGAATTCCTGGCATGGAGGACAAACACAGATGGATATCTATCCCCTTCTCCTCCATGTATTTCGTTATGGTGCTTGGGAACTGCACCATCCTCCTCACCATCTCCACAGAGCGCTCCCTGCACAAACCCATGTTCCTGCTCCTCTGTCTGTTGGCCCTCACAGACCTGGGCATGTCTACAACCACCATTCCCAAGGTGCTGTGCATTTTCTGGTTTGGCCAGAGTGAGATCAGCTATGAAGGATGCCTGGTTCAGCTGTTCTTCATCCACTCCATCTCTGCCATGCAGTCAGCTGTCCTGATGACCATGGCCTTTGACCACTATGTGGCCATCTGCAAGCCCTTGCGCTATGCCACCATCCTTTCCAATAGTTGCACTGGACTCATTGGCTTAGTGAGTTTGGTGAGAGCTATCCTCTTTATTCTCCCCATGCCCATCCTCCTTCAGCAAATGCCCTATCATGCCAATCGTGTCATCCCCACCACCTCCTGTGAGCACATGGCTGTGGTGAAGATGGTTTGTGTAGATACTACAGTCAACAGGATATATGGCCTGGTGGTGGCCTTGTTGGTTGCTGGCTGGATCTCTCAGCTATTGCTTCATCTTATGTGCTAATCATCCAGGCTATAATGCATCTCTCTTCTAAGGAAGCCCACCACAAAGCAGTCAACACCTGCACCACACACATCTGTGTCATGCTTATTTCTTATACTCCCTCACTTTTCTCTTTTCTCGCTCACCGCTTTGGCCAAGGCATTCCACCCCATGTCCACATCATTCTTGGCAACCTTTACTTCCTTGTACCTCCAATGCTCAGTCCTATAATTTATGGAGTGAAAACTAAGGAGTTCTGGGACAAAGTGACCAAATAGGGTTGCTGGAAAGAAGAACCCACAACCACTGACCATGGTCAGAAACTTGTCTGGTAATCCAGCAGCTGTGAGTATGAGGAAGGAATGTTAAGTAGATGCAATTCCTGGGGGAATCAGCTAGTGGTAGAAATATGTTATGTTGGCAGATTTAGCTGCCAAGATGTTTATCCTTGGTCAGAGAAGCTAAGGGACAGGAGACCTTCTTGATCTCAGTAATTCCAAAGCAAGGAAATTATCCCCACTGTGAAATGAAAATAATGACATCTGCTTTCTATACTTGACAGAGGGGTTGGACAAATTACATGTTATAATGTCTGTAAAAGCATTTTGAACAACACATGCTGAACACACATAAGATGAGGTAGAATGTTTCCATATGGAGAGAACACATGGGCACCCAATGACTTGCCCAGCATCAAATCAATGAGTTGTAGAATGCTACTTACTTTGCCAAGATAAGGCTAAGCTGTGTGTGTAGGTGTGTGTGTGTGTATTTGTGTGTTCAAGGGGAAGGTAAAATGGAGAAGATTGCTTAGGAGGAGTCAAAAAGGACAATGAATGTTCAAGATTGAATTTAGTCACTATGTTATCCTTACTGCAGAAGACTTACACTTGAGCAACAGAACTGGTTCCTTCCTTATAAGCCTAGGGAATATGTACAGAAAACATAATCTGAAATTCCCAGAGAAATTTCAAAGGAAAAGGAGAAAATGGGAAACTCTTACTCTTAGAAGGTGGATATGCATTCTAACAAATTTTATATTTATAAAAATTCCTAGAGTCAACTGTTCTGCTTGTCTCAACTAATTCCAGCATATGACAAGAATCTCTAGCAAAGAGAAAATTCTGAGAATGTTCTGTGAAGGGTCATAGTTATAAAAGTCAGTGTTATATTGGAAGTCTTGGTTACAGAATTCTGCCAGGCCATTTCTCTGGAAATCAAGGAAGAAATCATGAACAAGCACTTGGAGTGGTGTGTAGAGTTCAGATCGTGTGCCAAGATATGTGAATACATTAAGTTCAGGAGATATTGTTTATCACTTCCAGACATTGATTTGGAATATAGTGGCAAATATTTTAAGACTCATGAAGTTTGTAGCCTGAAATATTTTAGGATTTTTCATCATATTGTATAGCTAATATGTAAAGGCAGAATTCAGTGAAAAAGACACCTACTTTAAAAGCCACATGACCACTATTTAAATGAGACTCTTAAAATGTCAGGAAAATAAATGCAACTTTTCCAGAGTGTTGTTCTAGTTATACTAATAATTAAGGCTTGAAGTAAACAAAAAATTTAATAACATAGGCTCAGAAAGGTGGGATATTTCAGAGCTTGAAACAAACAGTCCAACCTTCAGGAGAAAAAAAAAAGAGAGAGAACTAACCAGGAAGTGCCTTTTCTATAAATGGAAGACCAGAGATCAAGGAAAATTTGCAGGAGCATTAATGGCTGAAGAACAGAGTACTGCTTGTCTGAAATAAGTACTAAGCACATATTTAAGCCACTACAAACCTACAAAGAAAAAAAAGTCGTCAGCAAAATGTTGTGCTTAACAATTTTTTATTTTTATTTTTATTTTTTTTTATTTTATTATTATTATACTTTAAGTTTTAGGGTACATGTGCACAATGTGCAGGTTAGTTACATATGTATACATGTGCCATGTTGGTGTGCTGCACCCATCAACTCGTCATTTAGCATTAGGTATATCTCCTAATGCTATCCCTCCCCCCTTCCCCCCACCCCACAACAGTCCCCAGAGTGTGATGTTCCCCTTCCTGTGTCCATGTGTTCTCATTGTTCAATTCCCACCTATGAGTGAGAACATGCGGTGTTTGGTTTTTTGTCCTTGCAATAGTTTACCGAGAAAGATGATTTCCAGCTTCATCCATGTCCCTACAAAGGGCATGAACTCATCATTTTATACTCATAAAAAATTCCATAATTTTTTATAATTTTTGCTTATCTCTTTATTTTGAACTTGTATCTATCAATCTTGTTGAAATCTTTATAGACTAACAAATTCTCTGTAGATTCTCTTATACTTTCTATGCAAATTGTAATACCATTCATGCTTCCTATTTTTTAATTATCTTTTCTTCTTATTGCATGGCTGTGACCTTTGGTACAATACTCAATATGGAAGGAGCAGGGGGATTGCGTACTCCTTTTTATTCTTGCTTTAGAAGCATTTAGAAATGCTTCTAACATTTTTACCATTTATTACACATTTCTAATTTTTTAGTTCAGCAATATCTCATACTACTTGTGTCTCGTATTTTCTTAAAAAGTAATATAGTCAGTCTAAGATTACATACAGATTTTCACTGGGCTTCTGTAGTAACATCATATTATACTTCCATTTTTGCAGTGTCTGATTTGTGTCTTATTTCCATTTCTAGTGCTTATTGCTAACACCCCAAATTCCTTGCAGAATACAATAATGACATAGTAAAATAAATGGAGAAAACACATTGGTTTCTTTATTAGTCAAGATTCAATCACAAACACAAAACCATTAGGAGAGATATATACATACACATACACATTCAAGGGATTGGCTTACATAACTGTGGAGGCTGGCTAGGCAAGTCCAAAGTTCACAGAGTGGACAGTCAGAGAAAGTAAAAATCACGAGCATGCTGGAATCTGCCCAGGCATGGGATGAAGCTGGTTTCTAGAGGTATGAGTCTTTCTTTTTCCAAGGAAGCCCTAAGCCCCTTTTAAGGTCTTTTAACCGATTAAGTCAGGCCCACCCCAGATAATTCACCTAACTTAAAGCCAACTGATTAGGGTATTCTGGTATATCTCCGCAACAACTTTGCAGCAACACCTGTATTCGTGTTTGAATAACTGAGAGTGGTGTGTGTGCAATGCAATGGCTGTTATTTCCCTTCCATCTTAAGTCTCACAAGAGATTATTTCCAGTAGTCCACTTATCTGAAAAGATAATAGAAAGTGAATTCCAGGGAATATAGTTTTGCCTGTGCAAGTTGACACTCCACAGGGCTATTACATTCTCCATAGAATGCATTATTCACAAATTTTCCCAGAAGTTGCTGAGAGGTAGACTTGTTTTGTGGGATGAACAAAAAAATTCCCAGTGGGTTGAAGGCTTTTGGAGGCATCTTTAGCTCTAGAAAGGTAAAATTTTTCAGGTCAAGATTCTAGGAAAGGAAAGTTGCTGCAAGCCTATTCTGCTCTAGATTTTTAACATGACTTATTAAGGATATTTGTGGTAGCCAAATTGTCCAGTAGAACTCATGAAGAGTGCAGACCAGATAGCAGTTTGGGGAGAAAAACTCAATCAAAAAACTTAAAAAAAATTTTTTTTGGGGGTGGTGTTTCTTTAAAGTATGATCTCTTGACCAACAGCATTCCCTTTAATTGGAAATTTGTTAGTAAAGGAAATTTTGAGGTCGTGCTCCAAACTCACTGAATTAGAAACTCTGGGGATGTGGACTAGCAATCTGCTTAACAGGAGCGGTAAGTAGTTTAGAAGTACAAGAACATTTTCAAACCACTGGCTTAGAGAGCCTCTCAGGAGCTAAGATAGAGTATGATCACCAGAATTCAGATCCAGTCCAGGTGTGGGCACTGTTCATGGTAAGGATAGATCTCTTTAGATAGGGTGTGGCTGAAGGAGAAAATAACCAGGGGAGCTTTTGGAAAGAGAATAAGGAGACCGACTTAAGTAAAGATGATAAGGAGTCCAACTGCCATAAACTGTGGAAAAAGACTACAGTTCTACATTGACAATTCTCCAAACTCTCCCTGCATAATGTGGAATCCAGATCATGGCAGGAGCTACTTTTCTGAGAGGTTTAAGACACTCATTCATAACTTGAAGAAGGTCAGGGATGCATGGTGGAGTAAATTACAGTAGTGGTAGGGCTATACCAAATAAATATTTGAGTATTAGAGTATTGGTACCAAGAGTAAGTTAGTCCATAGAAAAATTAGGTTTTAGGTTTAATGCAAATGAGCTCTTTGACAATATAGTTTACTGAAATAAGTACAGTGGACAGGTTTTCAGCAAAGGCCACCAGGAGATATAGGTTTGGTAATGCTTAATGCATGTCTTCTCTGGTGTGCTCAGTTCGTAAGATAATTACTTTATATGGTGAAAAATTGTCTTTAATAAGTCACATCTCCTAGATATCATGTATGGGTACAATTTCCTATTGAGTTTCATTACCATCTTGCTACATCATTCACAGGCAATATAAAAAAATCAGCAGAGCATTTTACAAAGCCAGTCAGCAAGTCTGGGAACATGTGTAGTAAATTCTCTACAGTATTAGAGTCTTAGGAAAAAGTAAACATAGCAGAATGCGCCAGAGATAATCACAGAAAAGAGTGGAGGGGAAAGAAAGCATGTCCTGGAATCCTTTGGGTGGTAGAACTGCCTTCAAGTAACCACAGTATTTGTATCCTCAATGACTCTAAAATGTTAGCTGCCCTTATGGAAATGGTGCCAGTACTGATATGTGGGGAGTTAAAACCAAACCAAAACAACAGGAAAAGAACTCCAAGGGAACAGACTACAAATATGTCTTCCCTGAATCTTTAACAAAAGCCTCTGGCTTCACCTTCACATTCTGATCTGGACTGCATTCAGAAGAGTAGGGCGTGAATGCCCAATTTCCTAGGGAACACAGAGGCTCCCTAGGCAGCTCTAGCCTTAAACTCAGTGCAAGCCAGTACACTCCCAGGGGGCTGTGAAATGTATTTCAGATAGTTGAGGGTGAGCAGAGACTTGTAATGTTCTTGCAATCTTCTGAGGATGCTTCTACACTGTGGTGCCTTCTCTTTTCTGCTCTCCTGGAATCCTGTGAGTTTGGCTAGGAAAAGACTCTGGAAAAGGCATTTCTTAGCCCTCAAGAGAAGTTTTTCTGTGCAAACTGGTTATGGAAAGTTTGCTTGAAAGCATGGAGAATAAGATTTAAAATAAAGATTTAAAGATTTGCTTGAAAGCATGGAGAATATCCAGGAAAGGAAATTTCCCCGAGTAACACCTCTGTAGAGTCTAATTTGGAATTTTAGTTAGCAGGCATCCTGAAACAGAAATTATAGTTTGGCGTTAAGCTGAGTAGTTGGAAAGGGGAACACAGTGGGGAACTACCTGGAAAGGAAGAAGCAAGTGATATGTTAACCAGATGAAAGACATGCGAGGCATTGTGAAGAAAGTTTATGGCATTCACTATAATATTCCTGAAATTACTAACAAGCAGTAATTTCTCATGAAGCATGGAAGGGGGAATTTGTGTGCCTAGTGAGATGGACAGACGCTATAAAGATGAACAGCATGAAACTAGGCAGAGGGAATCAGCAGAACCTTAGATTTCCTTGAGCTTTTTTTGCCCCTAGTATTCTGACATCAGGCACATTAGTCATCACTGTCCAGGTAAAGTCAAAGTACTCTTGTAAAATCGCTTCTTGCCACTGTGGAATGGTAACATTGAGAAGGATTTGACTATGCCCTTTCTTAGAAATTACCAGGTACAGCAGATGGAATGTGAATAAAGGATTGACCAAGATGTGGGCTGAAAAAGCTTGGAATTTTCAGTTTCATAAATAGAATGAAGTCCAAAAGGGTTACCTTCAACATTTTGGGGAAAGGATAGCTGAAGCATCTTATGAAATTTCAGATGAAGATTGAGCGGATATATGTGAAAATATATCTATAGCTTAGTAAAAAGAGTGGAAACGACTAGAGTAATATTAAGTTCAAAAATAATTACTAAGTACAGGGTCCCAAATTAGAATCTATTCCAACTTAAAGGACAAGAAAAAAAAAGTCCAAGATTACCCAGTGAACTATGTTTGTAGTTTGTGTCACCAAACTGATAGTCATGCCTAATTTCTTCTTATACTCCATAAAAGACAGTGTGTATGTATGTGTGTGTGTTTCTTTGTGTGTATGTATGTATTCAGGTATATGTGTATAGCCTTAGCTAGGAGACAATTCTAGTTTATCTAAAGGCTTATTTGAGCCTTTTCTCACGTTCATTTATTTTATTTAATAAGCATTATATATCAGGTATTATTCAAAGCTCTTTAGAAATCTTTAGACATATTAACCCATATAATTCTCTTCTCTATAGGGAATAGATATGATTATTATTGCTATTTTATGGATGATGAAGCTTTCTAAACATGATATAGCCAGTAAGTGTTACTATTCTCTCATTCCTATCTCTGTTCTATCTTGTTCCTCCAGATAATGTGATACTATGTGGAGGTTTCTGACCACAGAGAATGTCCAGCACTCTTGGCCACAACATGGAATCTCCTCATCACACTGATGTTGACCCTTCTTGTCTTCTTCCTCCTGGGCATCCCAGGTCTGGAACAATTTCATTTGTGGCTCTCACTCCCTGTGTGTGGCTTAGGCACAGCCACAATTGTGGGCAATATAACTATTCTGGTTGTTGTTGCCACTGAACCAGTCTTGCACAAGCCTGTGTACCTTTTTCTGTGCATGCTCTCAACCATCGACTTGGCTGCCTCTGTCTCCACAGTTCCCAAGCTACTGGCTATCTTCTGGTGTGGAGCCGGACATATATCTGCCTCTGCCTGCCTGGCACAGATGTTCTTCATTCATGCCTTCTGCATGATGGAGTCCACTGTGCTACTGGCCATGGCCTTTGATCGCTACGTGGCCATCTGCCACCCACTCCGCTATGCCACAATCCTCACTGACACCATCATTGCCCACATAGGGGTGGCAGCTGTAGTGCGAGGCTCCCTGCTCATGCTCCCATGTCCCTTCTTTATTGGGCGTTTGAACTTCTGCCAAAGCCATGTGATCCTACACACGTACTGTACATGGCTGTGGTGAAGCTGGCCTGTGGAGACACCAGGCCTAACCGTGTGTATGGGCTGACAGCTGCACTGTTGGTCACTGGGGTTGACTTGTTTTGCATTGGTCTCTCCTATGCCCTAATTGCACAAGCTGTCCTTCGCCTCTCATCCCATGAAGCTCGGTCCAAGGCCCTAGGGACCTGTGGTTCCCATGTCTGTGTCATCCTCATCTCTTATACACCAGCCCTCTTCTCCTTTTTTACACACCGCTTTGGCCATCACGTTCCAGTCCATATTCACATTCTTTTGGCCAATGTTTATCTGCTTTTGCCACCTGCTCTTAATCCTGTGGTATATGGAGTTAAGACCAAACAGATCCGTAAAAGAGTTGTCAGGGTGTTTCAAAGTGGGCAGGAAATGGGCATCAAGGCATCTGAGTGACCCTGGAGTATAGAGGGACTTAATCCAAAATAAAAAAAAAACCTTTTCAAGATAATCCTCAGTATGTGAGACCAGAAAGAGCTTTTAAGAGGGGGATAATGTCTTCTGCAGAACTTTCTAGACCATTTCCAAGAATGATAAATCACAGAGAAGGGCATTCTTTCTTTCCTTTCAGAGAAGTGTAAACATGGGAAGATTCTTGCAACCTGGGTAACGTGCAGATATTGAAAACAACCCACTGTGTTCTGGAGGGTTTCTACCCTGCTGCAGTTTAGAAGAGTCCCTGCATAGCCATAAGATCTCTTCTCATTTCCTGGCACCCTTCCAATATTCCAGGCATGGATTTCTAATTTCATACCTTAGGATATACCAGCTATCTTACCAGCTGCAAGAATCAGAAGATAGGACAATATAGCCACAGTTAAAGTAGTTAAAGCCGCAAAAAATTTATCATGCTTTTCCATAAACCCTGTATTTCTCCATTAGAGCTTCAAACCAAGAGGAGAAAAAGATCCACCAGCATCCACAATGTTACTTAGTGGCAGAACAAAGCTGTGAAAACTAGAATCCTTTAGGACTTCTATGAATGAGGGCACAAGAGAGGTTAGGAATAACTCTTCATTTCTAGACATTTTCTATTTATCTCACAGGTACACTCCTGTCTCCAGCCTCTCAGGAACTAACCTAAGTCTGAATGACCTTGGATATCATCCCTCACAAGCAGTTTCCAATTATTCTTGTACATACATACAATGGGAGGACCTTTCAGAAGTCATTGACTTATCTCCTGAACCTATAAGAAATGGCCACTTACCCAAACCACTCAGAATGGGAATTCTTAATTATGAAATTAGTCTGTATTTATTAATTCTTCTATTTATTTATAATGAAAAGAAGATTAAGCTTGATTCTAGTAACTCCATGTGGTGATGGAAAGTTCCTAACTATATCCATGAAACTAAGATTGGAAACCAGTTACTGTACATACTGAGCTTTCTGTCCACTCCTCACCAAATAGCTTCAGACAATTTATCAAACACATTCTCTTAACAAATTAGCATTTTCAATTTTGAGTTCGCCAATAGTACACATTTTTTGCTTGTCATCCGCTTATATGCCATCCTACCCTGTTAGGTGGAGGGAACACAAAACTCCCTTGTGGAAGTTCACAGACACTCCTGTCCTGGGAAAGTATCAGTCCTGAGGTAGAAAGCCAATGCCCAGCTCTTCAAAGCTCTGTCTCTGTCAGGAATATAAGTGTTTTATTGGGACACTTCAAATATGTTGGGATAAACAGTGCACAAATAGTGAAACTCAGTGAAGTAGGCTGAGCACTGTCCATTTTTCAGAGAAAAAATAATCACTTTTTATAGGGAGAGTACTAGTATATGGGCTGTCACTGGTTTTAATTTTTTTATTCTAACCCTCAATTTTTTTTATTATACTTTAAGTTCTAGGGTACATGTGCACAACGTGCAGGTTTGTTACATATGTATACATGAGCCATGTTGGTGTGCTGCACCCATTAACTCGTCCTTTACATTAGGTATATCTCCTAATGCCATCCCTCCCCTCACCCCCACCCCACAACAGACCCCGGTGTGTGATGTTCCCCTTCCTGTGTCCATGTATCTAATCCTTAAATTGAGATTTTTTTTTTTTTTTTTTTTTTTGAGGCAGAGTCTCGCTCTGTCACCCAGGCTGGAGTGCAGTGGCATGATCTCAGCTCACTACCAGCTCCGCCTCCCAGGCTCACACCATTCTCCTGCCTCAGCCTCCCGAGTAGCTAGGACTACAGGCACCCGCCAACACACCCGGCTAATTTTTTGTATTTTTTAGTAGAGACGGGGTTTCACCGTGTTAGCCAGGATGGTCTCGATCTCCTGACCTTGTGATCCGCCTGCCTCAGCCTCCCAAAGTGCTGGGATTACAGGCGTGAGCCACCGTGCCCGGCCGAGATATTCTTAATAGATTTTTAAGATTTATATACAATTCTAACACTACAGTTCATCAACAAAATTACTTTTGTGTTCTCCAAATTGACCATTTTTCTAGCACAGAAACCTACAACCCCAACTGTGTAACAATCTTATACTGTATCATGGGTTTCTATACTTTGTAGAACGTTTCTAAAGTGTATTGTAAGCAATATACTTATAAGCACTGCTTGTTCATAACTTCTCACTTTAATGTGAATCTCAATGCTAGATGTCTATGTGTTCACCTTTTATGATTTACAATAATAAGTTTATATCATGATCAACCCCTTATACACCTCCGGCCACTCATGTTTGTAATATTACATTGATTTCAATTCCATAAAAAATGAAATGACAAGGAATAAACTGTCTCCAATTATAATCCTCATATAAACTTTTGATGTGTATAGCCATTATTTCCTCCTTTCTTGCTATATTTATTTATTGCCAATTTCTTTTTCCTCTCAAGAAAGCCTCTTATAATATGCCTTTGGGATCCCAGACTATCAGTTACTTCTTGGATGTCTCCTGTTTATAACCCATTTGAATTTACTGGCACATTTGCCCCATAGAAAAATTTCTCATAACCTTAGTGATTTTTTTTAAATGAAAGTTCATGAAAAATATTTTTGGAACTAATTATTGCTGCATTCTTATGTCCTATTCTTTTCTTATATTACAATCTAACTTCAACCAGAAGTTGATGTTTCCAGAGAAATACCTGTCATCAAAGCCAGCAGTAACCATTTTTTTTTTTTTTTTTTTTGAGATGGAGTCTCACTCTGGTGCCCAGGATGGAGTGCAGTGGCACAATCTCAGCTCACTACCAGCTCTGCCTCCCGGGTTCATGCCATTCTCCTGCCTCAGCCTCCTGAGTAGCTGGGACTACAGGTGCCCGCCACCATGCCTGGCTAATTTTTTGTATTTTTTGTAGAGATGGGGTTTCACTGTGTTAGCCAGGATGGTCTCGATCTTCTGACCTCGTGATCCGCCCGCCTCAGCCTCCCAAAGTGCTGGGATTACAGGCGTGAGCCACCACGCCCGGCCAGCAGTAACCATTTTTAACAGAACTACCTTAAATTGTGTTATATTATGACTTACTTCTCCAAAATCTATCCACTGTGATTTCTATGATCCCACACAATCCCAGCTTTTCTTTCATGTCTCTAATGTTTTTCATCCTCTTCCCCTTATTTTATTTTTAATGAACCTGACTTTTAAATGTTGGTGTTTCTCAGAGATCCATCTTTGGCTAACTTCTCACTCATTCCAATCTAAGTCCATAGCAATGGGGACCATGAAAGGAAGAGCTGAAAATCCAGAACAGTGTCAAGGCAGAGGGCTTCCTGCAGGAGACAGCAACTAGATGTCTATGCAGAAAACACTGTGCTCTTCATTGCATTAGGAAACTTCTCTTGCCTTTTTGTTTCTTTCAATTATGACCGATGGTGTGCTTAACTAATTCCTTCCCACTGTCATTATTTCTTGCTTCTGATGATATCATCTTGAACTCACCTTGACTATAAGCAGACTTCAAATTATATTAGTATTTGGAATCTGTTCCTTGTAAGAGTAAGCAATGTAGGATGGTCAAAAGGTACAGCCTCATCCCTTCCATTCGTGTATACTGTTCAGTTAATAGAGAATTTAGTCATAGTGTCTAATTTGAAGAGCAATGAAAACTAAAAACTTTCAGGAAGAATCATTTTCTAAGTGAGCACTGGACTAATGGACTCACATATTTGGCAGATTATGAAAAGGACATTGAGGAATTACTGCTCTATTACTTCATATTCTGCAGTCTAAGCGCTCTAAGTTGCTGAGGGTCGGATAAGTTCCTACAT
This sequence comes from Homo sapiens, assembly GCF_000001405.40. Taxonomy (NCBI): domain Eukaryota; kingdom Metazoa; phylum Chordata; class Mammalia; order Primates; family Hominidae; genus Homo; species Homo sapiens. The sequence goes on from NC_000011.10 coordinate 5,731,288, forward strand.
CTTATCCACTTCTCATTCATTGTAAATGAGCTTCTTTAAGCATTTTGTATGTTCAAGAAGTTTACTGGAAGAAAGCAGAGAAACCAGCAGGGGAGGCAAGAATTGTGATAATATCGAATTATTATTTGATGTAATACAGTAAAGGGTTTTCTGGCACCTCCAGAATTGTTGTGTACGTCTCAGAATTGTAAGCCTTTTCTCTACATTAAAAATAAGTTTCTCATTAATCTGCAGCTTCCTTCCTGTTCTTGGTCCAAACATTTCCCTAAAACATTACCAAATGGTAGCTCTTAATTTCCTCTAACTAAACATAACAAATGTATTATATCACACCTACCTACATAGGCAAACATTTAACCACATTTTCTAAGGTTAATTGACAGGTACCATTCTTCCAATTTGAGGTAGGTCCCTGCCATGTGAGCCATGGAAAGTGGCTCTCATCACCCCTCCTTTTTTCAGCAACCATATGCTCTTATTTATCCAATTCTCTCTGACTTATCAACAATCTATTTTTCTCTCTACCAAATAGTTCATACCAACCTCCAAAGATGCATTATTTTTCCCGATTTTAAAACAAGAAATGCTTTTTAAAATTTAATTTTTATTTTTGATGTATATTTTCATTTTTAATTGACTAATATATATAAGGGATGCAATGTGATATTGTGATATATGTATACTTTGTGGAATGATTATATCAGTCTAATTAACATAACTATCACCTCATAAAGTTATTTTTTTTGCAGTAAGAACATTTTACATTTATTCTTTCGCAATTTTGAAACATACCATATATTACTATTGACTGTGGTCACCACGTTGTACAATAGTTCTTGAAAATTTACTCTTCCTGTCTAACTGAACCTTTATACACTTTGGTCAACATCTCCGCATCCCCCAGTTCCCCACCTTTTATCCTTTTCAGCATCTGGTAACCACCATTCTACTTTCTACTACAAATTACTCTAAACCCCAACTTCCAACTCTAAACTTCCAACTTCTGCCCTACATTTTCTTGTTTGTACAAACTTCTTTAAAATGTTATGTGCATAAATTTTTCTATTTCCTAGCCTTTAACTTACTCTTTAGCCCACTCCAATATGACTTTTTCTTATGCACTCCAAAAATAGACAGTTCTTTTCAAAAAGTCATTTGTAACCTCCAAGAGACTGAATCCATCAATATTACTTTAAACTATGTTTCATTAGATCTGTCAGTACAGTAAAATTATGAATCAATTTCTTTGCCTTCTTCTTTAAAAATCAATCTGTCTTTTCCTATATAGGTTATTTTCGGTCTCTTTTTCTTTCTCAACATTTACCTAGACATCATGATGAGTTTCTAGAAACTACATGCTAGACCACCTTCTTTCTGTCACTATCCTCACTTGCTAAAACATCTATTTGTGCTAATAGCATTAATTCAAATATTCCAGTAATTTCCAAATAAAATACTAGTCACTCCAGTTTTTCTCAAATTGTTCCTTTGCTCTCTGGAACTACTTTTTCCTCTCTTTGCTAAATAATAATCTCTTGGATGCTTCAAAGGTAGGCACCTCATATTGGTCATGACCTCATTTGAACTCATTCTCTTCCCTTATAATCTGGTTCTTCTCCAGTCATCCTTAGGTACATGAATGACATATTCCATTCCAGTGCATGTATGAGAAACTTAGAGTTATTTTGGGGTCATAAATATTATAAAATTTACATCCAGTATAACTTCTATATCCATCCATTTCTCTATATCTTCATAGCTTAAAATAAAGCTGTCTCACCCTTGAAGTACTGTTGTCAGTGCTCATCCAACTTACTTATATTTATTCTTGCCATGTACAATCTGGTCTTCACATTGCTGCCATGCCTAAATTATCCTAAACCTTTTCAGTGGCTCCATATTGCTTTAGCATAAATTTGCTTAAAATTATCTGACCACTATGACCTCAACAGCACCATCTCACATCACCTCCCATGTTCCACCACACCTTGAGGTTTCCAGACACATTGTTGTCACCTTGAGGTTACCTTGTTGTTACACTGAGATTACCAGACACATTGTTGTAACACTCTGTTGTTACCTTGACTATGCCTTGATCCCTCTCATTTTAACATTCAAAGATTCCTGGATAAAAAGTCTTTTTTATCCCCACCCCAACACACACACCATAGTTATCTTCTACTCAAACAATTGCCCTCAGAACAAACATTTTTTCAGGATATCCTCTCTGACAACAAGAGATTATTTTTTTCTTCATGTGAACTCTTATCACTTGGTACTTTTGCTTTAAAGCACTAATCCCAGTCTATTATTATATATTTGCTTGATTTTGTTGTTATTATTCTCTCCCCCCACCTCAACTAGACCACAATTTCAATGAGAACAGGAACGATGACTGTTCTATTGATCACTTTATGCCTAACATGTTTTTCAAACACAGACAGAACTAAATATGTATTTTTGAATGAAAGCTTTCTCCTTTAAAAATGTTTAAATAAATCTCCTAGCCACAGAATTTAGAACACCCAGAGTTTGTGTGCTTAAAAACCATTCAAACACTCTAAAATTTCTCACCTTTATAGGTCCATTTTGATTTAATAAATGAAGATATTCTTCTATTCATGTAAATTCTTAGGTTACATTAATAGGATACATGTTTTTGAGTTAATCTGCTTTCTATTCTAGTGGGATTTAACATCCTAGGAATTCAGCTTTCTCTATAGGTCTTTCATCATGTCTGCAAATGAGATCTATTATGCTTAGGTCACTGAGCTGCTTTACTACTCTCCATAAATTTCAGAAGTTTATAATTTCTGTGCCACATCTTAGCTGACAACACATTTTTATCTTGTGTTAAAGCATCTTTCTCATAAAGTTCTGTCTTTGCCCAGTAGAAAACTTCTGCCACGCCTAGGATCCCAGACTGTGAGTCTGTGTTCATAAGCAAGGTAAGTGATAAAATCTTCTCATGGTCACTTTGGCTAAATTCCAGAGAGTTCAATGGCTTATCCTAAACATTATGTTGTTTTGTCAACATTCTGCAAAAAGATTGACATTTCTCTCTGTTTTAGTAGCATATAGAGGATTAGAGGGCCTTTCCAAAAAAGGTTGAAGTCAGAATTAGAAAATATTAAGGCTCACATGGTGCACTAGAAGTTACCTTGTCTGTAATCAAAAAACAACACTGCCAGATTATCTTCAGGGTTAATATATTAACTGTTTTATATAGCAGAATCGTATTCTATGTCATGCTAGAATATAATTGTAAAAAAAATTAAAAACAATTCTTTTTCTGTGAGCTCAAACATACTACTTCTCTTAATTGTATCACACATATACAAATCAGAAAAAAATTTTAATAGAGAAAACATCAAAGATAAAATGTTATGTGATATTAGGATGTAAAGTAATAAATGAGTATTAAGTAAAAATGCCAGGCCTTGTACATCAAATGGGTTACATACTTCCACGCATCCAGGATAAAACTATTGTGTTGAACCCCTTCAGAATTCTCCTCTAAAAGCTCAAAGTCAAACTAGCTTTACCTCCATTATTGCTTGTGCTCTTTAGTCATTGAAATTTTCTGTAGATACATTTAGATAATTTTACTCTTTATCAAATTACATTCACCATTAAAGAAGGATGATTTACTCCATCATTTGGGAGTATATGTTTATTCAAACATACAGGCAGTAAGAAACCTCTGAAAGGAAATACATTTAGTTTTTAATAAGAATTGATACAACAAAAGAATTTTATTTTCTTCCAGATTTTTTTGGTATTTAACAATAATTATATCAAAAATCAACCCATAACTAATATATTAAAAATAACATTTTAACCTTTGAACATAGCTTTCCAGTTTTTGTTTCTTGCTCATAAACCTGCAATAGCTTCCACCATGGCAAAAATATTGGAAATAAAATGCCTTGAAAAATTACTAATTTTAGCATAGAGTAAGTATTATATGTATCTGCAGTGTAAAATACAAAGAAGTTCAAAGCAAGAGATTATATTCACTTCGGTTTGAGTCATATCTGAGAGTGTTTTATGCAAAATAAAGGATTGTAATAGTAAATAAATAATAAATGGTAAATAAATAAAGGATTGTAATAATAAAGTATTGTATTTGAAAGAAAATGTGAAACCATGAATTATTTTAAGCAAAGGAATACCAGTGTCTGAAAGATCAGATTGCTAGCAGAAAGAAAGAATTATGGAAAATCAGAAACATTTGCTCCAGGCAGGTTGCAGAAAGCATACTGAAAAAAAAGAGTGCATATGAATGAAGTAAAGAAAAGAAATCAACAATATGATAAGCAATTATTTGCAGTAAGGGAAGGTTAGTTTTCTAGATTCAAGCTTGTCTGGTCGAGCCACCATGCAGAATAAAAAGTAAATGGATAACAACAAAGTTGTAGAAAAGATAATGAGTCTAATTTTAACCATGATTTTTGAGCATTGAATGGCAATTCCTTCAACATTATGGACAAATAATTCTTGTTTGTTAAATAAGTTAAAATTACTGTTCAATGGTTAGAAGGTTTTAGTTGTACAAGATGAATAAGTTCTAGAGACCAGCTGTACAACATTGTGCCTGTATTCACTAAAAAATGAATAGAGTTGATCTAATATTGTGTTGTTATCACAGGAATCTTTAAAAGCTTCTTATTAGTTTTACCTAAATCCTGTATTTATGTCTTTATAGGTTCTCTAAGATTCAACTATAAAAAAACTTACTAAGGTATGTCTTCATTATATGACTTCTCATATGGAGAAATTCAGCCATAATCACTAACTTCCTTTTAAGCTACTCTTTTGCAACCTCCTCAGAAGTGCATACAAAATAGAACATGAAAGAAAACTATCCCCAAATCCTCAATATAATTTATTTCTGGAAACCTTTACAAGTCCATGATATCAAAATTTTGAAAGGCTATGTAAGACGTTAATGGACATCTATATCAACTTGAAATGATGTAGCTATAAATTTCATCTCCCATAATTCTTCATTTAAAAAATCTAGTTATTATTAGTTAATAAACCTCTGCATCAAGTCAAGTAACACTGAGATAAATATGAAGAAAACAAGCACATCCATTTAATCTATATAATTTCTAAAGAGATGAAGAAAGGCTTAGAAAAATACTACAATTTTATTTCTGTGGTGGTTCCAACCTGTGATAACTGAGAACAATACAAATAGAGATTTGAAATTCATGTTGAATCATGAATCATATGTCTGCATCTCTCAAAATCTCCAATAGCTCCAAATTCCAGGTCTCTGAGTTCATCCTGCTGGGATTCCCGGGCATTCACAGCTGGCAACACTGGCTATCTCTGCCCCTGGCACTACTGTATCTCTCAGCACTTGCTGCAAACACCCTCATCCTCATCATCATCTGGCAGAACCCTTCTTTACAGCAGCCCATGTATATTTTCCTTGGCATCCTCTGTATGGTAGACATGGGTCTGGCCACTACTATCATCCCTAAGATCCTGGCCATCTTCTGGTTTGATGCCAAGGTTATTAGCCTCCCTGAGTGCTTTGCTCAGATTTATGCCATTCACTTCTTTGTGGGCATGGAGTCTGGTATCCTACTCTGCATGGCTTTTGATAGATATGTGGCTATTTGTCACCCTCTTCGCTATCCATCAATTGTCACCAGTTCCTTAATCTTAAAAGCTACCCTGTTCATGGTGCTGAGAAATGGCTTATTTGTCACTCCAGTGCCTGTGCTTGCAGCACAGCGTGATTATTGCTCCAAGAATGAAATTGAACACTGCCTGTGCTCTAACCTTGGGGTCACAAGCCTGGCTTGTGATGACAGGAGGCCAAACAGCATTTGCCAGTTGGTTCTGGCATGGCTTGGAATGGGGAGTGATCTAAGTCTTATTATACTGTCATATATTTTGATTCTGTACTCTGTACTTAGACTGAACTCAGCTGAAGCTGCAGCCAAGGCCCTGAGCACTTGTAGTTCACATCTCACCCTCATCCTTTTCTTTTACACTATTGTTGTAGTGATTTCAGTGACTCATCTGACAGAGATGAAGGCTACTTTGATTCCAGTTCTACTTAATGTGTTGCACAACATCATCCCCCCTTCCCTCAACCCTACAGTTTATGCACTTCAGACCAAAGAACTTAGGGCAGCCTTCCAAAAGGTGCTGTTTGCCCTTACAAAAGAAATAAGATCTTAGAGACCTTCTCCATGATGTACATGAACCTCAGCTTCTCCTAAACTGGATAGTAAAATTTCAAAGAGGATAAATGAGTAAGTGAATACCTTTGGGATTCCCTTTTTATATTTGTATGTAAATAATTGTGAAAGCTTCAGAAAAGATACAAAAAATCACAGTAGCCTAAAATATTGACAAAAGCTAAATATTTAAATATATTTGAGAATATGGAAGAAATTTCTGCCAAATCAAATTGGATTTAAAGAACTTAATGATTGATATCTATCTCTTAAAATAAAAATGAATATAATCACACACCCACAAATACACACACAGACACACATACATTCAATCAGACAAATGAGTGATTGGGACATGAATCACAGGTCATGCTTGCGCATTGTTAGCTGTAACTTGGGAGCTGTAACTTGGGAGCAAAGTCAGTCTGCCTAAACAAGCATTACTCCAGTAATATGAAATACAGAGGTCGGAAAAGAAAATAATTCAGATAAAGCCAAATCAGTCAATGATGAGGATTTATGTGGAATATGAGATGACTCAGCTTGGACAGACAGAACCCAAAAGATTCATCTAGCTAGAAGGATCTGGTGCTTACGCCGTTTGCCTCCCCAGATTTGCTGTCTGCCCTTTGTGCACTGCTCTGTAAACTGGAGGGCTGACTTTCACATATTGTAAGCCCAAACTCCTTTGTCTTTCGGTGTTCAGTTGAATTGAGCCAATGTGATGCGTGACAGATTATAGTTCAAGAGGAGACAGCATTTGGGCTATTTATTATTCTACTCCCAGCCTGCTTTGACATGAGGGTTTTCACTGGATATGTCCCTTCTCTGGCCACCCACCTGCTACAGCTACAGCTTTTATGGAAATATAGTAACAGGCTTGTCTTGCCTTCTTTCTTCAGGCCAAGGGGCTGATAAAGGCTTCCTGATAGTAGTCTCTGAGTGCCCAGCATCCATTATTTTTTAATATCCACTTGTTTTCTTAAACAACCTACTACTCAATACCAACTTCATTAAATTGTCTTCAAACTCACATTTCTTTGTGCCTTTTTTTTTTCCCTTTCTGAGACCCTGACTGACTCACTGGCTTTATTTATATCACCAGCATCTATCTCTACCATAGCTACTCATCCACTACTACTACCACACCCACATAAGAATGTAGGCAGCTTCAGCAAAATCTTCAGATGATCAGATATAAAGACACTGCAGGCAGGAGGTCGATATAGAAATTTTTCCCTGTGAAATTTTTACTTTGAGAGTTTTCTTTTCTTTCTTTTTTTTTTAAATAGTCCTAAACAATGAATGGGCAAAATAAGGCTTAATCTATTATTGTCTTGTATTTCAATCTTTTCCAGGCTACTTTCCATTAAACACATGCTCAGATTAATGCCATTAAATAGCTAGGACATTCCTTGAAATATGAGTATTAATTTTGGGTGCAGGAATACCAGTTGCTAGAAAGTCTGTTATACATTATATAATGTCAACTCCTCTTCCAGTTAGATTTCAAAAGTAAACCCTATCAGTTTTCAGGTAAAATGAAAATAATATAATGTATCTTTCTTATTAGTCTGGCCTTTCACACAAACTTCAATTTTTTTCATTTAAAAATTAATGAAGAGAAAAGACTCCATGCCCTTTGTATTCATAAGACTACTTTTTTTTTTTTACTAACAATATAGTTGAGAACATTAAGATAATTTAAGAAAATTTATGTTTGACATTTTCTATAAAGTTACAAGAAGATAGTGTTCATATTAAATAAGAATCATCAGCTGGGCACAGTGGCTTACACTTGTAATCCTAGCACTTTGGGAGGCCAAAGTAGGAGGATCACTTGAGGCCAGGAGTTTGAGACCAGCCTGGGCAACATAGTGAGAACCTATCTCTATAAAAAATACAAATAAATAAAAATAAAATTAGGCAGGCATGGTGGCTCATGCTGATAGTCCCAGATACTCGGGAGGCTGAGGTGGGAGGACTGCCTGATCCCAGGAATTTGAGGCTGCAGTGAGCTGTGATCACACCATTGCACTCCAACCTAGGTGAAAGAGTGAGACTCTGACTCAAAAAAAAAAAAAAAAAAAACCATGATAAGTGGGCAGTTCAATGAAATTAAATGAGATGATATGTTATTCCAGCAGGAATAACTTACATATTACAGCCTAGAAAAATTAAAAAATTTAAAAATGTGTGTGCACCTTTCACACGTCCCTTCAAGGGAACCTGATATAAGTAGCATTGTTGACTGACATCCTCTGGCTTCTACACCATTAGATGCATCTGCACCTTCACACAAAGCTCATGCTTCCCTTGGCTGCTCCCAGACAGTGACCAGACACAGTAAGAGGACGAGAGCTAGGCCATTCTGGCCAGAAATGAAACTCCTTTAATGGTCAACTTTTGCATGAGGACTCTGAACTGGCCCGGCTAAGACTTTCTCAGAGCTGCACTGAGGGCTGATACTTTTCTTAGGCAATCTTTCCTTCTCTTTCTCTTTTCTTGGTTGTCAGAGCTGCATCATGGTTTAAAGATTCTCTTAATCTTTTCCTCCCTTCTTATCCTTTACATTTCACATTTTCCCCCCAATAAACCTATCTGATGACTAGTCCTATCTAGTTGTCTGCTTTGTAGAGGACTAAACCCAACACAGATCATAATAGGAGTGAAATCATACAATACGGGACACATTTAATCCCCTAGTACAAGGAATTGACTCAATTGTTGAAAATTTTACCAATCGTAATGTGACAAAACACCCTTGTGGAGGGAAATGCCCTGGCTGGTTCAACTCTTTAAGGCATTTGAAAGGTATGTGGAGGGGTGGACAATGGCAGGAAAGATAGTGGAGTCGACTGATTACTGCTGTGCTATATGGAAACCACGTAGAGTAATAATGACAAAATGAAGGCAGTTAACAAATAGTAAAAATGAAGTGTGATAGATTGCAAAGCTTGTAAAGATGCTCTTATCTCCTGAAGTAAAAAGGGTAACAACAGCGGGGGAGTACACTTGGGCATGAAATTTGAGTCTCAGCTGGGTGCAGTGGCTCATGCCTCTAATCTTAGTATTCTGGGAGGTTGAGGAAGGGAGGTCTCTTGAGCCCAGGATTGAGACCAGCCTGGGCAGTGAGGGAAACCCCGTCTCTACAAAAAATACAAAAATTAGCCAGGTGTGGTGGCGCGTGCCTATAGTTCCAGCTACTCAGGAGGCTGAGGTGGGAGAATCGCTTGAGCATGGGAGGTGGAGCTTGCAGTGAGCCAAGATAGTGCCACTGCACTCCAGCCTAGTGGAGCGTACAGTAAGCCAAGATGGAACCACTGTACTAAAAGAAAGAAATAAAAGGAAAGAAAAGAAGAAAAAGAAAATTGCATCTCAGAACTCCATGACTGTTTAATGCTTAACAAGACAGAACTATTATACCAAGGTGTGCACTCTGGTTGAGAAAATCTGGGGCAATGAAACATGGGATGTGGATATCTGAAAGGATGACCTTGAAGATGTATTTTGCAAACTAGCTCACTCCTTTATTTATAACATGAGAGCTAACACTCTCATGCAGGAAGATAATAAAGAAGTTTATGCAGGAAGATAATAAAGGAGTTTATGCAGGAAGATAATAAAGAAGTTTCTCTCATACAAGACTATGGTTACTGCCCTCTCTACATTGTCAGGCTGGTAACTAAGGTTAAGTTCCAGTATGATTACAGCATGAACAAGCTGCAAGAATCCAGGGGATTGAAAATTAAGGGAGCTTAATCAAGAGGATAAGATCTTAAGACATAAGAACATAGAGAATAAGCAATAATTTTTTGACTTGGGAAAATTATTGTGGACACTGTATTGAACACCCTGGTCAGAATTCCTGGAGATGGGTCAGACTCACTGTGACAGTGACTCTTAGAAGCCTGGAGAATGTGATGGACGATGATGAGTCAAGTGGTAATGCCTGAGTTGCCCTGGCAGTTGGGCATTGCATTGCACTTGGGCAATGCAAAGATGAAGCAGCTGGGGATGCTGAAATCGACATATTATATGAGGCCAAAAGAGTCACCAGAAAAGTATGTTCTATGGAACGCCCCAGAAAACACAACATTCACCAATGAATGCACAAATGAGTGGGGGCACCAGTATTACTAAAATGTTCAGCTATGGCTCTCCTTTTCAGAGCAGGTGTGAGGATAGGAGAGACAGTCAAAGAGCTGGATTGTCTAGTAGTTGTGGGGGTGATAGACCTTTGAAGTAACAGATAGCAAGTTGAGGCAAATAACTGCCAGAAGCCAGGGGACAGCAATTACTTAAAAACCAGCAAGGGTAAACTAGCTGCCAAAGAGGCTTCACCTGTAGGGAGTTATGGAAATGGTGTCCTTAAGAGCAAATTAATAGGCAGCCAACAAGGGTGACGCCTAACATCTGCAATCACAAGAAAGCAGGAATGGAGGAGCTGAAAAACAGGTAGATGATATTTTAAAAAATAAAGAATTTCTGAAACCAAAAATTCACTGAAGGAATTACAAAATACAGTTGAAAGCTTTAAATGAGACCAAGCAGAATAGTACATTTCAGAGACTGAAGTCGGGTTTTTAAATTAACCTAGAAGAAAGCAAGCAAACAAGAACGAAAGAGAGAGAAAGAAAGAAAAGAAAGAGAGGAAGAAAGAAAAACAGAAAAAAGGAAGGAAGGAAGGAAAATTTAAAAAATGAACAAAGCCTTTGAGAAACATAGGTTTATGTAAAATGATAAAACCTCTGAGGTATAGGCATTCCTAGGGAGAAGAGAAATAAATAAAAAGTTTGGAAAACTTATTTGAGGAAATAATTAGGAAAATTTCTCTAGTCTTGCTAGAGGTGTAGATATCCAGACACAAGAAACTCAGAGAACACCTGAAAAATACTTTGCAAGATGAACATCACCAAGGCATATAGGCATCAGACTATCTAAAGCCAATATGAAGGAAAAGATCCTGAAAGCAGCAAAAGAGGCACATCAAAACACCTATAAAATAAACCTCGTCAGAGTAACAAAGTACTCCTCAACAGAAATCTTACAAGCCAGAAGGGACTGGGGTCCTATTTTTAGTCTTCTTTAACAAAAGTACTACCAGCTAAAAAACTACCAGCTAAAAATTTTGTGTTCTGCTAAATTGAGCTTTGTAAATGAAGGAGAAATAAGTCTTTCCCAGATAAGCAAACACTAAGGAAATGTGTCACCACTCTACTGGCCCTACAAGAAGTTCACAAAGGAGTTCTAAACAAGAAAATAAAAGGGTGATACTTGCGACAATAAAAAAACAAGTGAAAGTAAAAAACTCATAGATCTTCTAAAGCAACCACAAAAATGGAACTACAAAGCAATTAGGTAACAATGAACATCATGACAAGAACAAAATCTCATGTATTAATATTAAGCTTGAACAGGAATGTACTAAATGCTCCACTTAAAACATATAAACTGAGAAAATGGATTAAAAACAATATTCAAACATGTGCTGCCTATTAAAATGCACCCAATGAGCACAGACATTCACAGGCTCAAAGCAAAAAGGTATAAAAAGATGTTTCACACAAATGGAAAACAATAGCAAGCAGGAGTAGTTAGCTATACTTATATAAGCCAGACTTTATATAAACAACAGTGAAATAAGACAAAGAAAGACATTGTGCAATGTTAATCAATTCAAGAATACAATGTGACAATTCTGAACATATATGCATCCAACATCAGAGCAACCAGTTTCACAAAACAAATACTATTGGACCTAAGTAAAGTGGTAGAAACAATACAATAACAGGAGGGGACTACAATACACCAGTGACCACCCTAGACAGATCACTGTGGCAAAAAAATCAACCAAAAAAACCTTCTGAACTTAAATTGCCCTCTAGATTAAATGCTAAACAGACATATACAGAACATTCTGCCCAAGAACCACAGAACATACATTTCTGTATATTTCTGTTGGCACATGAAACAGTCTCAAAAATTGCTCAAATGCTAGGCCAGTCTCTATAAACTTAAAAACTGAAATAATATCAAGCATATTCTTACACCACAGTGGATTAAACTAAAAATTAATACCAAAAGGAAGTCTCAAAAATATACAAATACTTGGAAATCAAACAACCTGCTTCTGAATAATCTTTGGATACACAACAAAATCAAGGCAGAAATTTTTTAAACATTGAAACACATGAAATAGAGACACAATATACTAAATCATTTGGGAAATGGCAAAAGCTGTTTTAAGTGGGAAGTCTATAGCATTAAATGCCGACATTAAAAATATAGAAAGATTTTAATTTAAAACTCTAACATTGTACCTCAAGGAACCAGACAAATAAGAACAACTAAAACCCAAAGCTAGGATAAGAAAATAAAGAACAAATATCAGAGAAGAGATAAATGAAATTGAGACAGAAAAATACAAAGATAAAGAAAATGGAAAGTTGGTTCTTTGAAAAGATAAACAAAATTGATAGACCACAGCAAGATTAATGAAGGAAAAAGAAAATTTGAACAAACAAAATCAGAAACAATAAAAGTGATATGACAAATGATGCCACAGAAATATAAAAGATTATTAGAGACTATAATGAACCTCTCTGAGGGTACAAACTAGCAAGCCTAAAAAAGACGGATAAATTCTGGTTAACATACAACCTCCTAAGATTCAATCAAGAAAAAGTAGAAATACTGACCAGACCAATAACAAGTAGTGCAACTGAATCTTCTAACAAAAAATGCCTAGGACCAGAGGCATTCACAATCAAATTCTACCAGACATATAAAGAAGATTTAGTCATAATCATACTGACACTGTTTCAAAAAATTGAAGAGGAGGGAATCCTCCCTAACTGGTTCTATGATGCTTGTTTCACCCTGATTCCAAAGCCGGGTAAGGACGCAACAAAAAAGAAAATTACAGGCCAATCTTCCTGATGAGAATTGATACAAAAATCTTCAGCGAAATACTACAAGACAATCCAACAGGACATTAAAAAGATAATGCACCACAATCAAGTGGGTCATATTCCAGTGGTGCAAAGGTAGTTCAACAAATGCAAAAGTGGTTCAACAAATGCATGCCCATATGCCCCTGAGGCCTAACATATGGGCATAACACAATTAAAAACAAAAGGCTGGGTGTGGTGGCTCACGCCTGTAATCCCAGCACTCTGGGAGGCTGAGGCGGGTGAATTACCTGAGGTCAGGAGTTCGAGACCAGCCTGGCCACCATGGCGAAACCCTGTCTCTACTAAAAATACAAAAATTAGCTGGGCATGGTGGCGCATGCCTGTAATCCCAGCTACTAGGGGAGCTGAGAGAGGAGGATTGGAGGATCTCTTGAACCTGGGAGGCAGAAGTTGCAGTGAGCCAAGATTGTGCCACTGCACTCCAGCCTGCACAACAGAGTGAGACTCCATCTCAAAAACAAACAAACAAACAAAAAACATATAATCATTTTAATACATGTGGAAAAAGCTTTTGACAAAACTCATCATCTCTTCATGATAAAAACTGTTAACAAACTAGGCACTGAGGGAACATACTTAAAAAATAGTAAAAGCCATATACATCAAACCAACAGTCAACATCATATTGAATGGGCAAAAGTTGAAATCATTTCTCCCAGCAACTGGAACAAGCCAAAGATGCCCATGTTCACCACTCCTATTCAACATGATATTGGAAGCTCTCTCTAGAGCAATCAAGGAAAAGAAATAAATAAAAGGCATCCAAATTTAACAAGAGAAAGTCAAACTATCTCTATTTGCTGATGATATGATCTTATATGTAGAAAACCCTAAAGACTCATCCAAAAGACTCCTAGACTTGAAAAGTGACATCGGTAGCATTTCAGGATATAAAATCAAAGTACAAAGATCAGTAGCATTGTTATACACTAATAACAATCAAGCAGAGAACAAAATCAAGAACTCAATTTCATTAACAATAACTAGAAAAAAATATACAATACCTAGGAATACATGTAACTATGCTGGTGAAAGATCTCTACAAGGAGAACTATGATACACTGATGAAAGTAATTTTAGATGACGCAAATATGAAAAATCACCTCATGCTCATGAATTGGAAGAATCAATATTGTTATAATGACCATACTACCCAAAGCAATCTACACAGTCAATGTGATCCCTATCAAATTACCAATATCATTTTTCACAGAATTAGAATAAGCAATTCTAAAATTCACATGGAACCAAAAAAGAGCCAAATAATCAAAGCAATCTTAAGTAAAAAGAAAAAAATCTGGAAGCATCACATTACCTGACTTCAACTACAATGCTATAGTAACCAAAACAGCATGGTATCAGGTAACATCACATTACTTGACTTCAACTACAATGCTATAGTAACCAAAACAGCATAGTAACCAAAATGCATGGTAACAACATTTTCTTTTTTGGTGTGTCCTTACCCAGCTTTGGTATAAATAAAGACACATAGATCAGTAAAACAGAATAGAGTATTCAGAAATGAAGCCACATACTTATGACCAACTGATCTTCGACAAAGTCACTAAAATAAACACTGGGGAAAGGTCACACTATTCAATAAATGGTGCTGAACAATTGGATAGCTGTAGGTAGAAGAATGAGCCTGAACCTCTATCTCTCATTATATGCCAAAACTAATTTAAGATAGGTTAAAGACTTAATCATAAGATCTAAAACTATAAATATCCTAGAAGAAAACCTAGGAAAAATTCTTCTGGAGATTTAGGCAAAGAATTTACGAGTAAGTTGTTGAAAGGAAATGCAATCAAAACAAAAATAGATGAATGAGGCATAATTAAACTAAAAAGCTTCTGCAAAGCAAAAGAAACAATCAAGAGAGTAAGCTGACAACCTACAGAATGGGAGAAAATATTGGCAAAGTATGCATCTAACAAAGGAGTAAATCCATCATCTACAAGGAACTCAAGCAACTCAACAAGAACACAAATAACACCATTCCAAAGTGGGCAAAGGACACAAACATATGTATATGCTCTTTCTTTTCAAAAGAAAATATACAAGTGGCCAAGAAACATATGCAAAAATACTGAATATTGCTTATCATCAGAGAAATGCAAATTAAAACCACAATGAGATATTGTCTTACACCAGTCAGAATATCTGTGATTAAAATGTGTATAAACAACAGATTTTGTCATGGAGAAAACTTATATACTGTGAGCGGGAATGTAAATTAGGAAACCTTTATGGAAAACAGTATGGAGATTTTTCAAATAAATAAAATTAGAACCACAGTTTGAACCATTAGAACCACCAGCAATTGCACTACTCTGTATTTACCATAAGGGAAATGAATCATTACATAAAAAAGATATCTGCATTTGTATGATTATCTCAGCACTATTCATAATAGCAAAGATAGCGAATCAGACTAAATGTACATCAATGGATGACAGGATAAAGAAAATGTGAGATAGGCTGGGCACAGTGGCTCATGCCTATAATGCCAGCACTTTGGGAGGCCAAGATGGGCGGATCACTTGAAACCAGGAGTTGGAGACCAGCCTGGTCAACATGGTGAAACCTGTCTGTAGTAAAAATACCAAAAAAAAAAAAAAAAAAAAAAAAAAAATATGGGGTATGGTGGTGCTAAGCCTGTAGTCCCAGCTATTGGGGAAGCTGAGTTAGTGGTGAGAGAGAGGATTTGAAATACATTGGTCAAAGGTAACAAAATTAGTTCCAGCTATTTGGAATTCCGAGGGGAAGGAATCGCTTGTGACCAGGACTTCAAGGCCAACCAGCCTTTGCAAAATAGACAGACCTCCTATCTAAAAAAATAAATAAAATAAAATAAAACAAAAATGCAGTTATATAGGAGGAATAAGTTCAAGAAATTTATTGTACAGCATCATATCTACAGGTCATAGAAATGTAGTGTATTCTTGGGCAATAAGGGAGATTTCAAATGTCCTCACCACAAAAATGACAATTGAGTTAACATATATGTTAATTAGTTTGATTTAGCCTTTCCACAATGTATGTGTATATATATGTATATATATATTATATTTCAAAACATCGTGTTGTACATGATAAACATCTACAATTTATACAACAATTAAAAAAGGAACACAAAAAATCGGTAAACCTAATAAATGAGGCATTTCTTGTGAATATATACTGAGCCTATACCCCAGTCATAGACAATATTTATTCTTCTCAATCACGTGTAAAACATTAAACCAATCCAGATCTTATTCTTGTTAATGAGATCACTCAATACCATCAACAAGTTCTGTAAAGAAAAATAAAGGAAAATACTACAAGTAACTACTGTCACAATGCATTAAAACCAATAATATAAAATTTTTAAATACAGTGTACTTACTAAGGTAGCATAGTTAAATGACAATTAGACAACTGTATCTTATCAACTTGGCACATAACTATTGTCATGAATAAATGGGGACCCTAATACATAATAAAAATCTATTTTGAGGAAAATATCAGGTAAGAAATGTCACAGCAATTTCATACCCATGTTCATTTATCATATTTTTCTTTTGAAAGGATCTACATACATAAGATCAAGCTGTTACATAAATCACACACATCTAACATGAACTTTTAATCAGCTATAGTAATTCTGTTTTGAAATGGACTAGTTTTATAATGTTAAATTAAAATTGTAATATTTATGCTATAATGCAACATGATGATTTTTGTTAAAACATATATAGTTAATGCATAGCAATACATATATAGGATTTTAATTAAGGTAAATCTATACCATAACTTCAAGTGTTAGAACTATGAGTGCTTTTTAATTTCCTTATAAATACCGTTATGTTTTTTCAAGTTAGCATATGTTATTATTTTTATTTTCATAAAATGGATATAATTTATAATCAGTTATTTTTAGCAATAATAATTATTTTTAATTATTGTATCATAATGATGATTATTTCAAGGTTTGTATATTCCTCTAATTTTTCCTAATTTAATATATAAGTGTAATAAGTTTAAACTTTTGATTACATTTTAGAACACCCAACTATTCATAATTCATTTCTCTCACTTGAAAAAGTAAAAATTTTATTAAAAAAATAAACTTTTTGAACCAGGGGCCATATTTGCATAGTTCCCAGCCTGCTGTGGAAAGCAGAAAGTTCTAAATAAACGTTAATTGAAAGAAGTAAAATGATACATTAATATAAAAAAATTTTAAAAATGGATTAGTTTATGAATGAACAAAACATTCTCTACTTCTGTGCTTTTGATATCTTTCCCATAGGGTAGTGGAGAAGAAGAAAACATTAATCTGCAGTAAGTATTAAATCCTAGTCTTTACTAAAATAACTTGTGTTCATTTTCATTCTCTCCCTGACTCATATATACACTCTAATACACAAACACACACATATGGGATTATTTGCTTATATACGTATCATTATTTGGACACTGAGAATGGAAAGTTCTTGTTCTTTCTCCTCTTCCCATAGAGGTTATCTTGATTCTCACACCAACATCTGTGTCTCTGAGATTCTTAAATATCCCCTTGGGACACATAACATGTATTTTTTTTAAGGCTCAGTTCAATAGTTCAGACATAAAGGAATTTATAGGCTGATAGCTGTGGATACATATATTAATTCTAGGATTGTGAATTTTTTTTGACCAAGATTGTTAACACCTGGAGTAGATTGCGTTTACAGATCACTGTTCTGCTATCCAGAAACGAAGGTACTAAAAATATGCAAAAGAGGGGATAGTGACAAAATTTATTTTCTGTAGTCAGCAAGATAAAGTGAAGAGGAGCTTTGGGTATATCTCAGTTGTTTATCATTTATCCAGCTAAGTCATTGATTCCAATCACATAGTTGGAAGGAAGAAGCATTGTGTGAGGTTGAGTTCTTTTGGAAAACATTTATTTTCCCAAATCAAGCATTAAAATTCAGTGTGAATTATAATGATTATGATTATCTGTGTATTTCTCTGTTTAAATGGGAATCCTTTTTTACTAGTGGTGGAAGTCAAGTGTGGATTACCCCCACAATAAGGAGAAATGAAAGACTAGCTAGAGAATATTTACCCATTACTCTTGCTTCTTACTTGCTCTCCTTTACTTCCCCCAAACCATAGTCTAATTTTCCTTGGTTATTTCCTGGAAAGACTGAGATAGGACTTTTGTTTCATGTGTTTGCAGTAGCAAAATCTAATCCACACGGAGCAAGCAACCCTCATATGAGAAGTTGGGTCTACTAGATTGGAGATGGTTGAACGAAAACAAAACAAAACAAAACAAATTTATTGGCCTACAGAGTTTAAGAATGAGGTTAGATAGAAGATAACATGTATCAATATTACTTTTCCAATGACTCTTTCCACACCCCAGCATAGCAAAGTCAAATTTCTTTGCAGAAGAAATTAAACTTTGATGTGTACAAACTATTTTAAATGTTTTAGGAAGAAAATTGCATACGTTTGTACTTATTAATAATACTTAGATAGTTATGTAGTTCTTGGAGAGCTTTGTAAATGTGTTGAAGATGGGACCTAAATTGTTGTGTAAGCATAAAACCAGTTTTAGTGACTAAAGGTATGCCGAAAACAAGAAAATATAGGAAATACTAATAAAATATTTATCTAGTATTTAGATACAAGTGTGCATGTAATCTCAGAAGCAAATTATTCTATTTTCGGTTTAGGAGATATTTATGCTTCCCCTAATTTCTCTACCTACTTCTAACACATGGATACTTATTTCACATGCAGTGGAACCATGAACACATACTTGGATATGTGCAGGTTCAATACAGATCTACAAGTATATTTTTCTCCACCCAGGTAATTGTTCTTTCCACACATAATTCATTAAGACATTAAAAATAGCATTTTCCATTACTTGAAATGGTCACTTTAACTCCAAGAAAAGCTGCAAAAGTGCATCCTGAGCTGCTATTTACAAAGCAATGTATAGCCCAAAACAAGCACTGAGCATCACATTTAATAAGACACTGTTCAATATATTAAAGTGAGATGGAGAAAAGAATCGTGACACTATTGAATAGTTTATACTAAATTTTTATAAATTATTGAAAAAGTAGTTTTATAAATGGATTATTGCCACTGTCACTGTCAGTTATTTTGCTTAATAATATATTGTAAAACATCTGAAAAATGAGGTATATGTAAAAAATCTGAAAAATATAATAGTGACTACAAATATAAAATATAAATTCATAGTTTATAAATTCTGTCTGAAAGGCAGAATCCTGTAATTTTGATGTTCATAGAAAAACATTTCATGTATTGAAGACTATCTTTTATGCTTTTACAAAATAATAATTAACATACTTCTGAAAATTCCAAAGCTAAAATTTCAATTTTTGAACCATTCACTTACCTTAATTAAAAATTTAAAAATGAGTTTATAAGCTGCTATGTAATGTAAGTGTAACTTTGGGAGGTCCTCATATTAACATTGTCCCTCCATATCAACAAAGTGAGAATGTGAATTTAAGTGCTTTTCGTTATTTGTGTTATAGAAAAACCTTATCAAACTTGGAAAAAAAACAATTTGGTACAATTACCTTTAATTACACAATGCTAAGCGTTTTGTCTTCTCAAAGTGATCTTGACTTGAGTGTTTTAGCTTTGAATTCTTTTTTCTAGTATTAGTATATCCTAAGTATGAGGTATACTGTTTATCTAAAAATATTATGTTTGTATATATTTTTAAACCTTTGTGTATAATTTTCATTCTGATGAAATCTTATACTGCATATATAATTTTTAAAAATTAGTTGGAATTATTTCAACTTGATGGGAAGTTTAAATTATTTTTATATCCAAAACCAATGTTTGTTCTGCCTTTGTCATCTTTTTTTTTCCACTTTGTATTCTCTGTTTCTCTACTTTATGAGAGAGATGCCTTATGTTGTTTAGCTTTTCTAGTAATCTTAAGTAAAACTTTCTCTTTTTTTTCCTTCTAGTGGTTTCTTTTATACATTCCAAGTAATATTAGGTTGGTGCAAAAGGAATTGTGGCTTTGCCATTACTTTTAATGGTAAAAACCGCAATTATGTTTGCACCAATCTAATAATACTTAGATTATAATTTAATAATTATCAAAATAAAGTGTTTCGGGTGAGTCATTCACTTTTTCATTTACTTATTTGTTTATTTATTTTAAAATTGACATTTATTGAGTATCTAATATGAGAGATTTGATTTGCTCGGCTCTGAGGATGCTTTACCAGACACTGTCCTTACATCGGTGATTTCACTGAATTTTGGAGAATTCCTAAATATAAGTTGATTTTCATAATATCATGAGGGAAATATTATTAAAGAGAATAATTGTTTGAACAAATCAATTTCTTACCCCTAGTCAAGGCTATTGGTAGCTACATTATCTTAAAATAATTTAAAGGATGGGTCGCTATCATGTCCAAAGGACATTTGAGACCTCCTGATGATGGTTCTGCTTGAAGAATGTATAGGGATTAGCTACATTTGAGGGGAGTGGGCAAAGGGAGCACCAAGGAGATAGAGGTTTGCCTATCACAAAGCTGAGAATGTCAGTGCGATATGAGTAGGAAACAGCAAACAGCAACAGAAGAAAATGCTGTTCCTACCACTTTGACCTGTCAGAATTCTAATCATGCTCCAGGTCTGGAAGCATCTGTCCTCTTCTCTAGGAGCATCTCCTGAGGCTAGGTTAGACACACAGGTGCTCCTATGACACCCAGTATAACTCTGACATTTTGTAATGACTTGAGTACATATCTTTGAGGAGCATGCCTATTAACAAGTTTAACCTGTGTTTTTCTACTATTTTCAAAACAAGTTGCCTTTTGATAAATCTGATCTGTCCTCTTCATCTTACCCAATAAGGCAGAACATGTGACTGTACTTCCTATCAGATGCTAATCTTAAAACAGTGTATTTTATTAATGGAGGTTAGGATGAATACCTCCTCTGATGGGGCACAAAAGAGAGTTCATTTGGTGGCACTCATGATTCCTATGGTGTTAATTTTTGTAAGCATTGCCAAAATGGCTGCCAGCCTGAGTAGAAAATACAAATATGGGTATTGAGCACTTAAAATGTGGTAGCATGTTTTAACATATTACGTCCTTTAATCCTCTTGGCAATTTAATTTTTGTTATTATAAATTCTAACATACATATGCAATTTTACAATTAATCCAATTACATGTTGATTGATTTTTACAACCTGAATCTTGTATATCTCACAACCAAATCAAGTAAGGGAATATGACCAGCAACTAACAGGACCCTTCTACCACATACTGCCTTTCAGTTATCACTCTCTCTCACTTTTTAAAAAGATTTTTCTATTTCTAATAGCACAGAATAATTTGATCCGTTTTTGTATTTCATTTAAAGATCACAAGATGTTACATCTATTTTAAGTCTTTCTAAAAAAAATTAACACATATTGTGAGATTCGTCTATATTATGCATATAGTCATAGATTGTTTATTCTTATTGTTACGTGGTATTTCATTGTGGGAATGTACCAAAATTTATTTACCCATTTGATGTTGATGAACATTTAGGTTTTTTCCAGTTTTAGGCTATACTACAAATCATGTTTCAATAAGCATTCTAATTGATGTATTCTAGTAAATATATATACATAGTTTTGTTGGAAATGGCAATGGTGGTCATGTGTATGTTTATCATTATGAGATATCTAATAAAGAGTTGTTCTAATTTACATGTCTACCAGCAGTAAATGAGAGTTCCAGTTGTTCTACATCTTTGCCAATGCTTGGTATTTTTAGTTCTTTTCATTTTAGCTGTCCTGTTTGGTATGTCACTACATACCAAAAAAAGGTGCTTTGTCATGAGAGATACAATTTTTACTTATTTTTCTGATTAATATAAAAGTTTGTGCCTATTTACCTGTTCATTGGCAATTTTATTTCTCTTTTGAAGTGTATGTTTCTTCCTGCAACTTTTTCTTACTGATGTTGTTGAAGTACTTTATATATTTTCTGTATGTATGCATTTGGATATCTTCTAGTTTGCGTTGACTAGATACATAAAGAACAAGAAAGATATCTTGAAAAGTGAAAAAATTGAATCAAAACTTCATTGACTTTTTTAATTTTAAATTTTTGTGGGCACATAGTAGGTGTATATATTTATGGGTGTATGAGATATTTTGATAGAAGCATACAATGTGTAATAATCCCTTTTAAAGGGCCGGGCACAGTGGCTCATGCCTGTAATCCCAGCACTTTGGGAGCCTGATGTGGGTGGATTACCTGAGGTCAGGAGTTGGAGACCAACCTGACCAATATAGTGAAACCCCATCTCTGCTAAAAATACAAAAATTAGCTGGGCGTGGTGGCATGTGCCTGTAGTCGCAGCTACTCGGGAGGCTAAGACAGGAGAATTGCTTGAATCCGGGAGGTGGAGGTTGCAGCCAAGATTGCGCCACTGCACTCCAGCCTGGGCAACAAAGCAAGACTCTGCCTCAAAAAAAAAAAAAAAAAAAAAAAAAAATCCCAGTAAAGTAAATAGGGGTATCCATCATCTCAAACATTTATCCTTTGTGTTACAGACAACCCAATTATATTATTTTAGTTATTTTAAAATATACAATTAAATTATTATTGAGTATAGACACCCAATAAATTTACTAATTTTTGAGACCCCAAGCTTCATTGAGTAATAATTTAATTAAAATTTCAAAATTCTTTGAACAGTGCCTGAGTACCCAAGAATAAATATCAGTCAGTCATTAAGAATAAAAATTAAAAAGTCAACATCTCATCTCTCAGATCATCAGTGAGGTAATCAAATGACTCTTCTTTAAAATTATATCTATATTGAGATGAGTATAGTTATAGTTAAGTAAGATATTCTAATAAAAATACCATTTGAAAAGTCAGAATTATACTTGATTATAAATCTATGAGATTGGGAATATGTCTTTTTATAAAATAATTGATGTTTGATTGGCATCTGTGTTGAAAACTTAGACTGCTCAATAAGAATTTTTTACTGAATCAATTAATTAATCAATCAATAAAACTAAACAGACAAACAAAATTATTTCTTGGCACTCAGAAATTTGGTTGTTGGACCATTAAAATGCATTATGGAATTTTTAAAAGTTGGGGGAGAGGGAGACAGTAAAAATAACCTATATTTTCTCTTGTTTTTTTTTTTAACTCTAGGAAAGCCCAGACAAATTTTGAGCTATTTCATAACCTACCAGACTTATCATGCTAACACTGAATAAAACAGACCTAATACCAGCTTCATTTATTCTGAATGGAGTCCCAGGACTGGAAGACACACAACTCTGGATTTCCTTCCCATTCTGCTCTATGTATGTTGTGGCTATGGTAGGGAATTGTGGACTCCTCTACCTCATTCACTATGAGGATGCCCTGCACAAACCCATGTACTACTTCTTGGCCATGCTTTCCTTTACTGACCTTGTTATGTGCTCTAGTACAATCCCTAAAGCCCTCTGCATCTTCTGGTTTCATCTCAAGGACATTGGATTTGATGAATGCCTTGTCCAGATGTTCTTCACCCACACCTTCACAGGGATGGAGTCTGGGGTGCTTATGCTTATGGCCCTGGATCGCTATGTGGCCATCTGCTACCCCTTACGCTATTCAACTATCCTCACCAATCCTGTAATTGCAAAGGTTGGGACTGCCACCTTCCTGAGAGGGGTATTACTCATTATTCCCTTTACTTTCCTCACCAAGCTCCTGCCCTACTGCAGAGGCAATATACTTCCCCATACCTACTGTGACCACATGTCTGTAGCCAAATTGTCCTGTGGTAATGTCAAGGTCAATGCCATCTATGGTCTGATGGTTGCCCTCCTGATTTGGGGCTTTGACATACTGTGTATCACCAACTCCTATACCATGATTCTCCGGGCAGTGGTCAGCCTCTCCTCAGCAGATGCTCGGCAGAAGGCCTTTAATACCTGCACTGCCCACATTTGTGCCATTGTTTTCTCCTATACTCCAGCTTTCTTCTCCTTCTTTTCCCACCGCTTTGGGGAACACATAATCCCCCCTTCTTGCCACATCATTGTAGCCAATATTTATCTGCTCCTACCACCCACTATGAACCCTATTGTCTATGGGGTGAAAACCAAACAGATACGAGACTGTGTCATAAGGATCCTTTCAGGTTCTAAGGATACCAAATCCTACAGCATGTGAATGAACACTTGCCAGGAGTGAGAAGAGAAGGAAAGAATTACTTCTATTTGCCTCTTATGCAGGAGTTCATAAAATCTTTCTGGAAGCACTGTATTGATCACAAAATGGAGTTTGTTAACTGGTGCATTCTCAATAAGTACCTTGGGAATCTCAACATCATTGGAAGGCCCACCAACATTTCTATAAATTTTTTACCTTCTCACTCATGTGAAGGACCAGTCTAATAATTAAACCATATTTTATTCGACAAAACCTAATGAGTCCATTTTTTATGAAAAGACAAATCTAAGTAGAAGGAGATGATGTGAGTCTTCTTTTCAATGATCACAATTTTCAGATTAATATTTCAGATTAATAGCCAGTTATTACTTTTGTCTAGAAAACATGTGCTATATATTTCTCATAACTACCAAAAACCTGTTTCTTCAATGACATTTTCCTGAAGGAGAATCTAGAGTGCATGCCATAAAGTCTAAAATGAGTTTTAAGTCTCTAAGCATCTAGCTAAAATATTATTAGGCTGAATAGGTCACATAATTATTTCACAACAGAATAATTGGATATTTCGTTTTCTTTAAAGGGGCTTTTTAAAAAGCACAGAGCCTGGAAAGAGAGGTAGAGATCTTAACCAAAAATAAAAAACAGTATAATTTTTTTCTAAGACCTGTATGAAAGGGGATCAAAATCTACTTGTTTCATTTTATCTCTAATTGTGAATCTAATAAGGAAAATTAGGTATATATTTCTAATATTTAAGATTTATCTAAATTAAAAAACAAGTGAGAAACTATAGAACATAGTATTTTCATATTAATGTCTCATAAACTAAGCCAATTATATAAGGAATATAAACTCAACTTTTACTGTTATTTTTCTGTGTCCAACTGACAAGAAAACATGTACTTCCCTGAAATTTAGTTAACTATAGTCGTCAAATTGCATTTATTCACTTAGTGAATCCTTCTTGACTATGTTGCATTTTACAAGCTGGCCAAACAGCAGTACCCACTAAAATATTATTATCCTCCATGTATCGCCCTATTTCAATATTTGCTACCCTAAAGCTAAAAGTCATCAGTATTCTCTTTACTTCCTCAACCTGACATCACTCTTCTCCTAGTTTGTCTTTCTCTTATCCCAGTTGTTATCTGAAATTGCTATTGTCAACTTCACCAATGCTTTTCCATGTTAACAAACTAAATAGTCCTCCTTCTTTGCTCATCTCACACTCTCTCAGGAATATTGATTTCAACTCAGTATTTCCAATATCTTGAAACACTATATCATTTTTATTTACTTCAGAGACACTACATATTTCATTTATGTAATACACTTTGTTTAACTTTGATTTGTTTTCTACATTCTCTTCCTAGGTGTTCTCCTTTAGTGTCATGGTCTTAAGTATTGGCTATAAAACTAATGATTCCCCAAAGGAAGCTAAGGTTCAGAGAACTGTTTTCCACGTACTTATTCTTCATGGCATACTATCTTTCTTAGACAGGTCAATATCTCCTTTTTCCCCCTGCATTCTCCATGTCTACTCCAATTTTCCATGTCCTGCTCCTCCAGTTTATCTCCCAGTGATTTTGGCATAACGTTTGTTATATTTTAGTTTCCTTAAAAATAGATGTTATTATTCAGTGATTTTATGTGTTTTAATTTAAATACATTTTATTGTGCTAAACAACTTAATCTGCTAATTTCTCACTCAATACTTTAAGATGTATTTATCTTAAATATCTTGGAACATGTATTTATATTTTATACTTGTCAATGTAATGTATATTACTTATTTCAAAATTGTTAAGTTGGCTAGATACAGTTTTGATAAAAAATTTGCATCTACTAACTTCACAACACACAAAAATCACCTGTGCTTCCATACACTATCTTGAACAATGTGAAATGGAAATTAAGAAAACAATCTTTTTTACAGTAATAATATTAAAAAGAATATAACACTTTGGAATAAATTTAACCAAGAAGGCAAACACTTATAAACTGAAAACTACAAAACTTTTTTTTAAAGAAGATGCAAATAAATGGAAAGATATTTTATGTTCACATTTTAGAAGACTTGCTAGTGTTAAAATTCTCGTACTGCATGAGGTAACTATGAACTTAGTGCAATCCTTATTTAATTCCCAATGAAAATTTTTATAGAAATAAAAAAGCAGTGCTAATATTCATGTGGAACCACAAAGGACTATAAATAACCAAAACAATCTTAAGAAAGAACAAAGTTGAAGGCCTCACACCTCATTATTTAAAAACATATTATAAAACGACAACAATTAAAACAGTATGTATAAATAAGTGTAATAAATTAAAACAGCACAGTATTAAGACACATAGACCAATGGAATAGAGAGCTCAGAAATAAACCCATGCACATACGGTTAATGGATGTTCAACAAGGGTGGCAAGAAAACACAATGGGGAAAGACATTCTTGTCAACAAATGAATTTGGGAAAACTGAATATCCATATGCAAAAGGATGAAATTGGACTCTTATCTTACACCACATACAAAAATAGATTCAAAGTGGATCAAAGACTTAAACCAAAGAACTAAAACCACAAAACTCCTAGAAGAAAACAAAATAGAAACATTTCATAACATTGGTCTTGGCTATGATTTCTTAGTTAGGACATTAAAAACACAAGGAAAAATAGCAAAAATAGGCAAATGGGACTATATCAAACTGAAAAGCTTTTGCACAGCAAAGAAAACAATCAACAGAGTAAAAGAGCAACTTACAGAATGGGAAATAATATTTGCAAACCATATATCTGATAAAAGATTAAAATCTAAAACATATAAAGAACTTCCAAAAATCAACAGCAAAAAATTGGTGAGACTATGAGTATTGGAAAGATTGTTTTCTCTTTTTTATTACTCTTTTAAAATTGTTCTACCTGCTCTGTAGTATATCTGTCATACTACTGGCAGGTATGTAAATTTAACTAATTATTTTTTGCATATCTTGTAATGATAAAGATACGCATAACCATCAGGTCCATTTCACACAAAACTGTAAATATATAATTACCAGAACCCATCAATTAGAATGCTTACTGCAACATGATTTGTAGAATAAAACTTAAAACTGGAAATATCTAAATGTCCATCACCATCAGATGGGTTAAATGAATTTTGGTACATTCCCACAGTACATTCCCACAGTACATTCTGTATGACAGTAAGAATATAAAATCTGCAACTTCAGGGACAGACTTTAACTCACTTCTCTTAACAATAAAAAAAAACAATTATACAGAAAGTTAGCAATGATATATAAGAACTTATAACACAATCAATCAACCTAATCTGAAAAACACTTCTAGAACATGCTACTCAACAAGAGGAGAATACATTTTTTTTTTCAAGTGCTCACAGAACATAGCCCTAAATTGTACTGAACAATGAAAGAAACCCAAACTTTTAAAAATAATTTCAAGCATACAGAGTGTATTTTCCACATAAAATGAAGTAAAACTGGAAATAAATAAATATATTATTCATTTTATATATATAATATGTATATATAATGGTAGTATATATATAATATATATATATAATGGTAGTATATATATAATATATATATATAATGGTAGCATATATATGTAATGAAAATCTCCAAACAGTAGAAAACTAAACAGCACATTTCTAAATAATCTTTGGGTCAAAAAGGAAGTGTCAGGGATATTTTAAAAAATATATTGCCGGTCACAGTGGCCCATGCCTATAATCCCAGCACTTTGGGAGGCCGAGGCAGGTGGATCACCTGAGGTCAGAAGTTTGAGACCAGCCTAACTGACATGGTGAAACCCGCTACTAAAAATTAAAAAAAAAAAAAAATTAGCCGGGCATAGTGGCCCATGCCTGTAATCCCAGCTACTTGTGAGGCTGAGGCAGGAGAATCCCTTGAACCCGGGAGGCAGAGTTTGCAGTGATCCGAGATCATGCCACTGCACGTCAGCCGGGGCATCAGAGTAAGACTGTGTCTCAAAAAAAAATTATATTGAAGAAAAATGACAATTCAACATATCAAAATGTGTGGGACACTGCGAAAGTATTACCAAGAGGGAAATTCATACAATTAAATAATTATATTAGGAGAATTAAAAGTCTCAGATCAATAAGCTCAGCTACCACTTCAAGAGTATAGAAAAAATCAGACTATAAATCCAAAGCAAGTAGAAAAAAGAAAACAACAAAAATAAGAGTGAAATCAATAAAACTGAAAACAGAAAAATAATAGAAAAAATCAATAAGGCATGGAGCTGCTTCCCTGAAAAAAATCAACAAAATTTATAATTTCTCACAATACAGTCATCTGTCTGATTCATTTAGAGATATGAAAAAGCCTCGGAATTGTGTAGATAGGATCAATGGGAGCGTGAGAATTCCAAGTTCAGCTATAACATGTACTGTGTGATATCAGGCAAGTTTCTTAAAATTTATGTGCATCAGTTCCTTTATCTATAAGATGTAAAGATACTGGTGCCTAACACAATGGAGGTTATTATGAATGATAATTTTTAAAATATGTAAGACACAAGGAATGATTTCTGTCATATAAGAAGTACTATGTAAGTGTTTGCTATTTTTGTTATGAAATAGATAAAGTAGTTCTGAATCTAGCTTGCATTAAGGGAAAGTTTTCTGTTAATTGTGTGACATGGTTGGGGAAGGCGTGCTGTGTACACTATGCATATGCATTGATAAGCTTAGACTATGGAATATTATAAAATCATATGGATTTCTTATTTGCATATGTTTGTGTGAGGTTAGAAGAGGGGATAGGTAGGATGGAGTTGACAAATTGAATTCTTCTGCAAACTATTTCTAGGGTTACCCAGAGAGAATCAGGCTATTCTACAACCTATCAGAGAGCTAAGCACCTCATCTTCCCTTCCTTTTGTGTAATGAAGCTCAGACTACCTAAACTGAATACAAGAGGATGCAAGAATTTTAAGCCTCTATCCTATGGTTGTTCATCAATTACTTAATATTATTTGACCTCTAGATCTCACTACCTGAATTATTTTTGGAGTGCTTTCCTCAATATTGTACAAGTCCTAGAGATACAAATTGACAGAAAATCCCTCTGAAATTTCTGTATGTATAAAACTTAAAAATGTAGGAAGAGGTTTTGTATTGTGCTTTTCCTTAAAAAAAAAAAAAACAACTTTCCCAAAGCCTTCCTCAAAGAGAAAATTATCATAAAATTTAGATATTTAACACTTTTATGCCTATATTTAATAAAAGCTAGCTCTACCATACCCAAATTAAGATTTTTAGCAAAATGATGTGACTTGTTCCTAATTACATCCACGCCCTAGATTTGACTTGCTTCAGGCTAATTGGGTTTTACAACCCTAGGGAATAGACTTTTCCTCCACTTAAGCAGGTCCCTGAGTTTCTCTGCACTGGTCATAATATCCTAGTCCATCTTCAGTGGCTGTAAACCAGCTCTGGGTATACTGAAGATCACTACATATGACAAGTCTTTCACAGGACACCACAGTAAGTACATAGCTGGGGCCAGAGTCAGTCTTTTTAATCTTCGCGGAGATTTGGGAATGCCATATAGAAGGGTAAGCCTCAGCTATGATGGAGGCATCTACATAATGCTTCTTTAATGACTGTGTAGAAACCATGAAATACACTTCATGTCAAATTAATCTGAATATTGGAAAACTTTATGGAACCTAATACAACAAAATGTTAGATATTTCATAACCACTATGTCTTAATATGTAAAAATAAAAGTATATTACCACCAGCATTTTTAGAATGATATTTCTTGTTTATTTATTGTTTTGGCATATTTTATTTTATTAGATACTTTGGAGCTTTGTAATTCTTCACAAAATTTTTTCAAGCTCAATATTTAGCTTTTGTATTAGACACTGTAACTCTCCAGCTCCGTTGAGTTTTTATGCATATTCCTGCACATGTCTTTCTTAGCTTGCTGACACATAATACCTGGTACCAGTTTCATGGTATTAGGCATCAAAGGCCCTCATTTAAATTTACCACATAAATATTAATTATCCCATCTTGCAAGAATTTTAATTAGGCATTTTAATAGAATTGTTAACACACTCCAGAATCTAGAAATGAATTATTATATTTCATAGAATAGAATCAAGAATCCTAGAGGCTAAGACTTTTGTTGAAGTTCATAGGGCCACACAGAATTTCATTTTCACCCAAAGTA
This sequence comes from Homo sapiens, assembly GCF_000001405.40. NCBI lineage: Eukaryota > Metazoa > Chordata > Mammalia > Primates > Hominidae > Homo > Homo sapiens. The sequence goes on from NC_000011.10 coordinate 5,761,937, forward strand.
TTAGAATTTTTGCTGAACTGTGAGAATAATATATTTACATGTGTGTCTTTCAATTGGAAATACTAGAATTGGAAAGACAGAGTCTCACATACACCTGCCAAGAAGTAATATTAATGTTTAGCAATCATCAATATATAAATATAATCCATTGTAAGAATAAATTGTACAGTTTTCTTCCAAGCAGTTTTTCATTATAAAAGATTTATCTTAAATTTTCCTGGTATTTCAAGCTAGATCATTGTATTTTCTAAGATAGATGCCACATGTATTTTTTTTCTTTACTAATCTATTGAACAGTGGACCCTTACTTCATTGAAGAAAAATAATTGATTTACTATACTCTCTAGCAATTTAAACAATTTTTCTCTGGAGGCCATGTCCAATACTATTTTATATTTGATTCATTTATCGTTTAATGCCCTTGCTAAATTTTTCTAAATATATGAATGTCATTTGTTTTTTATGGCTTTCGATAATTTTGCATGTTGTTTTATGAAATTTATGATATTCTTTGTTACTTCTCACTCATTACCCAAAGCATCACTGATATTCATGCATCTTCTTTATGTATTTATGATCGGTAATCTCTTATTTTTTGCAAGAGATTTACATTTAACTCCTTTGGTACAAATATACAGTTATATAGAATGAATAAAACCTAGTATCTGATAGATCAGTAGACTGACTAAAGTTAACAATAATCTATTGTACATTTCAAAATAGCTGGAAGAGAATAATTTAAATGTTCCTAGCATCAAAGTATCACATGTACACTGAACATCTGTACATTTATGTATTAATAAAAAAAGACAAAAACAAATAATTCAAGAAAAAATCTATATCACTGCCAGTTTTTGTTTACGTATTTATTTAAAGAAATATATTTAAATATACTTTACCATAACCATACTTTGTCATTTTCTACTAGAATTTCAAGTTTAGGTTATGTGTTTGGGATCAGGCTAGTCACAAATACTATATTATCCTGTTAATGTTTATTATAATGTTATTATCATTTCACAATTATTATTTTAACTGAATTACTAATTTTATATATGACATTGTTACATTGGTTTTCTTATCTAAGAATACCCGATTTATTCTGCTTTCAAATTTTGTATTAAAGTTTCTTTCAAAAATAGTACAGTTTTAAAAAATGTAACCTGAGTCTCTTTTTTAATTAGCAATTATAATCTATAAGAATCAGTATGTTTACAGATGCATATGAATTACCTCTTTCATGTTTTATAATATGTATAATTTTATTTTTAGTTTTCATCTTGTCTTGATGAGATATCCGCTATACTCTTCTACCCCTTGATTGTTTCAACATGATTCTCCTTTCAATCCCTGTCTCCTTCCATTACATTATATTTATTTATTAATTTATTTTTGAGACGGAGTTTCACTCTTGTTGCCCAGGCTGGAGTGCAGTGGTACCATCTCAGCTCACCGCAACCTCCGCCTCCTGGGTTTAAGCAATTCTCCTACCTCAGCCTCCTGAGTAACTGGGGCTACAGGCACACGCCACCATGCCCGGCTAATTTTTGTATTTTCAGTAGGGACGGAGTTTCACCATGTTGGCCAGGATGGTCTCAATCTCTTGACCTCCTGATCCGCCTGCCTGGCCTCCCAAAGTGCTGGGATTACAGGCGTGAGCCACTGCACCTGGCCTCCACTATATTTTTAACGTGCTTATATGTCAATAGCCCTAACCTCCTCATAAACAATACAAGACTCATGGACATAAAACTGCTTATTTCTGCTTCAGTATTCATTCACATAATATAAATTGAGTGCTTATTAAGTGTCTGTCTCTTGGGGAAAAACAGTGACATAAATAACAAATATCCCACGCCTTTAGGTTTCTATGGGAGATACGTATATCAACTCAATGACCTACACACTGATATATATTTTTCCTTCTTTGGGCAGTTAGACACAATACAGTATTCCCCAAGCCACATTTTAATTAAGCATTAAAATTTGTAGAAACAATTTCATCAATTAACCTTATTTTGTTACAAGTAGTATAAGATGTTATTACCTAAAGTGAATATATCGACCAAGTCAACATAACATTGCCTCCTCTGTAGACTCTATAATTTTAGCGCACAAATTTTAAAAATAATTTTTTGCCTTTATATTGTATCCTTAATATTTTAAATACTTAAAAGGAAAGAAGAAATAAATAGTGCAGAGTAGCACAAGTAAAACATTTCATGAAAATTTGTTCTGAATATTTTAATTCAAATATTAACAAAAGAATATAGAAAGGAGGTGTCAGATACAGAGAGATTAGATATTAGGAGGCCTTATGCCAAAGCATTGCTCTCAAAATCACTGATTTGCGTGCATGTCTATGTTTGTGTGTGCATGTGCGTGCATGTTTTTAACTTCTACGCCAGTCATCATGGCCATATGGCCATTAGAATACTCCAAAAACCAAAAATATACGCAAGTAGAAATAAGTAACACAAAACTACAACCAACTGAATTTACAGAACACTGGTATTTCCAAACCACATTAAACTCTTTCATATTTGCATGAATTTATACACGTTATTAGAATGCTTACACATCAATTACATGACTATAAAATGGGTATACTAACTTAGCTCATACATTTTAATAAAAAGTAAATAATATACATCAATACTTCATAAATGTTTAAGTACGTGAACAAAAAATAGTTCACTTCTATATACTCTATCATCAAATATCTTACCTAAAAGGCCTCCATGCATAAAAAACCACTACTCTGAGTTTATACATTAGGTCTCTAAAGAAACCAACTCGTTAACAAAGACAAACTTAGGAAACCGGGCTGCAATACCAGATCACTTTCAACTTGTCCTGCTCCTGTGACTTACTGTAAGGAAGCTCTTAAACAAGGTCCTGATTTTATAATGTCGTATACCTTAGATATGAGAAAATGGAAAAAATATGACCTACCTTATAGAGTATTACAGATGATTAACTGAGTTATCACAGAGAATGTACCTAATATCACATAGGATAATACATGTCCAATAGATGTAAGTGACAACATGAGATTAACGAGGCTGAGTCACACCTCAATATCATGATGCTAGGTAATTATTTTCTCAATACTTCCATAGAGATTATTAGAAATACTAATATCAAATATTTTTCCCCTTAGTGGTGCTCCAGGAGCTCAGAGATTCCAACAGCTCTAAGTTCCAGGTCTCTGAGTTTATCCTGATGGGATTCCCTGGCATTCACAGTTGGCAGCACTGGCTCTCCCTGCCCCTGGCTCTGCTCTACCTCTTAGCTCTCAGTGCCAACATCCTTATCCTGATCATCATCAACAAAGAGGCAGCACTGCACCAGCCTATGTACTATTTCCTGGGCATCTTGGCTATGGCAGACATAGGCCTGGCTACCACCATCATGCCTAAGATTTTGGCCATCTTATGGTTCAATGCTAAGACCATCAGTCTCCTGGAGTGCTTTGCTCAGATGTATGCCATACATTGCTTTGTGGCCATGGAATCAAGTACCTTTGTCTGCATGGCTATTGATAGATATGTAGCCATTTGTCGACCGCTACGATATCCATCAATCATCACTGAATCTTTTGTTTTCAAAGCAAACGGGTTCATGGCACTGAGAAACAGCCTGTGTCTCATCTCAGTGCCTCTGTTGGCTGCCCAGAGGCATTACTGCTCCCAGAATCAAATTGAGCACTGTCTTTGTTCTAACCTTGGAGTCACTAGCCTATCTTGTGATGATCGAAGAATCAATAGCATTAACCAGGTCCTTTTGGCTTGGACACTCATGGGAAGTGACCTGGGTTTGATTATTTTATCATATGCTCTAATACTTTACTCTGTCCTGAAGCTGAACTCTCCAGAAGCTGCATCCAAGGCCTTAAGTACCTGCACCTCCCACCTCATCTTAATCCTTTTCTTCTACACAGTCATCATTGTGATTTCCATTACTCGTAGTACAGGAATGAGAGTTCCCCTTATTCCAGTTCTACTTAATGTGCTACACAATGTCATTCCCCCTGCCCTGAACCCCATGGTATATGCACTCAAGAACAAGGAACTCAGGCAAGGCTTATACAAGGTACTTAGACTGGAGTGAAGGGCACCTGATATGGAAAAGATATTCATTTTTTGAAAATTTTCTTCACATGTTTTTATATCATATTCTCCAACTGCTGCAAATGGCAGAACAACAAAGAAATAGCATAATGAATTGGTGGCAACAACTGACACTTTAGAACAAAGGAGATAGAAGTAATATTTGAAATATTTGGGAGTCAAGCAAAAATCTTCATCACAAAGGGTAACAGTGATGCTATTTGTCTCAAGGAATTCAAAGAAAAGACTAATGTAATCTACATTTCATGTTCTTACCCACTTGTCTTAGCTAAAACTTCCAGACAGTGTTGAATAGAAGTAGTTAGAGCAGATATTGTGTCAATCTATTCCTTTTAATTGAAGAGCTTAATATTTTACATTTGATGTAATAATTGATAAAATAGGAGATACTTCTGCATTTTCATGATTTGCTTTATTATGTGTCTTATATTTTTAATTTGCAAAGGACTTGAATAGACATTTCTCTAAGATTATATGCAAATGTCCAAAAAATACATGAAAAGATGCTCAACATAACTAGTCATTAATCATTAGGCAAATTCAATCAAAACCACAATAACACACCCCTTTACCCCCTATATTATACAACACCACAATAACACACCCCTTTACCCCCATATTATACATATAAATGTACTGCAAATTTATTTTTTTGCAATAAGAGATTAGTGTTTGCAAGTATATGGATACACTGAAATCTCAATACATTGTTGGGAAGTAAAAATGGCACAGTGGCTGTGGAAGAGTTTGGCAATTACTAAGAAACTTCAGTGCCATTAACATATGACCCAGGACCCAACTTTTAATAATACACCCAACATAATTGAAAAAAATGTTAATACAAAAACCTGTACACAAATGTTTACAGTAGCATTATTAGCCAAAAAGTAGAAACAACCTGTATATCTATAAGCTGTGTCTTGTTCTGTTTTGTGTTGTTACAACAGAATACCTAATACTGAGTTAGAAATATAGGTTTATTTAGCTCATAGTTCTGCAGGCAGGGTACTTCAAGGACATGTCCCTGGCTTCATCTGAGGACTTTGGTGTTGCCTCATAACATGGCAGACAAGGTCAAAGGGAAAACAGACATGTGCAAAGAGACAAAACCCAACGGGCTTCCCAGCTTTATAACAACTCACTGTCATGACAAATCCATCTCCCAGAGAACTGATCCAGTTATGTAACAGAGAAAACTCAGTAACTGCCACAAGAATAGCACCAAGTCATTCATGAGGAATCCATCCCCAGGACCCAAACATCTCTTACTGGGCCCCACTTCCCAATACCACTACAGTGGGGATCAAATTTCAACCTGATTTTTGGTGGAGACAAGCAAACCCTATCCACACCATAGCAGCTACTGAATGGATAAACAAAATTAAGTGTATCTATACTAGGAATTATTATTTAATAAAAAGTACCTATATGAGATGATAGATATACTAATCAGCTTCACTATAATAATTATTTTGCTGTCTCTATCCCATAATTTCATGCTGTAAATCTCAAATATATATAGAATAAAACTTATCTTACAAAAATTCAACTTGATTGAATTAAAAATTGCTAAATTTAACAAAATGACATGGAAAATTTTGTATAGTAAAGAGGAAAAATATAAAAAGAATAAATTCTCCCAACAACAAACAAACAAAAGTAAATGAAGTACTCGTACAATCTGCAGCATACATGAACTTTGAAAACATTATGCTTAGGTTAGTGAAGAAAGCCAAACACAAAAGGCCACCTAGTATCTGATTCCATTTGTATGAATATCCAGAATAGGTTAAGTCTATAGAAAAAAAAAGCAAATTAGTTGTTAGTAGGGAATGGAGACTCCAGGCAATAATGAGAGACTAACTAATAGTTATGAAGTTTCCTTTTGAGGTAATGGAAATATTGTGAAATTAGATAGTGGCAATGGTTGCACAGCATAATGAATGTAGTGAAAGTCACCCAATTGTACGTTTTCTTTTTTCATTTTATATAAAATTAAGGGGTACAACTGCTTTTTGATACATGGATGTATATCCATGTATAGCCTGGCTGTGGTGAAGTCTGGGCTTGTAGTGTACCCACCATAGTGGGTACCACCAGCATAGTGTATATTGTACCTACTAAGGAATTTCTCATTCCTCATTCCCCTTCCATCTGCCCATCCCCCAAATCTCCAATATTTATCTATTTCACACTCTATGCCTATGTGTACACATTAGGTAGTTCCCACTTAAAAGTGAGAACATGTGGTATTTGCTTTTCTGTTTCTGAGATATTTCACTTAAAATAATGGCCTCATAATCTATGCACGTTGCTGCAAAAAACATTATTTCATTTGTTTTCTTGACTGAGGAGTATTCCATTGTATATCATACCACATTTTTTTTATCCAGTCATCTGTTGATGGACACAGGTTGATTCCGTATCTTTCCCTGTGATAAACATACTAGTGCCAATATTTTTAAGTGTAATTATTTTAAATGCAATTATCTTCTTTTGGGTAGATACCTAGGATTGGCATTGCTGGATGGAATGGTAGTTCTAGTTTTAGTTTCTTGAATATTTCCGTACTGTTTTCCATAGAGGTCGTACTAATTTACATTCAATATAAAACAATATAAAAAACTGCAAAAATTATTCTCTACATGTATATTTGTTATATAACTTTCTGTAAATTAAAAGAACATAGATGTCTGAGAACAGGAAAATACTTAAGGAAGTGTGTAAAACACATAATGTGCCTTTATTTAATCATAATACTGAACAATCCTTTTTTGAATGTGCTTAATATAAACATTAACTGAAAATGATAGAATTTTTGTTTAAAATTTGATGTTATCCAAACGTTTGTCAAAAGTATATATAGAAATTGTATATAAAAGAAAAAGTATCAGAAGTTACCTCTACATTATAGAATTAGGTTCTAATTATCTCTGTGATGTCCTCATTTTTATTTTTACACTTAATAAAAACAAACATTTTTCTTCTAAATAAAAATACATAAAATTAGATTAATTATTGTCTTTTATTATTGCGTTTATTTGCATCACTATTATTATCTCAAAATTAAGGCATCTATTTATTGCTAGTTTAATATTTATATGTAATAAGTCTGAACTTTTGATTAATTTTTACAATTCCATAATATTCATCACCAATCTTCCTTGGAAATAAATTGCTTGAAAACCAAGGCCCATGTTTTCTGATGCTTTTTTCAAAGTTCCTAGACTAACTCTGAGAGTATGAAGCACTCAATGATGTTACTTAATACATGAAAACATAAAAAAAGGAAGATGCAAAGTTGTCTGTGTGAGCAATTAACACATTCTGTGCTTGCTTCCAATTTGTATGCCACAAGGCCTTAAGCAAAAAGAAACAACTCTGCAATCTTATTAATAACATAATTTTTAAAATAAAAACATCCTGTGTTCTTTCTCGCTTCCCCCCACATATACATGGCCACACATAAGCACATGTACAGATACATTCATAGGAAAGTATTCACTAGTTACTTATGAGGCATCATATAGGTGATGAGCATGGAGTGTTTCCACCCTTTCATCTCCTGTGAGCGTTGTCTTAATTCCAACACTGTGACCCTAATTATATGAAATATCCCCTTGGGACATATAACACATAATTTTCTTTAAAGGCTCATATCAGTAGTAAAGGTATCAAGGGATTTTAATGTTGGGGGGAGTACATGTACATATATTGTAGGATTCTCATGTGTTCTTTGACCAAGATTCTGAACATCTGGGCCAAACTGCATTCAGCTCATTCTATTGGCATCTGGAAATTAGGTATTAAAGGACATAAAAAGGAGACAGGGGTAGTGACAGGATTTTTCTTGTTGTAGTTCATAGTAGATAAATTGGAGAGATGTTTTGCCAAAGTGTACAGAATCTTTGAGTGTATACTATTATTATTCTCAGAAATTCAGACTTGATTTCATCCACTTAGTTTGAAGGTAGAAGTGTTGCAGACATTTGTTTTGCAGAATGTTTATTTCCCCAATTTTCAGGTTTTCATTCAGCGAAATTTTTATGATGATTTTGAATATTTATAAACAAAGCAAACAGGAATCATTGGAAATGATGAAAGTCAGGTATGAACCACCCGACAACATGGAGAAAAAATAGAAAACAGTTCTTGATTATGGTCAGAATTCTTCCATAATCAAGTTCTTACCTGCCCTCCTCTTGTTCCTTAGAATAAGAATCTAATTAACTGGCTTTATTCCTAGACAGACATAGTTGTGACTGTGTTTCATTGATTTTGGACAGCAAACATACTTGGATGAACCTACAGTCATTTTGAGAAAAGAGCATGGTCTGTAAAGACTGAGCATGGTCAAGTGAGGAAACAAAGTTACTATTTACAGAGTTTGGGGTGAAAATGCACAACCGATGATATCAAAATCATACTTTATAAATGGTGGTATTTGTTTTTAATGTTATCACTTAATAGACCTACTCACTCACAGCATAATACAAATCTATTATTCTTGCAGAATTATAAAGTAATATAGTATTAAAAGCATTTTATAAGCTTATATTTCTTGATGAGACTCATCACTTTTTAAAAAAAGTTGTGGCCCTCAGCTTCAAATCCTGATAATCGGGAACTCAGCGTATTGGGGACTAGAAGGTATTATAATTTCCCTTTTTCATAAAATATAAAGCTGAATTATCTTTCTTTCATCACCAGCAATTAGATAGATTTGTGTAAATTTACATTGCCACAGCAGTCACATTGCCCAGCTGAGTTTCCAGCAAGTATAAATATCATTCTCAGAGGCAATTTATAGTACAGTTCAAACAGACATCTTTCTCAATCGAAATCTCTTTCCCTTTGACTCTCGGGAAGCACAAATTAGAGAAATACAGAAAGCGGCATGTAAGATAAAATTAAAATGTAGCTGCTGTATTAAAAGAAGAGAGAATTAACAAAGTAAAATAAATTTTTGCTAACTTTAAAAAAAGCGTTTTTAATTTGTTTTGGAGAAAGTATTATATAACTTGTGCTTAGTGCTATATTATTTTGTATCAGCAAGATCTTTAACTGAGATGCTTATAAATGTAATTGAGATGAGAACTAAACTTCTCATGTAACAATAAAGCCAGTTTTAGTAATTAAAACTATATAAAAAGGAAACACAAGAGACATAAATAGGATATTTATGTGTTTCCCTTTTATAGTTACAGTTTTAATATATATTAATATAAGGTATATTAAATATATGAGATATAATGTAATATATATTAAATATATAATGTGAGATATTATATATGTAACATAAGATAAATATGCAATGTGAGATAAAGACAGCATAACTCATCCTAAAGATATATTTTTTATTTTCAACCTAGAGGTATCTTTACGTTCTCTAATTTCTCTACTTGCTTCTGTTACAGACATATAGAGTTAAGAGTTGACTGCTTAAATGAATCGATCAGGAAAAGCAAGCAATAATTCAATATTTTTCAAATATTTATGAGAACTTGGCATATATTAGTCAAATATTTATCAAACTACATTAGAAAATCTAGCTTATTTTCACAGTAATCTATACAATTATGTATGTATGTGTATAAATTATTAATTTAGTTTCTTTAATAATAAATTGTAAAGGAAATTTGAAAAATAGAATACACAAACATGAAGAACAAATTTACAAGCTTCACAGAAAGAAAATTGATAATTTTGTTATACAAGGAAACACTTTCTCATTTTGTAAGCACATATTTTTCTTATAACCAGAATACTAATTACAAAGCTTTTCTTAGCCTTGAAATTATTTGTGTAAATCCATACCAGTGTTGCTAAGTCGAAAATTGAAGATCAGCCAAGAAGTTGTGTTAATGTAAGTGGATTCCCCATTTTAAAATTTTCATTGTGTACTAATAATGTGAGAAAAATAACTTCAGTGTTTTCCATTATTTTGCTTGAGGGAAACTGTGTCAGACAGGAAAATGAAACAATTTGGTTCAATCAGTTTGATTTTTTTTTAATTTTCAATTTTTTGTGGGTACATATTACATGTATATATTTATGGGGTATATGAGATGTTTTTATACAGGCATGCAATGCATAATAATCACATCATGGAGGATGGGTTATCCATTCCTACAAGCATTTATCTTTGGTGTTACAAACAATCTAATTATACTACTCATTCTTAAATGTACAATTAAGTTATTATTGACTATAGTCACCCTGTTGTGCTATCAAATACTAGGTCTTATTCATTCTTTATAACTTTTTTTTTTGTACTCATTAACCATCACCACCTTCCCCGCCAGCTCCCACCCCAACCCACTACCCTTCCCGGCCTCTAGTAATTATCCTTCTATTCTCTATGATCATGAGTTCAATTGTTTTGGTTTTTAGATACCACAAATAAGTGAGAACATGTGATGTTTGTCTTTCTTGCCTGAACATAATTATTATGGTATTTTACTTCACATAATAATCTCCAGTTCCATCCCTGTTGTTGCAAATGACAGGATCTCATTCTTTACTGTGGCTGAATAGTACTCCACCGTGTATATGTACCAAATTTTCTTTATCCATTCATCTGTTGATGGACACAGGTTGCTTCCAAATCTTGGCTATTCTGAACAGTGCTGCAATCAGCTTTAATTGCATGGTGTCATGCATTTCATCTATTGTTTATCGAAAGTTGTCTCTACCCAGTACTTACTTTCTTTGGTTTCTACTTTGACTTTAATATTTCCTCAAAAAATTTTGGGGAAGGTTTTTAGTATGTTTAGTTTCTATTTCTATGAAACTCTTTGTGCATATATTGTATATAGTTTTGCCTTTGTACTTTTTTATTGCATATGTATGTATGTATGTGTATGTATGTATATGTGTGTGTATATAAATATATTTTATATATATATATTTTATATATATATATATATCCTAGCCCTGTGAAATAGGATCAACTTGTGGTAGAGATTAAATAATTAACCTTTACCTCCCAAACCAAAATATTTGTTTGGTTTGCCACCTTATTTACTTATTTATTTATTTTACCTTTTGGGGTTATCCTTTGTTTTCCCTAGGATTTTTCCAGGAATATTTTTTACAACATTATTAATCAAAAAGTAGAAATGACGTATATATCCATCGATTGCTGAAAGGATAAGCAAAATAAAGTATACCCATAAAAGGAATTATTATGGAATTATTATTCTGTCACCAGAAGAAGTGAAGTATGGTACATGTTGCAACATATATAACTATTGAAAACATATTAAGTGAAAAAGTTAGACTCAGTTGCCCATCTCTTGTGTGATTCCATTTATATGAATACCTACAATAGTCCATAGAAACAGAAAGCAAATGAATTGCTGTCAGAGCCAAGGGGGACAGGATGATAAGGACAGACTGACTAATGGTTACGGAGTTTCCTTTTGAGATGATGAAAGTATTCTGGGCTTACATACAGGTGATGGTTGCACAGCATTGTAACCATATTTAAAGCCACTCAATTGTACACTTAATTTTATTATTTTTAAATTTTGTGGATGCATAGTAGGTATTTATTATTTGATAAATGAGATGTTTTGCTCTAGACATGCAGTGTGAGATAAGCACATCATGGAGAATGGGGTATCCATTCCTTCAAGTATTTATCCTTTGAGTGACAATCCAATTCACTATTTAAGTTATTAAAAAATGTACAATTATTATTGATAATAGTCACTGTGTTGTGCTATCAAATAGTAACTTTTATTCATTCTTTCTATTTTTGTACCCATTCTTTCTATTTTTTAATTCATTCTTTCTAACTATTTTTTGTACTGTCTCCACCTCCCATGCCCAGACCTTCACTACACTTGCCAGCCTCTGGTAACCGTCCTTCTACTGTGTCCATGAGTTCAATTGCTTTGATTTTAGATCCCACTAATAAGTAAGAATATGAGATGTTTGTCTTTCTGTGCCGGGCTTACATCACTTAACATAATGATCTCCAGTTCCATCTATGTTGTTGCAAATGACAGTATCACTTTTTTTTTATGGTAGAATAGTATCCCACTGTGCATATGTAACACATTTTATTTTATTTATCCATTCATCTATTGATGATCAAAAGAAAGGAAATCAGTATATATTGAAGGGATATCTGCACTCTTATGTTTGTTGCAGCACCGTTTACAACAGCTAAGATTTGGAAGCAACCTAAGTGTCAACTGTATATTTTTAAAATGGTTAGAAAGGTTAATTTTATGTTATGTAGCTTCTATCACAAAAAAGAAAAAGTTGTATTTAAAATGTTCTCTACATATATATTTGTTGCATCACTTCTTGTAAAATAAAAATCCACAGATGTCTAAGAATAGGAAAGTGGTTACATAAATCGTGTAAATATATTGGTGTATTTTTTATATATTAGTAAGAGAATGAAACTGAAAAAGGCAAATAATGCCTTAGTATTACTATGAAAATTGTTGTGACTTCATATGTCTACACAAATGAACATGAAGCCCTCAACAATCCATGGATAACACCTCAACAACTGTTGCATTAGATATTCCAGAGGTAAAAGTGGAGGGAACAGGTGATAAATCACTAATGAGCAGTGAGCCAGGAAAGAGATATACAACTTAGAGATTATAGTGGAGAAAGTATATTCAAGACTTTTTTACACATCCGGTAGTTGTGAGCTTTATGTATTAAGGTATGAATATTCTTAATAGGCTATTTTATTCAATAGAGAAAATGTCATAAAATTAGTAAATGACTGATCAAAAATAAATCAATATTTAAAAACAGTATGTGTTTTGAGTCATATTCTGCATTTATTATTTTTGAGGCCTAACATGTATATTATATGTATTCCTTATTCCCTGAGTAAATTGGCCTGCAGACCGTTTTACAATATGACATTTACTAAAGGCCATTTTCAATAAATCCATGAATGCTATTTTTACCTGTATATTATCAGCATAATTCTTTTTCTTTTTTTTTTTTTTTTGAGAAGGAGTTTCACTCTTGTTGCCTAGGCTGGAGTGTGGTGTCACAATCTTGGCTCACTGCAACCTCCACTTCCTGGATTCAAGCAATTCTCCTGCTTAAGCCTCCCAAGTAACTGGGATTGCAGGCGCCCACCACCATGCCCAGCTAAGTTTTTGTATTTTTAGTAGAGACGGGGTTTCATCATGTTGGTCAGGCTGGTCTCGAACTCCTGACCTCAGGTGATCCACCTGCCTCGCCCTCCCAAAGTGCTGGGATTACAGGCATGAGCCACTGTGCCCAGCCCAGCATAATCTTTTATTCAACCATGAGCAAATATGTACCTGCTTTTAATACCTCTTCTGTTATATTTGCTGATTTACAAAATTTTTAAGATAATAGGTACATAAATATTTCATTATAAAGGTTTTTATAAATGGAATACATTTAGCTGGAAGGAATTATACCACCAGGCAAGAAATAGCCTTGGTGAAGAAAAAAACAGAACTCTTTGTCTCCCTAGTAAATAGGGTTTTTTTTTCATGATTTATATTCTGGTTTAAATACCATCTCTCTGTGACTCTCTTACTCTCTCAAGGTTAGAGGATCATTTTCTGTGCTGTTTCAGCACTTGTGCAAACTCTCTTATAAAGCTCCTCTAAACTATAGTTTAATTGAATGTATATGTTTACTTGAGAGATTAAATTTTCATTTACTCTTTTATTCATCTCCTACTAAAATGTTCCAGTTAACATGATCACTCCTTTTCTTTTTTAGTTTGAATAGACTATTTGACTCTATCACCCTGCTTTCCGTTAAGATGATTAGCATAGCACTGAATTCAACACATTTTTATTAATATTTCACCCCTTAGCTAGACTGTGGGCTTCTTTGTAACAAGGAGAATGTTTATATTTTTCTAATGGTTAATATCTAACATAAGGCCTAACTAATGTAGACTCATTCATCTAGTCATTTAATGAATATTTGTTTTATTTATACCTTTGAGTTGCATTTTGTCAGAGCCTGAAATACAAAGACAAATACATACCTAGTGCTTTCAAATACAACATGTTGTAGTATACAATGAACAGATGTGTAAACAAATAAACTTATTATAAGAGTGTTGTGATAATATAGTGTGTGTGACAACCAGGAAGAGGTAATGATAAGTTCTATTTTAAGATTTAGCTGAGTTGATAAAAATATTCAGAAATATGGGAAATGAAATAACTAACAAATGAAGCATGAATGAATGAATCAGTGAATCAATGATTTAATCAATCATTTCACCAATTGGTTGACATTTAACTGGGAAAGCCATACCATATACCAACTAGCTCCTGCACTGACTTCTGGTGTACGCAAGCCTTGAGGTAAATAAGACTTGTCTGTCCATTCTAATATATACATAAAAATATTTCTCAAAATTAATTCATAAACCTAATTTTAGCTTCAAAGACTGACTGGGCTGGAAAATGTTCTATAGGAAAGATTATCAACATAGACAAGACACTTAAGGACTCTTTCAAAGTTTAAGAATATATCCAAGATGAATATATTAGATAAAAGTTGTGTGAATTCATACCAACGACTTGATTAAAACGGGCAATGTAACTTTTGTCTTTCTGTGGCTGGCTTATTTCATTTAACATGCTAATTTCCAGCTTCATCCATGATGCTGCAAATTACAGAATTTCATCATTTTTTATGATGCCACATTTTCTTTATCCACTTCTCTGTTGATGGACACAGGTTGATTTCATGTCTTGGCTATTGTGAACAATGTTGCAACAAACATGGGAGTGCAGGTATCTGGTATCTCTTCAACATATTGTTTTTCTTTTTTTGGATATATATTGTTGTTCTCATTTATATGTGGGAGCTAAAAAGGTGGATCTCAAGGAGATAGAGAGTAGACTGGTGGTTACCAGATGCTGGGAATGGTGGGAGGAAGAGAGGATGAAAAGAGGTTAATTAATAGGTACTAAAATACAGTTAAAAAGAATAAGACATAGTGTTCAATAGTACAGTGGATAACTGTAGTTAACAATAATTTATTACGTGTTTCAACATGGCTCAAAGAGAATTTGAATGTTTCCAATAAAAAGAAAAGATAAATGTTTGAGGTGATGGATATTCTAATTACCTTGATTGAATTATTACACATTTTATGCATGTATCAAAATATCATTTGCACCTCCCAAATGTGTAAAACTATTATGTATCAATTTAAAAAATTTAGAAAAATAACACGTGATTTTTAAAAAAACACCATTCTACTTTTTACTTCTATGAATTGAACTAGTTTTAGCCATTCTGTAAGGTTTATATATATTTAAAACATTATGTTATATATGACATATTTAACTTTATGTGTCAATTTAAATAAATTGAGTTAAACTCATTTTTTAAAAACTGGCAATAGACAAAAATTAAGGGAAAGGCACTGAGATATACATCCAGAATGGGCTATAAATTTCCCCAAAACAGTTTCAGAAAACATAGACTGAGAGAGAAAATGTATGATACTACACATGAATAAATGTAAAATATCACACGTAAGTTTATTCTTTGTTATTTTTCATTTATCTTTCTTCCATCTGAATTAAGTTGCCTTGAATCAACCTGCACCCTTATCACCCTGGAAGAACTTTATGACACTCTTGCGTATCTGTTTTGTCTTTACTCCATAAACAATAGGGTTTAGAGTTGGGGGAAGAAGAAGATAAAGATTAGCCACAATGATGTGAAGAGAAGGGGGAATTGTGTGTCCCCCAAAACGGTGGGCAAAGAAAGTGAAGAATGCTGGAACATAGGTGATGATGATGGCAGATATATGGGCAGTGCAGGTGCTGAAAGCCTTCTGCCGAGCATCTGATGAAGAGAGGCTGATCGCTGCCTTGAGGATCAAAGTGTAAGACAAAGATATACAACAAATGTCAAACACTCCAATCAGGAGAGCAACCATTAGACCATAGATTACATTGACCTTGATGCTGGCACAAGATAGCTTTACTACAGACATGTGGTCGCAGTACGTATGGGAGATAATATTGCTTTGGCAGAAAGGCAAACGCTTAACCAAGAATGGGAAAGGAATCATCAGCAATACACCCCTCAGGAAGGTGGCAAGCTCAGCCTTGGCAATGATAGGGTTGGTGAGTGTGGTAGCATAACGCAAAGGGTAGCAAATGGCTACATAGCGGTCTAGAGCCATGAGCATGAGCACCCCAGACTCCACACCTGTGAACCCATGAACAAAGAACATCTGGGCCAAGCAAGCATTGAAGTTAATTTCTTTGAGACTGAACCAGAAGATGCAGAGTGCATTGGGTAGAGTGGTGGTGCAGGTAAGGAGGTCAATGAGGGAGAGAGCATGGCCAAAAAAAAAATACATCGGATGATGTAAGGACTCCTCATAATAAATGAGGTACACAAGACCAAGATTCCCCACAAGGAAGATGATGTACATTGTGCAGAGTGGGAGGGAGATCCATACATGTACTCTTTCCAGACCAGGTATTCCATTAAGAATAAAAGATGGAGGAGTCACATGAATTGTTGGAAACCAGCATAATGAATTAAATAGAGGCATTCTATTTTTCCAGAAGTTTCATCCTGAAGAGAAGGAATTATGAAACAAATTTCATTCAAATTTTCCTTGCAAATACAAATTCAAATTTAGAATAAAATTAAGTTTATAATGGCACCAACAATTATACATAAGTGACTATGAAAATATACAATGTATTGAATAATACTGTATTCCAGATAACATTTTAAAAGTTTCATAAACAGTCTAAATGTAATTCCATAGCCATAAGTAAAAAGTTGTATTTTTTTTACCACAAAATAAAAGTAGAAACTGGGGCGCAGAAAGATTGAATAATATTAAATGTCACACAACTAGATTCAGGAACAGAAACAGTATTCATATATGACTTCAACATTCATGCAGTCTTTTTACTGTGCATCCCGGCTTCACAGAGGACATATCCTATGACAGCATGTGAAGCACGGTCCAAAATTTCTTCAGTAAATTAATGTTGTGTGCCAATACACAATAGGAAGATTATGGTTATTTCTACCAAATAGCACATTATTCATATTTCAGTTTTTTCTATACTAACTGTGTGACTTGATAAGCTTTATGTCACTCTCCAAGCCTCAGTTGCTCATCTTAAATGGGAAGCAGGTGATACCTACCTCAAAGAGTTCTGAAAAATAATCAGAAATTTATTTACTCTTAGGTTAATATTCTGATGGATTAGATATGCTGATTATTCAAAATGCAGGTATAGATTCAAAATGGATATAAAATACAGGACTAATGACCATAAATGTCAATCTGATTTGATGGTTACAAGAAGGAAGAAGAAAGAAACCTCTTTTTCTCAAGTACCCTATAATCCTTCAATGTCATTGAGATTATCTATTTTCTTTCCATATCTTCTCTTTTTATATAATTCTCAAGAAGCATATTATCTAGACTCTCACTTTATTCTCTTTTTGGGAAATGTTTTTACTCTTATGACCTCAAGTATAACCAACATGAAGATAATTTTCAGATAATTACTTGTATAAATAAGTTATGCCACAGCTGTTGAGTCCTTCTAAATGCATGACGACTATTTTCATCAGAAATATCCATAAAATTTTACATTTATTATGTCTAAGACTACACTTATTGCTTTAATCTCTACCTGTGCCCAAAATAGACTTTACCTCTAAGTTCTGTCTTTTGGATAATGGTGTCATTATCTACTACAATACCTAAACTAGTGTATTTATGATCTTCCCTGGTATTTCTCCACCTCATCTTGGATATAATTCATTTACAGCTCAAAGGGTCCAAATTGTTACTCCACCCAGGTCACATCAACATATCTATTTTCTGTAGTCTATCTTCAGAAAAAAAACTTTTAAATCAGAAAATTTCTTATATCAGCTCTTTCTTTCTAACACCACTTTCAGCGTAAAGACCACCTAGCCACATCCATTTATTTCTTGGCATTGCCTCTTTAGTATTTCATAAGTGAAATTTTTCCTGTAGTACAATTTTGAAGATGTTTTAATCCACTGCTTAATAATCTTCAATGTCTTCCCATTACTTTGAGAACAGGGCTCAAATTCCTTGGTATGACATTTAATAAAAGGAAATTTAGGTCTTATCTTTTCTTTCCTGTTTTATTTCTTTCCATTTTCTAACCACTTATAAGTATCCTGGCTTAAACAATGCATTATATAGTCAATGTAGTTTAGCATTTCGGGTTTAAATACTTGCTAATCCCCCCCAGATACATATACTTAAAGTCTATGTTGACTTTTCTCAATTTCTTTCATTTATTTGCAAATATCTCTGCAAAGTAAAGAATATTATAGCTGAAGTAAATTAGAGACTAGAAAAATAATAGAAAAGATTGACAAAAATAAGAGTAACTTTCCTGAAAACACAAAATGAAAATTAACAAACATTTAGCTAGATTAACTGAGGGGGGAAAAAAGAGAAAACTCAAATAAATAAAATGAAAATGAAAAAGGAGACATTACAACTGATACAACAGACATACAAAGGTTCATAAGAGACTACTATGAACAATTATACACCAATAAATTGAATAATGTAGAAAAAATGGATTATTTGACTCAGTAACATACCAAGACTGAAAGATGAAACAGAAAAGAAAGCCCAGAAAAAAGCCCATATATCTACAGCCAAAAAATTTTCAGCAAAGGTGCCAAGAACACACAATCAGGAAAGACAGTGTCTTCAATAAATGGTGTTGGGAAAACTGAATATCCACACTCAGAAGAAAAAAATTAGACCCTTATCTCATACCACATACAAAAATCAACTTAAAATAGATTAAAGACTTAAATGCCTGATGCTTATCTTAGTAACACTGAGATAGGATGTTACTTTCTTTGAAGAAGACTGTGGTTTCCAGAGTCCAGAATGAGCTATTGCCGTTAAACACCCTGATTTAGATACAGGATGTTTAACTTGCTTAATCAAGGCTATTAGTGATTAACTCAGAATGAAACATAGGTTTCCTTAGATCAGACTTTCACATATGCTCCATTAAAGCAAATCCCTTATAAACAGAATTAATGCAGAAGTTGTGGACTAACATGTAGTAGTTCAGTGATTTATTTTCTCATTTGTTTGATTTTGTATTTGTTTTCCTATTTCTTTGTTTTCCCTGTAGCAAGATGAGGCTTCATGTTTCTAGCATGTGACCTCTAATGCTCCTGCTTCTTAAAATTTCTTCCTTGTCCAGCATTGCAGTCATTGTGAAGGTAAATAGTAAGAAAGTTGTGTGGGATGATTTATATTTTTTTCTTTCAAAGGAGAAGGTAATTTGGTTACAAATACTATGCGGACTCACCCTGAGCCTACCCGACTTCTTTATTCTTGCTTGTGGTTCTGGGGAATTAAAAAAGGCAACAGAATGTAGGCACGCATTTGAGGTATAATAATAACAAAACATACCACATCAAGATATGCTGCAGCTTACGACCTTGTGTCAATCACAATTGCTTGTCCATCCTTGATGACAATGAGTTCCATTACCTGATGTAGATGTCCACGCCTCCAGTATCTGGTGAAGGGTGGAGTGATTGATCCTATCACTGTTGCATCCTGTGCGGCCTCCTCATCCCACGCTGGGCAGCCATTTGACACAAAATACATGTAGCATCCATGGTTGCCTCTGGCTGTTTACAACAGAAAACAGGCTCCTTTGAATTACCACTTTATCCTAACCTCCAGAAAATGTGGATGAATCAGGAACTGCTTAGAAGTTAGGAAAGCCAAGGAGACTTACTTTTTCACTTCCTTTTAACTTCCACGCTATACTTCTCTAGTGATGGCTTGGAACAGTATTTTTTCAAGGAATTCAGGAACCAGTACACAGAATAAAATCCTATCAGGCATCTGAACGACCTATCCTTGATTCTCTGGAGAGGAATGTCAGGATAAAGCTGGATCCAGAAAAGAGACTTCTAGATTCTCTTATGCTATTTTATCTTTTCTGTTGTTGCTCTAAAATGTTTTCCCAGAAATGTCAAATCAACCTTTTAATGACACAAAATGCTGTAATTGAATCTGAATGTCTCAAGTGTATGGACTCCAAATTAAACTGAACATATTTCATTTGTAAAATTAAAAAATATATATATATTATCGACTGTATCTGTGCCAGGCAATGTATCCTTTGGCACTTAGCAGAAGGACTTTCTCCATCTCTACTCTGGTGTTTTTAGGTTTACCTTGCACATAAATAGCAGATTTGCATATCAACTCCAATATTTATCCACACGACTAGACAAAAAAAAGTAATAGTAGTACTATTTGATTGTCTATATTTACCTGTTTAATATATTTGCTTAATATTTGAATTAACTGGTGAATTTAATCACACTCTTATAATGCATCTGCTAATTAAATAGTATCTAATCACTATCTAATCAAGACTCTTTGTTCAATAGCTTGCCAAAGATACAGAATTTTGTGCTGTCTACACTAAATACTGGTGAGGCACAACCCCATCTCTCTTAAACCAAACCAGAATTATTATTTGAAATTCACCTTTCTTCCTCCTTGCTACCTTCACATTTTCTCCATTTTTATGATGATGATAACTTGGGCACCAGTGCTCAAACAATTTATATTTATCCTGTCTCCTTACTGACCTGTGAGCTCTTTTAGTCTATGGGCCAAATCTGCCACCTATTTTATCCCATGAAAAAGGACAGTACCCAGCTTAAAAAAAGAATACTCAACAAATTGGAGTTGTATTGACTGACTCCAAGTTGTATGACCCAACTTAAGAAAAGGGAGGGACTGGGAAAGGATGGGCTAGTGACTTGAAGGGAAAAGTTTGTAGCTATTTGTTTTTTCCTGATTTAAGAGACAGTAAAGTTCTTACTGTCCACTTCTCTGACCCTGGCATTACAGCACATATTAAAAAAAAGAAGAAGAATAAATATAACGAGAGGAGTTCCTTAAATTCTAAAGGAGATTTTGAGGGCATCTAACCTGTACCTTGTCCACCAAGAACACATATCCCTTACAAGTACTATCTCTGCTTTGAATGTGGAATGAACATACTCTTCCTAATTTTCTCAGACTAAGAAATCACCAACAACATTTTCTGCAAGTCAGTGTCTTTGATCCTTATGATGACACAAACTGGCTAGAACAAGACAAGGCTTTGTCACACAATAATGTCTGGAAGGCAGAAATCTCTTACCCACAATATAGCTCCTGAGGAGAAGTGATGTGAAAGGTGTTCATGCCAGGGAGAGGGCCCAGGAATGCATGTGATGGCAGGACCCTGGCTTCAGCTTATAGAGTTTGGATCAGAAGTGCTTAGTCCAGCCGAGTTCCCACAGGAAACAGGCATAATCTCATATGCTCGAGAGTCTCAGTGTGAAACTGGGCTTCGGAGACCCCAGAGACCACAGAGCCCTAAGGGAAAGATTCCTATATGTGAGGGAAAAAACTTCTGTGACTATAGCTGGGCTCCAAAAAAGAGCAGTCAGGAAAGCAAATCCCATGCCACAGCTATCCCACCATTAGGACTAGAAGTTGGCAATTCGTGTCTAAGGCAATTAAAAATAAATAAAAGATGTATATGAGTGTGATATCATAAGTGTGTTGTTATTTATTATTGTTAATTCTAAAATAGTAAATGCTTATTAGTCGAAAAAGAAAAAAGTAACAATAAAGGCACTTCTGAATAGTACATACTTCAGATACTCAGAAACACTTGCTATTAGGATTTTGTGTGTTTTTATTTCCAGGTATGTGTAAATTTTTTTTGAAAATCACAGTTTTCAGAATATTCATAGTTTAGAGGATATTTTATCACGGTTTTTTCCATTATGTCATGAATATTTCACTCTTTCACTCCTCTGCAATATGTCAAAGTCAGCAAAGCTACTTTATGGCTATAAACTTTCCTTTACGTATTTTTAAAATTTAAAACATTGAGTTAATTTCCAATATGTTACAACTTGATGGTGAACATCAACACAATCATGATTAATTCCATTGGAAAATTTATAGACCTGAATAGATATTGAGTAAAAAATATGCTAATTTTAAAGCTTTTATGTTGCTAGACTTTTATCCCCCCAGAAAGATTGCACCAAAACTCTACTGTATGCTCTTGAACACAATCCAAGTATATATGCCACCTTATTCAGTAAGGTTCTCTATGAGTAACTGGTCTCCCCCAGCTATAGGTGCCAGATAATGGAAAGTAAAATAGAACAGGCCATAAGTAGATGTAAGTGGGACCAACCTTACCCATAGTCAGAATTGAGGGTCATTGTTACGTTGGATTTCTTGGTGTGCTGAAATTACGATTTAACTTCCCGATAAACTACCTTTCTGAGCGTGAAGATTTTCTACTTAACATTCAGTAATTTCAGGGCCAGCTGTGGTGGCTCACACCTGTAACCCCAGCACTTTGGGAGGCGGAGGCGGGCAGATGGCTTGAGGTCAGGAATTCAGGACCAGCCTGGCCAACATGGTGAAACCTCAGATCTACTAAAAATACAAAATTAGCAGGGCGTGGTGGCAGGCACCTGTAATCCCAGCTACTCGGAAGGCTGAGGCAGGAGAATTGCTTGAACCTGGGAGGCAGAGGTTGCAGTGAGCCAAGACTGCACCATTGCACTCTAGCCTGGGCGACAAGCAAGGCTCCGTCTCCAGAAAAAAAAAAAAAAAATTCAGTAATTTTGATAAGCATTGTAGTTTCTCAGCCTCCACTTTTTAAATATGAACAAACAAGTTATCAGTAACCTAGTTTATTCAAATCATTTTCTTTAATTATTCATTCAAGAAAATAACTATCAAGAAAATTAAAAGAAAGATGCAGTTATGAGCTAAAATAAAGCAGAGGACTATCTGTATTCCTCCTGGCAAGTGTGTCAATAGGTGAATGGATAAAGAAAACATCATATATATATATATAATAGAATATTATTTAACCTTCAAAAGAAAGAAATTCTACCATTTATAACAACATGGATGAACCTGGAAAACTAAGTGAAATAAGCCAGGCATAGAAAGATAAATACTTCATTATCTCACTTACATGTAGAATTTTTAAAAAGCCAAATTCATAGAAACAGAGAGAAGGGTGGAAACAGATTAGAAGCATGTTAGGGGGTGAGGGAAATGAAGAGATGGTGGCCAAAAAATATAAGCTTACAGTTATCAAATGAGTACATTATAAAGACATAATGTGCAGTATGGTGACTAGAGTTAATAATAATGCATTGTATATTGAAATTTGCATAAAAAGTAGGTCACATATTCTCACAGTTGTATGTCCGGGTTTGAGTCTTCTATCAACAATTCTTCTAGGTATTTTGGCATTTCTTGGTATTTCTTAAAAATCACATTTTGAATTTGGTTCTTAAAAATTATTTCATAGTGGTTGGGATAAATTATTCTTTGCTTTAGCAGTTTTCTCTTTTAATAGCAATCATAAAGTCAGACATTTGACATCCTGAGGAGATGATCTATATCATTACTTTTATGTTTTACATTGCCTTGCCTTTTTCGTGTCCTTTTTGTGAGATTTTCACAACTTTATATTTCTTTTCTTGGATATTTTTGCTATCATTCCTTCTTCTCTGTTATAAATGTTATTTTCTAATTGTCTATAACTCCTTTCCTTTTTTGATTGGTCCAAAATATTCTCAGAAGTCTCTGAAAAAATATTGATACTGGAAACATACTTCAAGAATAATGAAGATGATGATACTGAACTAATGAAGAAGAAAATATAATCCCTACTTTGCTGTAAAGTGATTAGCATTCACATTCAACACTCATAAAATTATTTATATAATTATAGTAATTCAAATAGTATTTATTAGTTTTCCGTTATTGCAACCAAACTATAAACAAATCAAAAAGATTTCCAGAATTAATGCAAGGTGGTAATTATCTTGTAACAGAAAATTAAAGATATAACATTGATGTTTTATATGTGTGTGTGTGATTATATACATACACATTTACACATAAAATATTTTGAGGGAAAGGGCAGGTGACAGATATAGATACAGGTATTAAATTAAATCCTCACTGTGTGTAACAGAGTAGTTGGTAATCTATTAAAGTTTAAACATAGCTTGGAGTAAAAGACATAACCACCAAAAAGAAGAACAACAAAAACATACACATACACAAACAATATATATATATTTTTATATTTTTTTTATTATACTTTAAGTTCTGAGGTACATGTGCACAACGTGCAGGTTTGTTACATATGTATACATGTGCCATGTTGGTGTGCTGCACCCATTAACTCGTCATTTAACATTAGGTATATCTCCTAATGCTATCCCTCCCCCCTCCCCCCACCCCACAACAGGCCCCGGTGTGTGATGTTCCCCTTCCTGTGTCCAAGTGTTCTCATTGTTCAATTCCCACCTATGAGTGAGAACATGCAGTGTTTGGTTTTTTGTCCTTGCGATAGTTTGCTGAGAATGATGGTTTCCAGCTTCATCCATGTCCCTACAAAGGACATGAGCTCATCCTTTTTTATGGCTGCATAGTATTCCATGGTGTATATGTGCCACATTTTCTTTATCCAGTCTATCATTGTTGAACATTTGGGTTGGTTCCAAGTCTTTGCTACACAAACAATATTTTTAAGAGGCCATCACTAAAAAGGGACTAGATGGAGGACATTTTCAAAAGGAAAGTTTAATTTTTTTATGATGATGTTGTCTTTGTTGTTTTATTATGATTTGTATAAATATGCACATATTATTTATGCTAAAGTTAACATACTTCTGAAAGAAAAGAAAGTATATATACTTTGTAAACTATAGACAGTTTTCATAGGAAGCAAGAAAGAAATGTCTCACAGCTTAGGGAGGTGAGAGTATGTGCTCAAGACATATTATTTTAAATAAAAATGTTGAAGCATAGTACACAGGCAAAAAGAGCAGATATTACAAATAATAGGCTCATGAAATATCACTAAGTTGATACACCCTGCAACTACCATCCAGGTCAAGAACTAATCAACGGTGGTACCTCAGAAGCATCCCCCTCATTACCTGGTTTCTCATTCTCAAAGTTAAACATTATCTCAGTTAGTTTGGCCTACTTCTGAACTGTACATCAATGACAATATATAATATGTGTTTTTATCTCTTTCACCTAATACTATATTTGAATAGACCACAATTATTTATTTATGTTGTCTAATGTTGATGGACATTGGTGTGATTGCCAGCTTCTGGGTATTACAGGCATGCTTCAATTTACAACTTTAGAAGTTTTCTGGTTAACATATGTATGGGTTGCTACTGGATAGATATACAGCTGGCAAACTTGGGATAGAAGCAGAATAAACTCTAAGTGATTTTGGCAGGAAAATGATGAGCTAAGTAAGTTAGGACAGACATAAATGAACACGGCTCATGTTTTGCCAGAGATTTAAATTTTTTAAAAAGTTTCACTCCAGTGTTAGTGATCCAACCACTGTGCTGCAAATTTGTGTAGACTGTCATTTAGGAGAGAAGATGATGTCTGTGAAGATTAAATGCAGTGAACTTCGAAGTCCTCTATAGTAAAAAGGCTTTAAAGAACATGGAATAACATAAGAGAGGGTATTTACCTATTTGAACATGATGGTACCCTTTCCAAAGATGTAGAGTAATCCGAGTATCATAAAAATATTCCTGTGGCCAGATTTCTGGTGTCATTTAAAGAGCTCCCTATTGACTTGGTGATCTCAACCTGGCTAAGAAAATTCTAACATCTCAGAAGACTTTAAAAGTTATGAGAATTGTCCTTTCCCTTAAGAAAGAACCTAATGACACTTTCTCGTACCTGCCTGGTTTTCACCCCATACACAATAGGGTTCATTGTGGGAGGCATTAGTAGGTAGAGATTAGCCATAATAATATGTATGTGTAGAGGAATGGTGTGTCCCCCAAAATGGTGTGTAAAGAAGGTAAAGAAGGCTGGAACATAGGTGAGGACTATGGCACAGAAGTGGGCAGTGCAGGTGCTGAAGGCCTTCTGTCGAGCATCTGCTGATGATAGACTCACAACTGCTTGAAGAATCATAGTGTAGGAGATTGTAATGCACAGGATATCAAAGCCCCCAATCAGCAGGGCAACTATCAAACCATAGATGGCGTTAACCCTGACATTACCACAAGATATCTTGGCCACAGACATGTGGTCACAGTAGGTGTGGGGTATGACGTTGCCCTTGCAGTATGGAAGGCGCTTGGTGAGGAAAGTGGAAGGGATAACAAGCATCACACCCCTAAGAAAAGTGAGGAACCCAGCTTTAGCAATGACTGAATTAGTGAGGATGGTGGCATAACGCAGAGGGAAGCAGATGGCCACACAGTGGTCCAGGGCCATGAGCATGAGCACCCCAGACTCCATCCCTGTGAAGGTGTGCACAAAGAACATCTGGGCGAGGCAGGCTTTAAAATCAATCTCCTTGAGATTAAACCACAATATGAAGAGAGTGTTGGGAAGGGTGCTGGTGCACATGAGCACATCTGTGAAGGAAAGAAGGGCAAGGAAGACATACATAGGTCTGTGTAAGGCCTCATCACAGTAGATGAGGTACATAAGGCCGAAGTTCCCTGTAATAGCAATGCTGTACATGGTACACAGTGGGAAGGAGATCCACAAATGCACATCTTCCAAACCAGGGATGCCATTTAGGATGAATGAAGCTGGAGTTAGGCTGGTGCCATTTAGAAATGACATAATGACTGTTGGAAGTTCATTGTATAGCAGTTATAGCATTGCCTCTGTGAGCAGGAAATAAAAAAAAGAGTAATTTCAAGGAGTGACTGACCATCAGTCTTCTTTCCCATAATGGCTATTTTGTTTTCCTTGTAGATCAATGACTATATTTGTTCTATTATGTTTAATATGTGATATATACACTGTCTGGGTGTGTGCCTTAAGCATTAGGTGTTGACAGGAAAAACTGAGTCTAGTCAGTACATTTGGACCTGAATATCTGGGGTCTTTGTTATCATGTAGTCCATTCTCCAGGCCAACGTTGGCCATGAACTGAACAACTCTGTGGTCAAGAATTGATTAAATATTTGCTCTATTCTAGGTGCTCACCATCTTAGAGATCTCCGTTGTATTCTGAAATGTTAACAGACTTCATTAGTTCCTGTGGGCTTACCTTTCA
This sequence comes from Homo sapiens, assembly GCF_000001405.40. NCBI lineage: Eukaryota > Metazoa > Chordata > Mammalia > Primates > Hominidae > Homo > Homo sapiens. Next base: position 5,789,256 of record NC_000011.10, read on the forward strand.
AATTAAATCTGTCCTAATGGACATACTGACAATATTTTCAATCTAGTTTTAGCCCAAACTCCACCCTTTTGGTTTGCAGAAAACCTAAATACAGAAAAATATGAATCATCCCCTTGTAGCTGTAGTTTTCTTGAAGCGAAATCATAGAATGATCTTAGAGGCAAATAAATAATAATAATAATAATCCACTTTCTAATATCAGCAAAAGACCACTTGTTTTATAAGTACCATGATATATAGAGGATGAAGGATCATTAAAAATGCAAGAACTTATGAGAATCCAATGTTTTCCTAAGATTACAGTCTAGTCTAATTGACTCTAGAGTCAATTCAGTGAAAATAAAGATGCTTATCATCTTAAACAAAATAAATTGACATTCCCTTTAGAACATAGTGCTTTATATTCTACCCATATCAAAACTTCAGCCATAGAATCAAATATTTTTGAGGCTTAAAATAAAGAATATTTTTATCAAATATTTTTGAGGCTATGTAATCTCCAAAACTAAGTTTCTTTTGTATACAGAAGATGTTCAATACGTTTTTCAAGGCCCACAGAAGAACAGGCAGTGGTAGAACAAGGACCAACAAAACACTTCTGAATAGTAAGGGAGAGAATATTTGGTGTGATAGTGTGCTGTGAGAAAATAAGAACAAACTCAAAGTTATGACCACAGAATAGATGAAAATAGGCTTCACGGGTCTGAAGAAGTGGGCTATATCAGCCGGAATGTGTTGATTAAAATTTTTTAAAAGGAGCAAGTTGTGTGATGGGGGCATATCCCATATAGAAGGATATTGGAGGAAAACTAAGTAGGCTTTCTAATTTAAAAATATCAATATTGATATTTATAGTTCCTCCTTGACATATTGGAGGTGACCCACCTGTCACTTCAGGGATGTCACTATTGAAAATTTAAGGTTGTATAAAACTGGCTATCCTATTTTCATATGTGTCTTTTATAAAATTTTTATGTCCTTATTTTATGAAATATTAGGGCTGTATAAATGAACTCTTGTCACTTTTCTAATTGAGATATAATTCAAATAACATTACTATCATGTGAAATAGAGGCAACTCACTGAAAAGAAGACAAAACACAGAAAAGTATGGAATGAGGCTGTCATCTCTCTTTTTTTCAGATCACAGAAAAAATTCTTTTCTCTCAGAAATGCTGCTTTTAGCTTTCACAGCCAGAGGGAATAAATAGAATACTTCCTGCAAAGATTGTTTCAGTAATTGAAATGTGAATATTTTATCCAAAGTGAAAATGGAACATACAAGCCAGTTTGTCTGCTGCACCATTTTAAAAGCTAGGAGAATAACTCTTCTGACAACTCTCTTACTCATCCTCATTTCTCAGCTACTGTAATCTGCACCCATCCCTTTAATAAGAATAAAGAAATCTCAGTTCAGAAATCTGCTCACCCTAATGATCAGTGATGTTGAGCTTTTTCTCATATGATTGTTGGCCACATACGTGTTTTCTTCTGAGATGTGTCTGTTCATATCCCTTTCCTACTTTTTAATAGGTTGTTTTTTTCTTCTAAATTTAAGTTCCTTAAAGATCTGGATATTAGACCTTTGTCAGATACATAGTTTGCAAAAATGTTCTCCTATCCTGTAGGCTGTCTGTTTACTCTGTTGATAGTTTCTTTTGCTGTGCATAACTCCCATAGGAGGGAGAGAATCAGGAAAAATATCTAATGGATACTAGGCCTAATACCTGGGTGATGAAATAATCTGTACAACAAACCTCCATGACACATATTAACTTATGTAACAAACTTCCAAATCCTGCACATGTAAGCCTGAACTTAAAATAAAAGCTTAAACAAAAGTAAATCTGCTTACCCTGAAAACTACCGGAGTTCCTCAAGAAACTGAAGACCTATCCATGGATCAAGTCATATTTATGTCTATATGATCCTCTTGGTCCTGAAGGAGAAATATAATACCTACATTGAGACCTTGGGAGGCAAGTGGAGGAGGGAACATTTCTATTATCTGTCCATATGTGTGTGTACGTGCATGCATGCATGTGTGTATGTTGTGGATGTTTTATATTCTGAAGTTGAGTAATGGAAAACACTTGGTTGTTATTGTCTCTACTGTAGTCTCAGAAGAGAAGTGATTTCCCCGGTGAATGCATTTGTGTATGTGTGTATGTTTAGAATATGAACAAAAGAGAATTAAGAATCAGGTATATCTGGGTCCTAAGGATACTGGCTAAGCCAGTGGGAGCAGTCTTCAGAACTATTTTGACGTCATTATAGTCTGGGACTCCTGGGGACATAATTTTTTACAGGTACAGCAGAGATACATATGTCTGAAACCACTTGGAGTATCATAATTAAATCCTTTTGAGAGGCACACCTGCCTCTTTTTTCAAAACTTAGCACAATGTCATGCACAAAATTAGTACTGAAAAAGATGTTTTTAAAGAAAACTTAAATAATGCCGGTATGCAAACAATTGAGTTGTATATGTGAACTTTTATTTCATGTCTCCAATATATTTGCTTATTATTTATAACATTTTTATGAACATGATTTGGAATTATCTAGACATATTTTTCACTCTGTGAAAAATGAGTAATTTGCTTCTTTCTTTCCTATTTGTATGATTTTTTCTTGCCTTATTGCACTGGTTAAGATCTTCCTTCTATGCAATGTTTACCAAGAGTAGCAATAATGAATATCTTTGCTTCATTACTAAGGACTGGGTATAATGATGCCTACTGAGGGTAATGAAACTTAGTTCCAAATGATTATATAAAGACCTAGACTAATGGTACAGTGCAGAAGCATAGCTATGCCATAATAAAAAATAATATATTTCACTTAACAATGCCCTCTAGGTTCATCTATGTTGTTGCTTGTGACAGAATTTTCTGAATTTTTTAAGGCCAAATAGTATTCCATTGTGTACATATTCCATATTTTTAAACCCATTCATTCATTGATGGACACATTTTGACTATTGCAAATAATACTGCAATGAACACGAGGTTGCAGACATCTCATTAACATATTGATTTCAATTTCTTTGAGCATATACCCAGTGAGACTGCTGGATCATATGGTAATTCCGTGTTTGATTTTTTGAGGAACCTCTATACTGTTTTCTAAAAGAACTATACTAATTTAAATTCCCAACAAGAGTGTATAATGGTTCACTTTTCTCAACATTTTCATCAACAGCTCTTATCTTTCATCCTTTTGATAATAGCCAATGTAACAGGTGTGAGGTAATGTCTTATTATGGTTTTAATTTGCAGTTCTCTAAAGATTAGTGATGTTGAGCATTTCCTCACATACTTTTTGGCCACTTGTATGTCTTCTTTTGAGACATTTTTATTCAAGTCCTTTCTCTACTTTTTATAGGGTTTTTTTTTTGGCAATTGAGTAGTTTGAATTCCTTGTTTATTTTGGATATTAGTCCTTATCCAGCATATGATTTGCAAATTTTTTTTCAATCTGAGAAGTTATCTCTCTATTGGTATTTTTGGCTATACAGAAGCATTTTAATATAATCCAATCTCAATTGTTTATTTTTGCTTTTGTTGCCTGGTGCTTTTGGGGTCACAGTCATTAAATCTTTGCCCAAACCAATGTCATGGAGCTTTTCTCCTATGTTTTCTTTTATTAATTTAATGTTTCAAGTTTTATATTTGAATCTTTAATTTATTTTGAGTTGATTCTTGTATAAGAGACAAGCTAAGGGTTCATTTATATTTTCTGTATGTGGATATCAATTTTTCCCAATACCATTTATTGAAGACAGGTCCTTTTCTTTTTAAATGTGTGGTTTGCTTCTGGGATCTCTAGCCCATTCCATTGGTCAATGTATCTGTTTTTATGCCAGTACCATGCTGTTCTGATTACTATAGCTTTGCAATATATTTTGAAATTCTGTAGTGTGGTGTCTCCAGCTTTATTCTTTTTGGTCAATATTGCTTTGACTAATTAAGGTCTTTTATAGTTCCATAGAAATTTTAAGATTTTTTTCCATTTCTGTGAAGAATGACATTGGAATTTTTATAGAGATTGCATTGAATCTGCAGATTGCTTTGGGCTTTATAGACATTTTAAGAATATTAATTCTTCCAGTCCATGAACACGAGATATCATTCCATTTATTTATGTCATCTTCAATTTCTCTTTTTTAACTTTTATTTTAGATTTGGTGGTACTTATATTTCTAATTTTATACTGTTACTATATTTTATTGATTGTCATAGCATTATAATACATTTTTAAATTAGTGTAAGCACTGTCAATTAGGTCCTTCTTTAAAAAGATTCTTTGGATATCCTTTGTCCTTTGCATTTCCATAGATAATTTAGAATTAATTGTGTAATTTCTACAAAAAGCTGTCTTGGATTTTTGTGAAGACAATATTGAACCTATAGATCAATTTGAGATTCCACAAACTGCACTCATAGGATGGCAAACTTAATTTATAAATGTTGTATGTATTCTCATTGCTACACTGGCCAGCCACTCTCCTGTCTCTCTCCCTCTTCTTGGGCCCCCCTATTCCTTCAGGCACAACAATATTGAAATTAGGCCAATAAATGACCCTGCAATGGTCACTAAGTGTATAGTGAAAGGAAGAGTCACATACCTCTCAATTTAAATTAAAAAATATATATATAAATGATTAAACTTAGTAAGAAAGGCATGACAAAAGCTGAGATAGACCAAAAGCCAGTCCTCTTATGCCAAACAGTTATCCAAGTTGTGAATGCAAAAGAAAAGTTATTGAAGGAAATTAAAGGGATACTGCAATGAACACATAAATGACAAGAAAGCAAAACAGCCTAATGGCTGATATAAAGAAAGTTTAAGTGGTCTAGACCAAACCAGCCACGATATTCCCTTAAGCCAAAACCTAATCTAGAGCAAGGCATCAACTATTTTAATTCTTTTAAGCCTGATAAATGTAAGGATGTTGCAGAAGAAAAGTTTAAGTTAGCAGAAGTTGGTTCATGAGGGAAAGAAGCCATCTCCATAACACGCAAGTGCAAGTGTTGATGTAGAACCTGCAGCAAGTTATCCAGAAGATCCCACGATCATTGATAAAAATGGATTCACTAAACAACAGATTTTCAATGTAGATGAAACAGCCTTCTCTCTCTCTCTCTCTCTCTCTCTCTCTCTCTCTCTATATATATATATATATATATATATATATTTATTTATTTATTTATTTATTTATTTTGAGACAGAGTTTCACCATTGTCACCCAGGCTGGAGGGCAGTGGCCCGATCTTGGCTCACTGCAACCTCTGCCTCCCCGGTTCAAGTGATTCTCCTGCCTCAGCCTCCCAAGTAGCTAGGATTACAGGCTCCCTTGCCACGTCTGGCTAACTTTTTGTGTTTTTAATAGAGACAGGGTTTCACCATGTTGGCTAGACTGGTCTCAAACTCCTGACCGCAAGTGATCCACTCACCTTGGCCTCCCAAAATGCTGGGATTACAGGCATGAGCCACCGTGTCTGGCTGAAACAGCCTTCTTTTGGAAGAGCATGTCATCATAGAGAGGATAAGTCAATGTCTGTCTTCAAAACTTCAAAGAACAGGCTGACTATCTTGTTAGGGGCTAATGCAGCTGGTGACTTTAAGTTGAAACCAATGCTCATTTACCAATCCCCAAATCCTAGGGCCCTTAATAATTATTCTAACTCTATGTTGTCTTTGCTCTCTATATAGAACATCAAAGCCTGGATGACAGTACATACGTTTAGAGCATGGTTTATTGAATATTTTAAGCCCACTGTTGAAACCTACTGCTCAAGAAAAATGGATTCCTTTCAAAATATTCCTGCTCATTGACAATGTGCCTGGCAACTCAAGAGCTGTAATGGAAATGTACAGGGAGATTAATTTATTTTCAAGGCTGCTCATACAACATCCATTCTGCAGCACATGGAACAAGAAGCAATTGTGACTTTCAAGTCTTATTTATTTAAGAAATACATTTTGTAAGACTATAGCTGCCATAGATGGTAATTGTTCTGATGTGCATGTGTAAAGTCAATTGAAAACCTTCTAGAAAGGATTCACCATATTAGATACCATTAACAACATTTATAATTCATGGGATGAGGTCAAAATATCAACATTAATAGGGGTTAGAAATAAGTTAGTTCTAACCCTTATAAATGGCTTCGATGGAGTCAAGACTTTACTGGAGGAAATCACTAAAGATGTGATGTAAATAGCAAAAGAAATAGAATTGAAAACGAAACCTGATAATGTGACTGAATTGCTGCAATCTCATGATAAAACATGAATAATGTGGAGTTGATTTTTGTGGATGAGCAAAGAAAATGGTTCCTTGAGATGGAATCTACTCTTGGTGAAGATGTTGTGAACATCGTTGAAATGACAACAAAGGATTTTGAATATTACCTGGATTTAGTTGAGAAAGCAGTAGTATGGTTTGAGAGGATTAACTCTGAAAGCTGCTTCACTGTGGGTAAAATGCTATCAAATAGCATTACATACCACAGGCAAATCTTTCATGAAAGTAAAAGTCAATCAATGGGGCAACATTTATTGTCCTATTTTAAGAAATTGCCACAATCACTCCAAACTTCAGCAACCACCACCCTAAGTAGTCAACAGCAGTCAAAGACTCTCCACCAGCAAAAAGATTATGGCTCACGGAAGGCTCAGATAATCGCTAGCGTTTTTTAGCAATAGCATATTTTTAAAAAGGTCTATATATTTTTTAGGCATAATGCTATTGTATACTTAATAGACCATGGTATAGTGTAAACATACATTTTATGTGCACTGAGAAACCCAAAATTCATGTGACTCACGTTATTGCAGTGGTCTGAAACCAAATCTGTGCTATGTCTAAGGTATGCCTGTATTATAACCAGATAAATAGACTTCATTTTAATTTCTCACACCTATTCATAAGTATATTATTATATATGCATAGCATTTATAAGCAGATATACCTGCTTAATACAGTTTTAATTCAGAAAACAAACAAAAAGCAAAAAAAAAAACCGAAGTAAGGATATTTTTCAAAGATTTTCTGACTTGAGGAACTTTGTAGCAGAGTCTAGGACTTGAAGCATTACCTAGCATCTGATAGCTTACTATTTATTTAAGTATTATTTTAAAAATGCTATTAATATTGTAACTCAGCAAGTTTTAAAAGGAAAGCTGACATCTATGTTTTTCATTTATTAGCTATCTGCTCTGGAATAAAGCTACACACCACCATATTGTTAATAATTGAAGACTCACTCTGGGCTGAAGCTCTATGGCATAGAGCTTATTTTATGTGTTTCGGTAAGCGAGCTGGCTCACTGAAAAAGAAAAAAGGACCTACATTTGTGGGGATTCTGTCCATCGTAGCTGCTTGTGCTAGAAGAAAGATGTGCCATTACATCATATTACTGTTTACCGTTTTCTCCTCTCCATAGACTGCATTCATTCTACAAACCCAAGGTATTAAATTGTGGTCACGATGTTCTTTGATTCCTTTCCAGACATCTGTCTACTTTGAGGATAATTTCAATCCCAGCCTTTGATGTTTCCTTAAACTTGATCAAGATGTACTAACGGGGATTGCAACAGAAAAGAATGCTATATTTCTACTGAAGTAAAGGGGAACAGTGATGGAGAGACAGTGCATTTAACAGTGTTAACCTTTCAAATAAAGACATAACTCAGCCTTATTGCAGAATATATATTTTAATGAGCCCCTAGCATAAAACATTCTGAAATTGTTTACTCAATATTTTTGAGAAAGCTTTAAAATACCCACATGGCACATGAATAAATATATAAAATGTTATGAAACTGGAATGGAACTGCCCTAGGGAGTCAGGTAAAATTCCAGGTTTATGATTCAATAGATGCTAGACACTTCACATGTCCCATCAATAATAAAATTTGAGATTTTTTTCTGTCAGGCATAGACATATTCTAATTATAGATCTATTTTCAACAAAGGTAAATTCACCTCCTTTTCAGAGACCTATGGGACATCTATCTGTAAAGCCCCAAAGAATTTTTTTACCTTGGCTTGGAAAATCCCCAGAGAAGATATTAAGTTTGTTACATAGGGTTCCTCATCAATATTGTGCAATTATTTCTAAGTAATATCAGTCATGAATGGGAATTTAAAAACATCTGGCACCAGGGTGAGTTTGGATGAAAATGGTTCAGATAAAAAGAAAACAAATATATAAAATGCACAAAATTGCTACTATATAGGAGGGATTTAAATGAGAGAGCAGTTGAATAAGGAAGTTCTGAATTACTTCACTCTTTAGAATTTTGAAACCAAGGAATTTGCAAATTGCCTTGAGGAGGGAGAAGAGGGAGAAAATTAAATGTAGTTTAGGTCCTGAAGGAAGGGGATTCCATGAGGCTGATGTGACAAGGACCAAAGAGATATAGGCAAGCATATTTCTATACAATAATAGAAAAACTTCTCTGCCCTCCATAGATGGAAGAGTATTCCTCAGGAAGCAGTAACATCTCTACCATTGAAAATGAATTAGTGTAAGAGTTAGGATGGAGGGTGGGAAGACGGAAAAGATCAGAAAAAATAACTAATGGGTACTAGACTTATTACCTGAGTGATGAAATAATCTCCACAACAAACCCCCATGACAAAAATTTAACTATGGAACAAACCTGCACTTGTATCCCTGAACTTAAAAGTTAAAAAAAAGAACACTTGGAAGAAATTCTAGTGATCATGTAGCCCAAGTTCTTGACGACATTAATGACATATGCCGTTTTCCCACTGCTTGATACCTCAGATGGCAGTGATCCCATTATCTTATTAGAAAATTTTATCTGTGTGAATGGGCAACATTCCTCAAAGCCAAATTTACATTTCTGTAACATTTTTCTATTTATAATATGTTTATTTTGGGGATATGCAAAATAATACAAAAGACAATTTGCATGCATCTACTACATGTACTCTTCCCAATTCTAAATATCTCCGATTTCATTAATTTTTAATTTTTGTAGATAAGATTAAGGACATCTTGAAACTTGAAATCATGTCTTCCTAATACGTTTTTATTTTTCAAAGTTTATTGTGACACTAATTTGTTAAGGTATTTATGTATAAGCAGGAGAACCATCCAAAAAGGAGATTTTAGAATTTATTCATCCATCCGTTCATTATACAGCTTGGGATGAACATAGCAGGCATTGATACTGCAAGTAGAAATATCTTTAATTGTACATGTTTGTTAAGCTTGAGAAAACTTCAGTAGGTATGGATGGACTGAGAGAATGAGAATTAGAATACTGGGAGATACATTCAGATATTTAAAAGAGCCCTAATTGTGTAGGATTTTGTAAACAAATATAAGGATGTTGGTGTTTGCTCTGAGTAAGACGGAAGTATCCAGGAGGTTTTAAGGGATGGCTGGATATAATTTTATTTTCACTTATTTTGTAGAGCGATATAATGATAATAATACTAACAATAATTGTGATAGTATTACGTATTTTTCTTATTATGTTCCAGGTTGTGCTGAAAAATTACATGGTTTACTTTACTTAACATTAAAAGTATTTTGCCTTAAAGCAAAATGCTTTAAAAATAATCAGTTCTATTTTTTATTGTTTTCTAGAAGGTTTTACTTTTATCTTTTTTATATACTGAGATTATTTATACAGCAACACTTGAAAAGATTTCCACTGATTAATGGTTAAAAAAAACTCTGTAGAAAACTCTAGGTTAAATCCCATCACAGCGATAGAGACAGACGGACACACACACACACACACACACACACACACACACACACAGAGAAAGAGAGAGAGAGAGAGAAGCAATCAAAATTAGAACTTTGAAGAAGGAGATTAACATATAACAGAAGATAATATAAAATAATTTGTTAAACTGCAATGATATGGAAAAATGAATAATTCAATTTGGTAATCTAAAGCAACCAATAACTGGGGAAATATTTTTAAAAAGAATGAAAGAAAGAAAGAAAGAAGGAAAGAAACAAAAGGTAAGACTATGGAGTCTCACTTTAATCAGAAAAGCTTACAAGGTTAGATTCATGTTTCAGACTTCAGAAGAAAGATGGAAAGCTAACCATTCTCAAAAACTGGACTAAAAAATTAGTAAAGATTTTATCCTACCCAATATAATTGTCTATAGTTATTTGGGGGCTAAAAATGATACATCAAAAGAAGGTATAAAATTATGATCATAGGTAATACATGTACTGTATATTAATAGTATATGTAAGCACACTTAAAGAGTGATATATATCATGGATTTATCATATGTATCATGCTTATATATATCATGCTTATCAACATAGAGATTTGAGGAGAGTTAACAAAAAGCATGAAAATTACGTAGAGCTTAATAATGTTATTAGCTAAATGCAAACATTTCAAAAATATTTCATGCTTACCATCAAGAAACCTGAAAGAATACAAAAAGAGACGAATACAAAATACACATGGCCATGATTTATAAATTGTAACTTATTATGTACCTTTTTGGCCCTTCCCATCTCTGTCCTTGATTTTTCTGACTTGGAAAATCCAGACCTGCCAGGTTTACACTTGTATATAGATCAAGCTGAATCATAATAGAAGTGCATAATTGGTAGGTGCTGACATAATTTGATTAACTATAACCCAGTGGACACATCTCAAAGTATTTCTTGAAAGAAGGGATAGTTTGTAGTGAATTAAGAAAATCAATGTTACTTAAATAGAGTTTATAATTTGGAAATTGGTTGAGGTTGCAAAGTCAAGCATTACTAAATGGCCCAGGAATGTAAGCAGACACATATAAACAGAGTTTCCAGTAGAAAACCAAGCCAGGCCAGGGCTTTGGCACTATGTTTACAATATGTTTTTATTCTGTTGGTTCAGTTACAGTCATAGGACCATTCAATAGAATCAAAAAACATAGTTTGGATACAAAATGATTATTTTTTCCTAAATTTATTATTTAGATTGTGAAAAATGCGTTTTTATATTTTTTTCTCTGGATGAAAATAATCTCACTACTCTCTCCTTATACAGGACAACTTTATTGGCACAAAAACTAGCATGTTTTGTAATTGGTGAGCATCATGAATGGAGCCAACAGCTCCAGCCTGACACCAAGATATTTCATTCTCAGTGGCGTTCCTGGGCTGGAAGCTGCACACATCTGGATCTCCCTGCCTTTCTGCTTCATGTACATCATTGTTGTTTTGGGGAACTGTGGACTTATATACCTCATTAGCCATGAGGAGGCCCTGCACCAACCCACCTACTACTTCCTAGACTTGCTGTCTCTTACAGATGTTACTGGATGCACCTCATTTGTTCCCAATATGTTATGTATTTTTTGGTTTGGCCTCAAGGAAATTGACTTTAATGCCTGCCTTGTGCAGATGTTTTTCATCCACATGCTGACAGGCATGGAGTCTGGGGCGCTCATGCTTATGGCTCTAGACCGCTATGTGGCCATTTGCTACCCTCTACACTATTCCACCATCTTCACCAACACTGTAATTACCAAAGTTGGGCTTGTCACCTTCATTCAAAGTGTGTTGCTTATGATTCCATTTGCTTTCCTGATCAAGTGTCTTCCCTATTGCAGGGGCAACCTCATCCACCACACCTATTTTAACATATGTCTGTGGCCAAATTATCCTGTGGTAATGTCCAGATTAATGCCATCTATGGTCTCATAGCTGCCATATTGATTGGGGGGTTTGACATGTTCTGTATCTCCATGTCTTACACCATGATTATCCGTGCTGTAGTGAATTTGTCATCTGCAGATGCTGCCACAAAGCCTTCAGTACCTGTACAGCACATATATGTGCTATTTTCATCACTTATGTCCCAGCCTTTTTCAACTTCTTCACTCACCGCTTTGGGGGACACACCATACCTCATCATGTTCACATTTTTATAGCCAACCTTTACCTGATGCTGCCTCCCACCTTAAATCCAATTGTCTATGGAGTGAAGACCAAGCAGATCCGTGAAGGAGTGATCAAATTGTTTTTTAGAGAGAAAGGTATTTTAAGTATGACATAAATCTATGATATAGAAGTCTGAATCAGCATAAAGATAAAGTTATAGAGGAAGAGAATAAATGTAAGATTCAAAAACTATGAACTCAGGAAAAAATGTGAATATTCTGCCATAAATTTTATTAAATAATCACAAAATGTTTAATTCAAGACTTCAATGTGATAAAAGACATAAAATAGACAAGACATAATTATACATTTTACAAAACTTAACTTTAGTTAGACCTGTCGAATGGACTGAATCTCAAATGTCCTGTTATCCTTTCTAGTCTATATTTATGTGAAACTTGTATAACTTTAGAGAAAAACATCTTTGCCTGCTCATTTATCTCTGACATCCTGCTGCCTGGGTAAGTATTTGGATTTATATGAATGCTCCAGTGCACACAAAAATGAAGCTGCAATAAATGTGGTTACTAGAGTGATAACGATTGGGGAAATACTCTTTGCAGTTAATGTCAAGAACAATTTTGAAAGATTCAATGGATACTACTTGAGAGTTGTTTGAGGACAGGAGAGATGTAGAGGAAAGAAGACTTGAAGAAATCTATATACTTTGCCAATCAAAGATGTCTGGGCTTGACTGACTGATCTGAGTTTCATGTAGATGGAGAAGCAGCAGAGTGGTCAAGGACAATGGAGAAAGTAGTACAGTTGGCCCTCCTTATATGTGGGTTCTGCACCCTGGGATTCAACCAGCTGCAGATCAAAAATACTTGGAAAAAAATAATACAACCATAAAAATGATAGAAACAAATAATACAATATAACAACTGTTTACATAGAATTCACATTGCATTAGGTATCATAAGTAATCTAGAAATGATTTAAAATACACAAAAGGATGTGTGTAGGTTATATAAAAACACCACACCATTTTATATAAAGGACTTGATCATCCACAGATTTTATTATGGGTCGTGTCCTGTAACCACTCCCTCATGAATACTGTGGGAACACTATACTTTATTTAGATTTCTGGAAATAGCAGAGATAAAGTGCATGGTAGTATTAGAAGGATAAATGTATTTAGTAATAGCAAGATTGAATTAAACGTGAGAAAAATATTAAGAACATAATCCAAGAGAAAATTGAAGTAATAGACTGTGATCACAAAATAAATATAAATGGATAAGCAGGTCAAGATGTTATATTGATGAAAATTATATTCTTATTTGCTAATATAAATGATATATTTTAATATCATGTTATATATAGTCAAATAGCAAAATAGTAAAATAGATTAATCACACCATATATTTTTGCAATAAGATTTTCATATCTGGGAGTAAAACCTGAGTTTTATTTTTTAAAAAAGCTAAAATTATGAAGTGTCTCTATGTAATGTAAATCATAAGCTTATCAATAGTAAAGTTTTTATATCTCAGAATTAGGTTTTTTCATTTGGTAAAGTTTGTTTATCAGGTAACTTCATTTAAGCCATTCAAAACACTACCAAACAGATCAATAAATTACTTTTCCTAAATTGTTGTTTTAAAACATATACATGGTCTAATATTATAATAATGTTTCATATTTATTATTTCACCAAACTTTTACTTCAAAACTATGAGATAGGTATAATTGTCTGCATTACATAAATGAAGAATATAAGGTACACAAGTGGAAAGACTGGATGAATCTTAGAATATTACAATTAAAATTTGAAAACAATAATGTTAATAGACCTATGCTGGGGTTGGGGGAAGAAACAACAGCAAGAGCAACAAAGTAAAACAAGAATATATCCTTAAAATCTGGATAAGTAAAATGCAATAAATAAGATGTATTTGAGGCAATGAGTAACAATCGCAAATTAATTTTGTTATCTTCATCATTACAAATTCAAAAGTATGTTTCATGAAAAGAAAAAAGACTCTGAAAACTAAGACTCAAAATTGAATTACAGCCAGCAGGGCAATATCTTTGAGAAATTTCAAAAAGAAGTATAAGTTTGATGGCCATAGAACAAAATTCTACTTAGTATTCATGGGAGAAGAGACAGAGAGATAGATAGAGGTAGACATAGAGATAGAGATGGAGATAGAGATAAAGATAGAGATAGAGACAGAGATGATAGAGATAGAGAGAGATGGGAGAGAGAGACAGACAGACAGATAGGGAAGAGGGAAGGAAATAAAAGGGAAGCAGGGGGAAACCAAGAGGACTGGGAAAGATAGTGGAAAACATTTTATTTTAAGTTGCATCTTGTGCCCTAGAGACCAAGTGTTGGGTGGCAGAGATCAGCAGGCTTTCTGAAACAGACCCCAATATTTCTACATCAACTTCACACAGTTACATTAGATCTAGAACCAAGGTATCAAAGAACTCACATTGAGATTTCAATTTGTTAAACCATGTTTCCTTTTCAAACTCTAAGAGATATATTAATATTCCCAAAGGAAAGGAAGAAAAAGAAAATGACAAAGTGATACAAAGTATAAGGAAGATTATCTTGTTTTTACAGAATCTCCAGAACCACTTGGTCAATCATTTCAGATGGGCCACATGTGCAGAGATAAAGAAAATGGAGCAAAATAACAATACAGGTGGGAGGACACAAAATACAGCAAATATTCCACAGGAACTGCTTCTGCTCACAAATCTCTACTAACAGTTATGTTTCGTGTTTTACTAAACTGGCAAAATTAAGCCAAAAATATAACTAATATCTTATCTCACTCTTTCCCTGAGTTCTGTCTCTTTCAAATTAATGACAAATGTGCTTTCCCTTAAATTAAAAAAAACTATAGATATAGCTTGTTGTTGGGTATAAAAATATTCTGGGAATAAATGCTCGGTGCCACAAAGTGAAACCCGCACTCAGGCAAAAGTTATCTTAGCAAGGCAATTTACTTCTGCAGAAGGGTGCCACTCACATCAATCAAGATCACAAGAGCACAGGGAACAAAGGAGAGCAGCGAAGTTCTCTCTCTAATGGTAGTTTCTACTTCTGTGTCACTCCCCCATGGGCCGGGGTCAGACCGCACAGTCTGAGCTAACCTGATTTGTTACTTGCAGATATCTTTCTAAATATGGAAGGGAAGGGGGACTTGAGGTACAGTGGTGAGGCCTGTGAGATGTGCAGTTTCGGGGGAACAGTGGGTGCAGATAACTAAGGGAACAGACGTGAGTTATTGATTAGAGCTGATGGGAAGCAGGTAGGCTGTTTTACAGTAACTAGGGACAAGGGGGAACAGGAAAGTTGAGTTTGAGAACAAAAGACAAGGAAGTTAGCAGGCTAAATCTTTGAAGAGGAACTCAGAGAAATTCATTGTATCTTACAATTCCCCCCTTTTAATTTTCTTATGATTCTTTCTCTTCAAACGTTTTTAACATGTCTTGGCTTTGCCATTCGATTTGATCTTCTAAAAGGAAAAGCTTACTTGAATAAGGTGGAGGAGAACTAAGGGAGGCTTTAGTAAGTGCTGTTTGTACAGTCCTTTGTATTAGCCTATGGATGCGTGGTATGACATAACACCTAACAAGAAAGAGTACACTTATTACAATTGCAAGAGAAATAAGAATTAAGGCTATGATTCTTTTCCGTTTACTGAACTACTTTCTTAGCCATCCTGAAATAGGGTCAGTGACTAGAATTTTTAGCTAGTTTATTGGATAAAGTGGTAAGTCTTTGTAAGGCCTTTTTTATGCTCCTATCGGGGGCAGTGTTGTTTGGGATTAAGGTAAAACATTGGGTTTTAATCATAACACAAACCTCACCTTTTTGGCTAATAACATGTCTAGTGCTATTCTGTTTTCTTAAGCTCTTTGGTTAGTAGGCTTTAATTGGTCAGCTATTCCTTTGATGGCATCCCTGGTGTAATTAATAAACTGCTGCTGATTATAATGGATGTAATTTATCTAAGCTACATTTTTATTAATAGTTACTTGTGGAAATATGGATTCAAATTCTGCAGCTATTTGGTCTCGGGCTTTGAACCTGTCAGGCACTCCTCGTGGGACACTAATGGCATCTATGTAAACTTGAGAGTTAAAAGACTTATAAGGGGCTTCTCTTATTTTTCAGTGTTGTGGTTTTTCTTTTTCTGGTTGATGAAATTCTACAGTGAAAGGGATAGCCAACTGGACAAAAGCACAAGTGCCGCTCCCATTACTTGGCAGAGTGTCCGTTAAGGGTGTACTGCAACACCACCATCTATCCTCTGAAGGATGACTAAGGGCAGACTGATGGGTAAGCTCTTGGAAGGGCCTAAGCTTGCTGCAACGTGTTAAGCTTCCAAGGAATGCCAAGTTCTCCCCATGTTGTGAGAGACATGAGGTGAAATTGACGTCAGGAGGTGGAAGCTGAATGGCCCTCGGGGGCTGACCTCCAGGGTGTTGGACTTCAGGATATAGCAGAGAGAGAGCTTGGCATGATTTGTTGCCTTAGGCTGTGGAATCTTGGAAAACAGCTACTATACAGCCCATGTCTGGTCGACTGAGGGACTATCCTAGCGGAAAGGAGACAATCTGGGCCTCTGGTCTGCTGTGCACACAAGAATAACAATTGCTTTTATTCAAAGTGCGGACAGAATATTGAATCCATCCCAACTAAGCATTTATATCTTGATACCTTGTTTCAATTGCTAGAGTTTGTCTTAGATCCTTCACTTCTACAATATTTACTTTGGCATTGTTGTTGGGCAGGGTAGAAAGTTTAGAAGGTGAAGGAGGGTCAATAAAGCGTATTTTAAAGAGGCCTACAGGGTCGTATCCATTGGCCTCTGCCCCTAAGCCGTAAAAGCCTTCTAAAGGAAGCGTATGGTTGGTAGAGGTAGCAGCATTAATAGAGATAGTTACTGGGTTACAATGGTAAAGTTGGCAATTAGAGGGGGTGGTTCATTTGGTAAGGAGGAGGTAAGATTTTAGGTTGGTACAGCCTTCTGGGGAGGTCTCGCCGTGTTCATTGGCAGTCAGGATGACATCTGCTCATTGAGAACGTATCTCCTAACTTAAGGTGCCTTGGTACCCCCACCATGAGCAAGGTGTGAGGTCAGTGGTTTCTCTGAAGGGGCAGAGGTGTTTTTCTAAAGGAGAGACATACCTTTGCCATTGTTCGTCCTCTTCACAAGGCATAACAAGGCAAGCCTCAAAGGTAATGATTTGGGATGAGTCTGACTTAGTTACATTGATAATAAGGTCAGCAATAGAATGAGGAAAGAAGAAAGGGTAATAGAATAGATAAAAGAGAGTTAAACTTTCCTTAACTTTAGTTTGAGGGGTTTTTTCCCTTGAATAATGGTCCATGACTTTGGGGATGGTGGTGCTTTCTTGACTCGGGTATGATGGGTCCATCTTTTCTTGCTGTTTGGACTGCAGTTTCAGTGGTTTGAAGCACTAGGCCAGCTCCTCAGGCTGGTGTCAATATACTGGGAACTTTAGGGGTGGCACCTGTACCGGAAAATTTTGAGTTCTGAGGGAAGAGAAAGTGGAAGATAAACCAAGTATGTAGGAATGTTGGCAGTAGATTGTTTTGGGAGGTAGTTTGGACTTACTAGGGTAATAGGAAGATAGAAGACATTTCATCTATGGCAACCAAGTCTCTAGACTTGTTTGGCTAAGGGTATAAATTCCTAAACACATATAAACTTTGACTGTGTTATACATCGCTTGGGGTCTTTAATGGGTAATGTTTTTCTGAGTTCCCTTTAGTGCCTACAGGAGAAACAGCAGCCTGTTCGGCTTATCTGATTTGCTAGGTTATTTTAAAAGACAGGCTTTTCTGGTGCTTGGGGACATGGACAATAGATACTTGGGTGATTAACTCCTCATGAACAAGGCTTTGACTTTTACTATTAATCCAGTCTGAAATTTGCTAAATGTATTAGCCACTGTAAAGGCATATTTAGAATTAGTACAGATGGTTCTTTCCTGGTCCTGCAGGTAATTTAAAGCTTGACTAAGTGCAGACAGCTTATAAATTTCTCTAGGAACTTCTTTATTAATTACTGAACACCTGTTGCGTTCTTTTTCCCTTAATCATTCCTGAAGAGGGTTTCTTCTAAGTTTGGCCGAACGTTTGTAATCAGTTAAATCTAAACACGTGTGCTTTCTTTTTAGCTTTGGATATCTCATTAAGAAACTTGCTAGATTAAGCGAATTATCAGTCATTAATGTTAAACTATACTTTTAAACTCGTACTTATACACATGTAATACTTTTCTGGTGGTACATTTTAATATAAGTGACTTTAAATAATCAAAGTCTTTTCTGGTGGATATTTTCACTTTTAATACTGGCCTGACCCATAATAAATGCTAGCGGATATATCAGCTGAAAGATTATCTACTACTTGTTCAGGAAACTTAGCCGCGGGGATGCCTAGCTGCTTGGAGCCGCATCTGAAGCCTGTATTACTTGACCCTGGCAAAAGTAAGGCATATGTCCCATAATGTAGTCTGCTTAGGCATAGGCTGCGGCAGAGCATGGGCTTTTTCTGCTGTGGGGGCGCACTAGAGGCTGCACGACAACGACAACATGTTGAGGCAGATCCTTGATGTCGCTAGCCTGTCAAAAGCCACCTGGCGAATGAGGAGCTTGGATTCCTTTCACAGAGGAGGACTTAGGCTGGGCCTGAGGGGAAGGGTTGGGGGTATTAGATGGGGGACTAGGGGCATTAGGTAAAGGATGGTCCAGGGAATCCTATGTGCTGTTTTCTTTGCTAGGATCCTCTGAGAACCCTCCTTCACTGTCTCCACAGTAGGGGCAGGTGCATAAGGGAAAGGGAGGACAGGTCTTTGCCTCCAAAAAAGAGCATAGTCCAGTTCTTCTTGAGAAACTGGGCTTTTATTATTTACATGTTAAACTGAAAGTTGACATAGTATATCCTCAGTTGACCCAAACTTTGGCCAGAAGATTGACGGATTGAGGTTAGGTCTTTGAGTCCAAATAGAAAAGCAATATTTTATCATTTGTTGCTTTTTCTTATGTTTAGTTCTTTCATTATCTTCCCAACATTTTAGCATGAGACTTAGGGGACTATCAGGTGGTATATCTTTGTTACTATTCATATCCTTTTTCATGAGACTTAGGGGACTATCAGGTGGTATATATCTTTGTTACTATTCTTACCATTTTTGCTTGTAATATTTCCCATATTGGGTCTTGGCTAGGCGCAATCTCTCATATTAGGAATTTCTTGCCTAACGGGGCATTGCTGTGGCTCAACCCCATCATATTAGGGATTTCTCGCCTATTTGGCGAGGGATTCCTTGTGGCTCAACCCCTTGTGTTAGGGGACCTCTTGCCTATCCTTCACTGGAATCGTAACTGAGGCTCAATTCGCCTATCCTTTAGCCCCACCTGCTGGAGGCTCTTTGCATCCTTTCGCTTTGTCCACTCTGGCCGCTTCCCTCGTGGGAATATTTCAGGTTCCTCTTAGCCTTGATGGCGGGTCAGCATAAACCCCTGATGGGACCCCCATATGAGGTGACCACAGAACCACAGATTGGACTCATTCATTCTGCGCAGCAGGAGCGCTTGCTACCATTCACGCACTTTCAACCTCCAGAATGCCCCGACCCACGGCCCCCAACCACCAAGGAAGTACTTTGTCGCCCCTGTGACGTTTCCTACCTTGATCTGTGCACAGAGTTTACCTGGTCACCGCGGTATTGCAAGCCTCTCCTCCTCGCGTTGCTGAGAGTCCGAGTTTATTCATCACAATGGGTGGGTCCCGATCTCCCCTCCCTGAGACTACCGCAACGGGGCATTGGAATGCGTCTCCCCTGGGTAGGATGACTGAAGATCCCTTTCTGAAGGAGAGTGGGGATCCCAGATGAGCCCCCAGAGTTGTTGGGTGTAAAAATGCTCTAGGAATAAATGCTCAGTGCCGCAAAGTGAAACCAACACTTAGGCAAAAGTTCTCTTAGCAAGGCAATTTACTTCTGTAGAAGGGTGCCACTCGCATCAATCAAGATCACAAGAGCACAGGGAAGGAAGGAGAGCAGGGAGCTTTTATCTCTGACAGTTTCTACTTCTGTGTCACTCCCCCATGGGCTGGGGTCCCCCATGGGCTGTGTCACTCCCCCATGGGCTGAGCTGACCAGATTGGCTACTTGCAAATATCTTTCTAAATATGGAAGGGAAGGGGAACACGGGGTACAGTGGTGAGGCATGTGAGATGTGCAGTTTCCGGGGAACAATGAGTCCAGGTAACTACGGGAACAGATGTGAGTTATTGATTAGAGCTGATGGGAAGCGGTAGGCTGTTTTACAGTAACTAAGGAAAAGGAAAGTTGAGTTTGAGAACAAAAGACCAGGAAGTTAGCGGCTAAATCTTTGAAGAGGAACTCAGAGAAAATTATTGTATCTTACATTGTCTTTCAAAAAAAAAAAAAAAGTAAAGCTATTTTCAAAGCAGTTCTATAAAAAAGCTGAAAAATGATTACCATTGCCCAAGGATAGTTTCACTATTCTGTGGGCTAATTAAAGACAAGAAATTTAAATGTGTCCCAGAGATTCTGGCACATTGTGTCTTTGTTCTCATTGATTTCAAAGAACATCTTTATTTCTGCCTTCCTTTTGTTATTTACCCAGTAGTCATGCAGGAGAGGCTATCACAATCTGAATTTAGTACAAGAAGATACTGTATTATGAGAAAGAACAAATAGCAGTAAGTTTAAGGAAAGGAAGAGAGATTTGGGAAAACGGTATAATTAATTATTCTACACTTATTACTTCAAGTATAAGGACTTCATTTAGAACAACATTCTTCTTGTCATAACTCATTCCTCTGAGTGGGAGAAGCATCAGATATCAGTGAGCTATGGGTGAGCTATATGCTGAGCCTTGACGCTTCACAGAAGTCAATCTCCCTGCCTGAATAGGCCACGCATTCTGGTCTGTCCACATTAGCAAAGTCAGTGGCCAAGCTTTCCGAAAGAGACTTGTATGTGTCTATGCTAGGGACTGGATGAGCAAGCTAGTCTAAATCAGAGGCAAGGCAGAACAAGGTATTTTGCCTGAAAAATCTAAAGCCTCATTTTCCCAGATGTATATCATAAAATTGTTGACATTCTCTGTCAACTCCTTGTCTCCTGTGTGTCTCAGCTCTGAACTGAGGAGGAAAGTACAAGGTTGTATTAAGAGGCCCTCAAAAATCCCAAAACATTTTAAAATGGAATTATGATGGAAAGATAAATAAATAAGGTAGGGGAAAAGTCAAATGAAGCAAAAACGCAAAGGAATGTGTTATAAGTATGAGATGTAATGTCACAAATTACAAATACCAGAAAAGACTTTCAGAAGGAACAAATGCTCAAGGTGGTACAGAAGATAAGCTGGTGTTAACATTGTGGAAGGGGGATGGGAGGTAAGAACTGTTTAAGGAAGAGGAAATGGCCGGCATGGAGGTTTTGAGGAATGAATGTGCCACACATGAAGGGACTGAAAACAAGATTAAGTGGGCTCAAATCAGGGGCCAGTTCTATCTGAGTTTATAGTACACAATCTTTTTTTTTAACCTAATATGTTACCTTTTTGTTGTTTTGTTATTGTTGTTTTGCTTCATACTAAACCTAGAGCCCTATGCCTATGATGTCAGGTAATTTCATAGAGTCATTTTTGGGTTTATGGTAAGAACAAGAGAGACAATGAAAAGGTTTAAGAAGATGAATGATAAAAGCTTTCTACTTGGAGATAAAAATTTTTTTATTGTAATACAGAAAGTTGAGAAAATAATTTTTGAAAAAACTATTGGCAAAAGTGGCTAAACACAAAATATATTAAAATATTTATAAAATATGATATATAAATATAATTTAAACTTTGGCCACCTGTTTTATTCTTGATATGTAAGATTTAATATAAAAATGAAATTCAAAAGCTAAGAGAGTGTATTACTACCAGACCTGCCTTACAAGAAATGCTAAAGCTGAAAAAACAGGATGCTGATTAGTGACATGAAAACGTATGAAAGAATAAAAGTCACTGGCAAAAGTAAGTACATAGTGAAACTCTGAATAATACTGTTATGGTGGTATATAAATCACCTATATCATTAATATGAATGTTAAAAGACAAAATTAATTTAAAAAATAGACAGCTACAATAGTTTGTTAAGGGATATACAATATAAAAAGAAGTAAATGTGACATCAGAAACATAAAATATCAGGGAGAGTTGAGTAGAAGTATGGAACTTCTTTATGCAATTGAAGTTGTTATCAGCCTAAAATAGCCTTTTATAAATATAGAATGTTTTATGTAAGACTTGAGGTAACCACAAAGCAAAAACCTATAGTAGATGCACAAAATATAGAAAGTAAAGAACGAAAGCACACTATTAGAGAAAATTATCTATCACAAAAGAAGACAACAAGAGAAAAAGAAGGGAAGAAAGAATGTAAAAAACAACAAGAAAACAACAAAATGGCTGTAGTAAGTCCTTACTTATCAATAATTACCTTGAAAGCAAAATGATTAAATTCTTCAATCAGAAGACATAGATTTGCTGAATGAATTAAAAATAGAAGACCCAACTATTTGCTGCCTGTGAGGGCATCACTTCACCTCTAAAGACACACACACAGGTTGAAAGCAAAGGAATGGAAAAAGATATTTTGGGCAAATATAAGGCAAAAGAGTTCAGAAGTAGCTATATGTATATTGGCTAAAATAGCATTTAAATCAAAAACTGTTAAGGCAGGAACAGAAAATCAAACACTGCATGTTCTCACTCATAAGTGGGAATTGAACAATGAGAACACATGGACATAGAGAGGGAAACAACACACACCAAGGCCTGTTGGGGGTTGGGGGTTGAGGGGAGGGAACTTAAAGGATGGGTCAATAGGTACAGCAAACCACCATGGCACACGTATACCTATGTGACAAACCTGCACATTCTGCACACGTATCCTGTTTTTTACTTTGAGAAGAAATGAGGAGGGTCGGGCAAGGTGGCTCACACCTGTAATCCCAGCACTTTGGGAGGCCGAGGCAGGCGGATCACGAGGTCAGGAGATCTAGACCATCCTGGCTAACACGGTGAAACCCTGTATCTACTAAAAAATACAAAAAATTAGCTGGGCATGGTGGCGGGCGCCTATAGTCCCAGCTACTCAGGAGGCTGAGGCAGGAGAATGGCGTGAACCCAGGAGGCGGAGCTTGCAGTGAGCCGAGATCCTGCCACTGCACTCCAGCCTGTGTGACAGAGCGAGACTCCATCTCAAAAAAAAAAAAAAAAAAGAAATGAGGAAAAACAAAAATTTAAAATAGTGTAAAGGTAATTATATATTGATACAGAGGGCAATTAATCAAGCACATTAACCATTGTAAATATATATGTCTGTAATATCACAGCACCTAAATATATAAAGAAAATATTAATAGAGCTGAAGGGAGAGATAGACTGCAATAAAATAATAGTAGGGGATGTCAACACCGCATTTTCAACAATGAAAAGATCACCCAGATAGATAATCAACAAGGAAACACTGGACTTGAACTATACTTCAGACCAAATCAGTTATATTTTAGGCTGGAAAACAAGTCTTAAAAAATTTAAATTTTAAATAAAAATTTAAAGACTGAAATCATATCAAATATATTTTTCTATCACAATTATATAAAACTAGAAGCCAATAATAAGAGGAAGTTTGAAAAATTTACAAATACATGAAAATTACACTCCTGAAAAACCAATGGATCAAAAATTAAATAAAAGGGGAAACTAAATAATATATTGGTACTAATGGAGATGTAAGCACAACAAAGGAAATCTCATGAGATGCTATGAAAGCAGTTCTACAAGGAAAGTTCATAGCAAGAAACACCTACATCAAAAAAATAATAAAGATCTCAAATAAATAATCTAATGTTATATTTCAAGGAACTAGAAAAAGCTTAACCCATGTAATTAGAAGGCAGGTAATGATAAAGATCAGATCAGAAATAAATGAAATAGAAATTATAAAAAAAAAGTAAAAAGATTCAAATGAAATAAAATTAGAAATGAAAAAAGAGGCATTACAACTGAATCCAAAGAAATCCAAAGGGTCATAAGAGACTACTACAAACAATTATATGCCAACAAACTGGATAACTTACAAGAAATGGATAAATTCCTTGGCACTTACAACTTACAGAAAGTCAATAAGGAAACATTGGACCTGAACTGCACTTACAACTTACCAATACTAAATCATAAAGAAATAGAATATCTAAACAAACCAAAGATAAGTAAAACAATTGAATCAGTAATAAAAAATCTCCCATCAAAAAAAATAAAAAAAATCCAGGACATGGAGGCTTCACTGCTGAATTCTACCGAACATTTAAAGGGGAATTAATACCAAGTATTTTCAAATTCTTCCAAAAAGTGAAAGAGAAGGGAATACTTCCAAACTCATTTTAATAAGCCAGCATTACATTGACATCCGCCAGACAAGGACAACAAAAAAGAAAACAATAGGCCAATATCCTGTTAAACAGATGCAAAAATCCTCAACAAATTCTAGTGAACCGAATCAACAGCACAGTAAAAGGATCATTCACCATGATCACTTGGGCTTTATCACCGGAATACAAGGATGTTTCAACACACACAAATCAATAAATGCAACACACCTCATTAACAGAATGAATGACAAAAATATATGATCATTTCAATAAATGCAGAAAAAGCATTTGACACAATTCAACCTCCTTTCATGATGAAAACTTTTATCAAGTTAGATATTAAAGAAGTGTACCTCAACACAAGTATCAGAAGCCCACAGCTAACATCATACTCAGTGGTGAAAAGTTGAAAGCTTTTCCTCTGAAATTAGACAAGACATAGGTATCCTCTTTCACCACTTCTATTCAACATAGTACTGAAAGTCCTAGCCAGAGCAATTAGGCAAGGACAAGAAATAAAAGGCCTCTCAATTGAAAAAGAAGAAGTAAAATTATCTTTGTTCACCGTTGAAATGATCTACTATGTAGAAAACCCTAAAGATTCCACAAAACTTGTTAAAATAATAAATGAGCAAGGTAACAAGATACGAAGTCAGAATGCAAAAATCAGTTGCCTTTTTATACGTTAACAACAATCTGAAAAGAAATTTAGAAAAAACAATTCACAATAGCACATAAAATAATAAAATACATAAGAAAATACAAAATACATAATAAAATTATATTTTATTTTTAATTCCATTGTAAATTAAATTATTTTCCTAATTTCCTTTCAGATTGTTTGTTATTAATGCAAAAGCAAGAAACTTATATAATTAAAACTGTAAAATATTGCCGAAATAAATTAAAGAAGACATTAATAAATGGAAATACATGCCATGTTCAAGGGGTGGACGATAGTATTGTTAGGATGTCAGTACAACCCAAAGTAATCTACAGATTTAGTAAAATCCCTATCAAAATCCCAATAATTAATTTTGCAGAAATAGAAAAATCCATTCTACAATTCATATGAAATCTCAAGGGACCCTACATAGCCAAAGCAATCTTGAACAAAGAGAAAAGCTGGAGGACTCACATTTCTGATTTCAAAACTTATGACAAAGTGACAGTAAACCAAAACAGTGTGGCACTAGCACAAAGTCAGAACTGCAGACCAATGAAGTAGAACAGAGAGCCCAGAGTGAACCCTCACATATGTGGTAAAGTTACTTTTGACAAGAGTGTCAATATCATTCAATGTTGAAAGGACATTCTTTACAATAAATAGTGCTGAGAAAACTGGGTATCTACATGTACAGAAATGAAGTTGGACTGTTACATAACAGCATGTCCAAATATTAACTCAAAATGGATCAAAGACGTAAAAATAAAACCTAAAATTATGAAACTCTTGGAAGAAAACAAAGAGAAAAAATTTTATGACATTGGATTTGGTAATGATTTCTTGGAAATGACACTAAAGGCACAGGCACAGGAAACAAAAGAAAAAAACAGATAAATTAGACTTTATGAAATTTGTTTTTAAATTGTGCATCAAAAGATTCTATAAACAAAGTAAAAAGGCAACCCACAGACCAGAAGAAAATATTTATAAATTATATATCTGATAGGTATTAATATCCAAAATATATATAGAGCTCCTAAACCTCAACAACAACAACAAACAGCTTAATAAGAAATGGGCAAAGGATTAGAATAGACATTTCTCCAAAGAAGATATACAAATGGATAATAAACACATAAAAGACACTGGACATCAGTAATCATTAGGGAACTGCAAATTAAAACTACAATAAAAAACCACCTTACACCAATTAGGATGGCTACTATAAAAATAAACAGAAAATAATAAATGTCAGTGAGAATGTAGAGAAATTGGACACTTGTGCCCTTTTGGCAAAAATGTAAAATGCTACAGCTGCGGTGGAAAACAGTATGGTAGTTCCTCAAAAAATTAAAACTAAAAATAGCATATGATTCAGCAATCTCACTATTGCGTGAGATCCCCAGGAGAATTGAAATCAGTATGTTGAAGAGGTGTCTGCAGTCACACGTTCATTGCAGCATTATTCACAGTAACCAAGATATAAGAACAATCTAATTGCCCATCAATGGATGAATGAATAATGGATAAGCAAAATGTAGTATGTATGTGTATGTGTGTATATACATGTGTGTATATACGTGTGTATATATACATTATATATGTATATATATATGTATGTGTGTATATACCTGTACATATAATGCAATATTACTCAGACTTAAAAAGGAAGAACATTCTGACATCTGCTACCACATAGATGAAACTTAGGACATTATGCTAAATAAAATATGCCTGTCACAAAAAGACAAATATCATATGATTCCATTTATATAAAGTACCTAGAAAGGTCAAAATCATTAGACAGCAGAAAGAATAGTGGTTGCCAGAGGCTGGTGGGAGGGCAAATGGAGAGTTATTGTTTAATGGGTGTAGAGTTTCAGTTTGACAGGATGAAAAGAGTTCTGGAGATGGAGAGTGGTGATGGCTGCAAAACATGATGAATGTATTTAATGCCACTGAACTGTATATACCTGAACATGATTAAGATGGCAAACTTTGTTATGTATATTTTACTACACTACAAAAAGAATGAATCGGGCATGTCAATAACTAAACCAAACACAATACAAATATTTATGAGCAAAGTGATAAATTATAGGGCACCCTATGAACTTTCTTTTTAAAGAACTGCATAGGAGGTCTTCATGCAGTTGAGTGTAAACAGTGCGGAGGCCATGTATGGTCTCCAATTTAGGAAGCCTGATCTAAATCTTCTTTTTTTGAGAGACACGGTCTCACTCTGTCACCCAGGCTGGAGTGCAGTAGAGTTATCTCAGCTCACTGCAACCTCTGCCTCCCAGGCTCAAGCGACCCTCCCATCTCAGCCTCCCGAGTTGCTGGGACTACAGGCTTGCACTACCACGCCTGGCTAATCTTTGTATTTTTAGTGGAGACGGGTTTCACCATATTGTCCAGGCAGGTCTCAAACTCTTGGGCCCCCCAAAGTGCTGGGATTATAGGTGTGAGCCACTGCGCCTGACCTCCTGATCTAAATCCAACCAATGTTTCATACCAATTCTCATTTTTCTACATTTTTAGATCTAAAAGAGAAGAGTTTACACTGAAACTCATATATGTATTTTTGTAATAGCTGCATTAATTTAAATTTTGACAAAATAATTTTGTGTGTATTCTATTGTTTTATAAACACAACTAAATTTTTCATTTAAATGAAAGTTTTGTTTCCAAGGAGTCGCAGGAATCTTTATACACCTGTATGTAATATTGCTAATGCTGAAAGCTAAACAAAACAACAAAAGGAATACATTAATTTTTTAAATACTTATAAAAGAAATTTCTGGAAATACATACATCAGACTTTAGGTTTTAATAGCATTTACTTCAGAAGTGGATTAAGGTGAAATGTGAGTTTATGGGAATGTTATGACTATTTTCTACTTCATATCATTTCATACAAAAGAGTTTAAGTATAGAAAAATTGTGTTTTGTGGGGTTTTTTAGTAAAAAGGAAGAAAGGTCAAAATATACAATTACTTTCCACTATAATATAAAATTTAAAACCAATACTACCTTGAAAAAAAAGTTTGCAAATACAACAGACAATGGGTTGATAATTTTCATTTTGAAAGTGCTTATCATGCAATGAATAAACACTAACACCTCCAATGAAGATGGACAAGGAGGTGGATGACTAATAAATATACAAAAAAAGTTGACCAAGAACGCTTGAAAAAAGTGACATACTTACTACTAGTGAAGTTAATTTTAATTCAATTTAAAA